>NC_000006.12:26423636-26726666 GCF_000001405.40 Homo sapiens | reverse complement strand
CTTAATAATATTACCTTTTTCAATCTGTAAATATGTCAAACAACACCAATTAGTCAAGCTTTCCTGAGTTTTTCTCAGCCATCTTTTGTAGATTCCTAGGTACAAGTCCTGTGCACACTGACAAGTTTATCTCTAAATATTTCATTTGTTTTAAACCTATTGAAAGTGGTAATTTAATTTTCCATTTTTTTGATGCTAGTACATAGAAATACAATTAATTTTTGTATACTGTAATCTGTGACATAGCTGCATTTACTTATAATGCTTATTTTTGTGGATACACTAGGATTTTTTGTGTATCTGATCATGTTGCTTGCAAACGAATATATTTTTCTTATTCTAAAGTGAGTATGCCATTTATTCTTCATTCATGCGTTCCTTACTTTCTGACACTAGCTAGGACTTTCAGTAAAATGTAGAAGTAGTAAGGACAGATATTTTGCACTTTTCTCCAATATTAAAGGGTACATATTTATTCTTCCACTATTAACTCTATTGCTAGTTGTAGGACTTTCTTAAACGCCCATTATTCATCTGAGGAATTTTCCTTCTATTCTTAGCTTACTGGGATATTTTTTAAACACCACGAATGAATGGCAAATTTGGTCCAATATTTCTTCTGCATCTAGTGAGATGATTACATGTATTTTTTGTTTTGTTAATGTGGTATATTACATTTAATTGACTTTTCAATGCCTAACTAATTTTTTATTCCCGAGGCAATCTCCCCTAACTCATGGTGCATTATGCTTTACAGATAATGCTGGATTCAATTTGTTAATATTTTAATTCAGTATCTGTTGGTAAATGTGTCAGAGAAGGGTCTCCAAGTGTGGAACGCGCCGCTTTCACAGCTCAGAGAAACATGGTGAGCACAGTGCTCCCTTCTAAGTGACGGGAGCTTCGAGATACAACAATGAGACTTTACTTTGGAGGAAATGTCTCAGAATTTCACAGATCCTAAAAACTTTCATTCACGAACCAGGTCGATGAATGGTTTCTGTGTTTCTCTCCCACCCTCTGGAGCATGCAGGGCTTAACAAAATCTGCAACTTACTTGACACTTCTTGCTCATCGAAGATTTAAATGATACTATCAATACAGTGTACCAATGTTTTGCTGTTGGTGCAGACAGTTCAATTCTCTTTGGACTAGATTAGGAAAAATTGGGGGACTTGATATACCTCTGGAGTAAGAACATAAATGCATACTTTTGTCTAGTCCATGTGAATATGAACTGTTTCTGTTCTTTCTTCCTGATAACAATAGAAAAAATGCATTCCCCAAATCAAAGACTGCATGCCAAAGACCTTGCAATTTTTGCTTTTATGTTCATATTGTTTATAACATGATTAATTTATTAACTTTACATTCCAATTCTATTTTCTTATGTATTCAAGTGAAAAGTGTTAATTATGAGAAATTCTGCACTATGGCACTGCTAATATTGCAATCTATATCCCAGACTTCGTTTTACCGACAGAAGAAAGCATACCCTCATCAATTTGTCATGTCTTCGGAAGAAGGGACATGGGTTTGTAGTGGAATTCATGACTTTTTCTGCCTGAACATTAATTAGCAGAAGCATGCTCCATTTCTTTATATAGACCCACTCTTAGAACCAAGGTGAACTGAGTGAAAAAGATACTTGCCTTTATATTTCTCTTATCAAACTAACCATTCTTGAATCTACCTTTATCACTTTTCTCCCAGGACCTCCTAGTGGAAGAAACTGTGAAAATGGCTGGTGTCACTTCAGACGCAAAAGGAAAAGTGGCACATCATGTTCAGAATCCGATTAAATAGTGTCAGCAATTATTACCTCTGCTTAAAGGATTCAGAGCTGAGTTTGTTCAGCTACCCTGCCCTGACTAATGGCATCATGCAGGTGTACTTAGAAGTAAATTTAAAACTCCCCCTTACTTTAGGATCACACATCTCCTAGGGTAATTGCAGGAGTGATTGGGAAAGAGCAGTCTACTCTGAGGAGGTCAGATGGAGACCAAGTGAATCCTGTAAAATACAAGTAGTGTCATATGACAAAAATGCAAATCCAACACTACTAAGTCTTGGATTTCTTCTTTGTTTCCTTGATTAATTTTCTTGCTTCGCTCCAAAAATCATAGCATAAAGCAAATTATTGTTCTACCTATTGCTTTCCACTTTACTCATCTTTCATCTGGTGTCTGTGTGATTATGTCTCCATTAGAGACTGAGACCTGTTATTACCTATTAAATCCCTTCATTCCAGGATGTGGAACTAATTAGATAAGTTTCAGATTGTTGAATTTAGTGGTTATTTTAGAGGTAATTAGATCGTTAAATTTAACACTTGTAGCTCCACATGATGATGGAGTGCAAATATCTATTTATTCATAAATATCCATAGGCAGGGATCAGAACCAACATTGAGAAGACCCACTCCCTCCAAACAAGACGACCAAGAAAACAAATTGATTCTACTACCTTGGATTTATTAAACTTGCTGAGCAAAGAGCCGTACCTCTATGGAGTCCCAGTACTGCCTAAAACAAGGGTGAGTCAGAGACCAGAATTTAAAGGGTCTGGGGACTGGAGCTATTCATAGGACACTTTTAGGGGGAAGGTTAGTAAGGTCCTTCTCAGGAGGGACTGGACAGAATTTCTTTTTCTTTTTCTTTTCTTTTCTTTTCTTTTCTTTTTTTTTTTTTTTTTTTTTTTTTGAGACGGAGTCTTGCTCTGTCGTCCCGGCTAGAGTGCAGTGGCGCGATCTCGGCTCACTGCAAGCTCCGCCTCCCGAGTTCACGCCATTCTCCTGCCTCAGCCTCCCGAGTAGCTGGGACTACAGGCGCCCGCCACCACGCCCGGCTAATTTTTTTTGTATCTTTAGTAGAGACGGAGTTTCACCGTGTTAGCCAGGATGGTCTCGGTCTCCTGACCTTGTGATCCGCCCGCCTCGGCCTCCGAAAGTGCTGGGATTACAGACGTGAGCCACCGCGCACGGCCAGAATTTCTAAACTAGGCGAATCATAGGTTTATTCAGTGGAACTTAGCTGCTGGAACATGAAGATCTGCGCAGAGTTGCTGGATCCGTTTGGCTTTGGTCTTATCTTGGATCATCGGGTCTGAGTAAGCTGGTGTTAAAACAATTTGAGCTTAGTGTGGTATGGCAGGGTTTGTAGACTCGTCCTGTGCTGTAAGTCACAGGGCTTTTGCAACTTCTGTGTTTGTTCATTTCTCAATTTGCCCTCTTTCCTCACCAACAGAACTGCCCAAGAAATCAACTTACAGTATAGCTACTGGAACTTAGCTCCGAAAAGGTCCTCTGCAAATCTAGAACACTTGTTTTTTTTTGTTTTTTTTTTTTTTTTCCAAATAAGAAAGTTGAAGAGCAAAACGACGTGTCTAACGTCACACATTGAGCTTTAAAGACAGATGGGATCTGGCATGCGTTTGTCAGTTAACAGTGCTAGCACAAATACAACTCTTGTTAAAATCGTAAGGATTTTATGTCGTGAGACACTCAGGACTCACCTGATCTCGGTGTTCAGTTGTGCGTAGTTTTTGATTTGCGCCTCGCCCTTGGGCAAGTGCAGAATCCTGGGGTTATACAAAGCTCATCACAGTTAACCCCTTTGTCCCAGTCCGCAGAATGAGAGCTCAGAGCCCGGCCATGGGAGGCTCGGTTATATAGGCAGGAAAATCAAGGAACCCAGGTATGAGCAGGGGCGTTTGTGGCGCGGAGAGAGCTCCTATCCCTGCCGTCCATCTACGTCTCAGGCTTGGCCCCTGGCGTGCAGAAAACCGCATCTCCCGAAATCCCAGAACGTAAACGTCACCCAGGTACTCGCTCTCTTGTCATTCTCCGGGATGTAACAGACTCGGGGTCTCTTCACGGATCACCGAAACCGCCTTCTCCGAGGCCTCCAGGGTGACTAAAGAGAGGGTGGGTGTTCTGTGTTCTCCCGCCGGTGTGTTCCTCTTCACGTCCAGCCGCTTGTGTCCGTGCCCGCTAGGGTCTCGGGAGTTTTTATAGGCACAGGATGGGGGCGTGGCGGGCCAGGGTGGTCTTGGGAAATGCAACATTTGGCCGCGGAGGAAGGAGTGCCCGTCCTCACCTAGATCCATGGGCACAGGCCCGGCGGCGGAGCCCTGCTCCCCTCCCTTATCAGTACCGCGGTTAGTGCTCTGCTTTATGGCCGCAGCAATCTCAGACACTTTCGGAGCGTGTTTTTTTTTCTTGTCCTTTCGCTCCCCTTTTCGGGCGCCAGCTTTCAAACCAGACCAAAGGTGTGCTTTTCCCCCATTATCTCCCAGCCTTCTTTCCTTTTCGCCTCTACTCAAGACTGTGTCCACAATTAAGCTCTCAGGAGGAGGAGGCCTCCAGCTGCCTCAAGGAAGGGCATTTCTCGCAGTGCAAAGTGCGGAAGAGGGGAGCCATACCGACTGAAGTATTAACCAGAGTCGGTTTGCATAGAGGCTGCAATGGATAGAATTTCAGAAGTGAGGCGGAAAGACAGGCCAGCCCTGCGAAAGATGGATTGGAGAGAGGTGAGAATCTAGTTCAAAAGCCGGGAGAAGGAACAGGACATTAGCACAATAGTCTAGGCAGAGAGCTGGACCACCTGTAATACGGCAAGGGGGTTGGTTGAGATTTCCTTTATTCAGTTATTCGAAATGTATCTATTGAGCTATTTATTAGTCCCTGGGTACTGTGGGTGTTCCTGCGTATTCAACCACCTTGTCGACGCTGCAGGATGCGGCCCCATTACCCAGGACCCAAAGAACTTCCAAAAATGAATCCCGAGGAACAGCTGTTTCTCTACTGGAGAAGTGGGCAGCCAGGCGGAAACACGCAGGGAAATAGTTCTCTTTGGGACAGAAGGCATCAACCTCGTAAGACCCAGCGATCAGCAGAGCTCCCGGAGAGTGTTTCTTAATCTAAAGGTCATGAGTCGGGCTGCAAAGTTGTCTTGTCGTGCGTAAAATACCAATGGACTTATACCTGTTTCATCGAGAAGGAATACAATGCGAACACAAAGACTGTAATGGAACGTATTTCTCTAAAGTGTCCTTTTCAGATAGAAATACGAGAGCGTTTTCCTGAGTTTTCTAAAAATGGGGTGGGGTAGGGATCAAATACTCACTTCTGGGAAACATGGGCGAATTCAGTGGGAATCGTGCTAGAAGTTACGAGCAGAGGAGCCTGGGTGGGGACTTATACTGGCCTTGACGGCCCGTGGAAAGGAACTGGCGGCAATTCCTTCCGTTTTCCGTCAATTTCTTCACGGGTCGCTCAGAAGCTACGGAAGCAAAGTAGAAAGGAGTGATAGGGACAGGCCACAGTACCGGCGGACGGTGATGGCGTTGCGTTTAAAAGGGTGGTCACTGAAACCCTTTGTCGTGAAACACTGAAGCAGGTGACATTTGAACTTTCCTTCCGCAGAATTGTATTTTAACTGAAATTTCCAGGTTAGAAGAAATTTGCCGAGGATCGTAACCAAGTTAGCAAAGATCGTAGGTTCTTTCCAACTCCAAGAACTTCAGAAAAGTTTCTTTGGTGATTGGAATAACGTTCGCCTTTAAACTTCTCAAGAGAGGTAGGGTCCGTTCCGCCGGCGGGGCCGGTTAGCTCAGTTGGTCAGAGCGTGGTGCTAATAACGCCAAGGTCGCGGGTTCGATCCCCGTACGGGCCACAGGCTTTTCTAATGTTTATTTCACGGGCCACAGGCTTTTCTAATGTTTATTTCACAGTAACAATTATGTGTAGCCACGTCAAAGCTCACAAGAGAAAAAGAATGTAAATGTGTGTGAACCCAGCAATCTACACAGACTTCTAATGCTTGTCTCACAGTAGCAACTGTGGGCAGTGATACAGAAAGTCACAAGAGAACTCACGAAAGTAAATGTATTTGTACCCAGTAACCTTGATAGGACGTAGTTCGCTGAATCGTAGGGTTGCGTTTGCAGTTCAGTGTTCCTGCAAGAGCAGATGACGAAGAGAGCTAAGATTCCAGAAAGAAATTGAAATCCGGGAGGAACGTGAAAAACAGAGACGAAAACAGGGAAATAAGGACCTGGGCTTTTCATTCTTTTACGATTTCCAAAGTGTACAAATCTTTCTCTGTCGTGACTAACTCCTGATATGGGCTTTCCTAACTGTGCATCTGCTTACTTCCCGCAGACCTGTCCTTGGCTTGTGCAGGGTAAGTAAAGCCTCTCAAGAACTCCCATTTTTCATTTCTATTTCCTCTCTTTTAGCTTCCCTCACTCAACTCTAGAGATACTGGACTTAAGGAAATGTCCCCATAGAACGCTGAGCCTTTCACCTCCTCTTTGCTCGTCTCACGGCTTTGTTAGACACGAAACCATCTTCTGGAAAATGTCTTCCCTGACACCTCTCCTACTTTTCTGAGTTTGGGTTGCTTTCCTCCTAGCACTCACGGAGATCCAGGTACGCATTTGTTTTAGCGGCATTCACCATGTTGGGATTGTCTGTTGCTTGGCCATCTTCTCCATGAGACCATAAGCTTCTTGGGGGTAGGATGCTTATTGCTAAATACTTTCAAAAGTCTGCATGAGCCAATGAAGAGTGAAGGATAGGTGTGCAGGCATGATGGAAAGAGTGTCTTGTGGTCCAAATGGGCTTCACGGGTCTGTAGAATCCATGCTATCGCAACATAGTGCATTTTGGTCAGACGAACAATAGGCTACACTATATGGTGATTGGCTCCATTTCACTGAACGTACCTCTAAGGCTCTGAGTGGCTCTATATGCCCCCCAGGACTGGATAGTGGTAAAGGACAGAGCATGCGCAATAGATCCAAAGTCAGGCAAGGTCTGAAATGTTTAACTTTGCTGAGGCTGAGAGACAGGAATGAACCCTCTTCCGCGATGGGAATTTCTACTCCACTGATCCATAGTAAATAAAACAGCGAGCCAATGCACCTCAAACCTCTATTTTCTATTACATTAATGTGATTGGTTTTGACATTTTCAAAATTCAAGTGATCACAATGATTTAGAACTAATGTTTACAAAACTATAATTTAGGAAATCCTTAGCTGTAAGCAGACACACCTACACAGAATAAAGAGAGTGATATGCCCTTTACTTCAGTGTCATTTATAACACTGGGGTAATAATACTTGGGGAAGCTGAAAAACTATATTGACCGACTTACGTAAAAATTAAGAAACATTCAGTATAATTTCTAGCACATAGTGCTGAAAACCTCCTTGTATGTGGAATATTGTTCACCTTTAAGGAAAATGCTTTCAAGGTCTGAGGAGAGATAGTAACGCATTTCTGTTGCTACTGGCTGTTTTGCTCATTTAGTTGTAGCAACAAGCTTCTGTGAACATAAAAATGAAATAACGCTTAAAAAAACAAAATAGATGGTGGAGGAACACAATAGGGATGCAAAGTAAGGTATGATTTTCTAGGCAAAAATTGAGCTGTACAAAATAATGTAGTAAAGGATTTGTGCCTGATTCTTTTTTGTATCCCCTTTGAAGCTTATTTAGCTTATATTCCAAGGCCTCAATTGTCATCCTTCTCCCAACAAGACTGTTTCTCTGTACCACGAACATTCTGGTGAAATTCTCTGCTTAAGCATCTTGACCTCTTGAGCACTCATCTTTGTACTGAGACCCCGATATATGCCCAAATGATGCCCTTCCATAGGAGGGTTTCTTGTTTTGCCCAAAGAGCAATCAATTTTTCAAGCAATTTAGGGCTCTTTCCTCACTCGGGGTCTATGTGAAACCTTAGAGGGAAGCCTGTTCTTTCCAGGAAGAGAATCCCGGTGGGTTCTAACCTCAACCTGTAAATCCACTAAGCAAGCTCCTACTGAACACCTATGATGCAAGCTCAATCCAAGAGGCCAGCACTCTGCAAGGGGAAGGCAACCAAAGCAATAGGTAATGCTTACTGAGCAGTTCTTATTGATCAGATCCCTCTCTAGGTGCTGGGATCCAGCCAGAGAATCCCACAGTCCTCATTTCCTACGTGAAGAAAGATGATTGAAGGAAGGAGCAGGAGTGGGGAGTGGGGAGGGGGTGGAGGGTGGGTAAAGGATGTCTTCAAGGTGACAACTTCTCAGATTCCGCTCCTAAAAGCTTCTGAATGGGCCATCTCCACACTCCCAAGTCCCTTACTGCCTGTGGGTTCCTTCCCAGTAGACGTTGTCACATAACATCTTATGTATTTTTCTTGTTTGCTTCTGATCTGTTTCTCTTCACCCCTATCAACTAGAAACTAGCTTCGCAAAGGTGAAGAATATATGCGTTTTTTCACTGTTGAATGGCTGTACCCCGAACAGTCTCTTAACAAGATACGTGCTCGAGAAATACATGTAGGATAAAAGAATAAATGACTTCACCCACTCACCTCATAATTACAATTGGGTAACCTTGAGAGCAGAAAGCTCGACAAAAAATTTCCTGTTTCTTCCATCAGCTAGTGAGAAAGACCAATTATATGATATAGCTTGCAGTTTCTTCTGTAATCTATATCCCTTTACCACTCATTTTACTCAAACCACTGACAAGCCAAAAAACAAACAAACAACAACAAAAAAACTCCAAAAAACCGAAATCACTTTTCCATTCTAAGCTAATGTTGAGTCAGTCTTCAAACTGTTATCTCATAGCATTTGCATTTCATTATTTAGTGCACCCATTTTGTTTCCCTCAACTGAAATAGCAGCAAAAACTGTATCCTCTCTGATGTTCAAACTCAAAACCTTTAGATTATGAGATTGATGTGTGGCCTGCTGCAGAAAGAGGGCGGTTCTCACCCAAGAATTGACATCCCACGTGCTATTTTCCCAAGCACTGCTGCTTTATCAGTTCCTAACTTTCAAAGAACACAATCAATGGTGCTTGGAAATCACTCTTTATCAGCCAATCCTGCACCCAAAGAATTTTATCCTCAGGACAGGTGGAATCTACCCATTTCTAGTATTCATCTAACAAGACGACCATCTTGAGGCAAGAGGCCAAGAACAATTGTACCTGTTTTGCTGACTTTTTCCCTCTTGTGGCCCAGTGATCTGACTTCTCCCTCCTTCAGAGATCTTAATCACTCTTACACC
The DNA here is from genome assembly GCF_000001405.40 of Homo sapiens. Lineage (NCBI taxonomy): Eukaryota > Metazoa > Chordata > Mammalia > Primates > Hominidae > Homo > Homo sapiens. The sequence goes on along the minus strand of NC_000006.12, from coordinate 26,717,589 downwards.
TCCTATGGTGTCCTTTTTTGAAAAGACACACAGGACATGTTCAGTCCATAATAGTTCACTGACTGACCAACTGAACGAATGAAGGAATGAAAAAATAGTCTTTAAAGGTGTCTCCTGTCCATACTACTGTGTCTTACTCTCTATCTCCTCTTGCATCTACACGACTGGAGACAATCCTGCTACAAAAAGTGTAAAGCAAATCTTGTATGCCATTAATTATACTAAGAGATTTATTGAATTTACTTCATGTAGTCCAACAGAGTTTCACCAACAAAACTATGTGTCCTAATCTGGACTTTCTAGAAGTAATGGAACCTCAGATAAGTTTTGTTTCCAAGGTGCCAGAGCTGCTAAGTGTCAAAGCTTGAACTGAGGAGAAGATGTTTTAGATTTTAAAACGTGATTCTTTCTCTGCTCCAGTTCACAATCTTACTCCCTACTCCTCTCCACAGCACCCCATTCATTCACACACCAAATATCTCATTCCCCAAATCCCCTTCACTTACCTTTTGGGCTTTGTTTCCAAGTCAACTTTTGACACATTTTTCTCCTTCAAACACCACATCCAGTGATTTGTGAAATAGTAAACATTATTCCTGCACAACATTTTTGAACCTGTCAATTCCTTTCCATTGATTCAGTACACATTCACAGGGAAGATGCTCTGTGCCAGACACTGTGGTAAGTTCAGGAGATTCTAAAGATTCAAGCAGCCCAGACCTCAAGAGAAGGCAGGACAAATATGGAGAAGGGAAGATCCACGTCCAGTTTTACGATTTCAGTCTCCGTGTCATGTCATTTACAGCTAAATAACCCTTTCAAAAATGTCAGTTTCAATATATCACTCTTTTGCACCCTGAACATTCCTGATTTCCTAGTTATAGCATGATCTTGTTTTTCTTTTATTTTTTTTCTCTTCTTTCTACCCAAATTGTGATTTTGCTGTAGAAAGTTGATTGATTAGATCCATTGCTGTATGGATGTTGTTCGGGTCTCAAATGTGTTTACTGATTTATTGTCTACTGGATCTATCAGTTACTGAGAGGGGACTGTTAACGTCTGCAAATGTAATTGGATTTTTCTATTTTTATCTGGATTATCCAATTTTGCTTACGAGTTTTGAAGCCCTGTGTCCTTATATGCATTTGGGACATTATTTCTCTGGTGTGTTGGCACCTCTAATTATGTAACAGCCCCCTTTATCCCTGGAAGTTTTCTACAATTTAAAATCTGGTTTGTCTGATTTGAATATATCCACCACAGCTTTCTTTGAGTAATGCCTAAATGACATATCTTTTCCCATTCTTTACTTTCAATATGCTATATAACTTTTAATCTCACATATAAGTATATTACTAGTGACTTTCCTGTAGTCAGCATATTCATTTATAATACATTCTGACAATTTCTGGTTTTCAATTCATTGTTTTAGATCATTTACATTTAATGTTTTTATAGATAAGTTTTTAGGTAGATCTATTGTTTTTCTTTCTGAGATGGAGTCTTGCTCTTGCCACCCAGGCTGGAGTGCCATGGTGCAATCTCCCCTCACTGCAACCTCTGCCTCCCAGGTTCAAGTGATTCTCCTGTCTCAGCCTCCCAAGTAGCTGGGATTACAGGCACCCGGCTTCATGCCTGGCTAATTTTTTGTATTTTTAGTAGAGACAGGGTTTCACCATGCTGGCCAGGCTGGTCTCAAACTCCTGACATCAGGTGATCCAGCCACCTCGGCCTCCCAAAGTGCTGGGATTACAGGCGTGAGACGCCGTGCCCAGCCGATAGATCTACTTTTTAATAATTTATTAATCATTTGTTCCCCTTGTCTTAATTCTTCTATGTTCTTCTTCCTAGTTTATTTTGGTTTATTTAAATCTGGTTCCTAAGTGGTCTAGGGATCACCATATACATATATAACCTTTCACAGTATACGTAGAATCAATATTTTACCATTCAAGTTGAATATAGAAACTTCATCAGCAGTTAGGCCCTTTACCTTTACCCTTTTATGTTATGTATGTAGCACATCTAGATACAATGGCAACTGCATCAGATAAAGTTACAATTTTTGCTTTCAATCATGAAACATACCTTAAGGAACTCAAGAGAAGAATAATAGTCTGTAATGTCTACCCAGACATTTTCTATTTCGGCTTTCGTTCCTTCACTGATGGTGTCCTGTCTCTTTCTGGTATCATTTTTCTCATCTTAAATCGTTGCTAATTCTTGTCCAGCAGTTCTACCAGCAATGAATTCTCTCAGTTTACCTTCCTGTGAGAATGTATTTATTTACCTTTAGTCTGAAAGATATTTTTGCTCTACATAGCATTCTGGGTTGACAGGTCTTTTCTTTTGGTATTTAGTAAATGTTTCCTTGGGCCCCTATGGTTTCTGATGAGAAGTCCACAGTCATTCAAGTGGCAGTTTCCCTTTTATTTTCATTTGGCTGCCTTCAAGATTTTTATGGTTTTCCTTAGTTTTCAGCAGTTTGATTATGATGTGTCTGGGTATGGATTTCTTTGGGTTTAACCTACTTGACATTTATTGAACTTCTAAAGTGTTTTGATAAATTTGATATGTTTTCAGCCATTAATTCTTCGGAGTTTTCTTTCTGGAGGACCTCTTTCTCTTCTTCCTGCAGGATTACAATGATGTGTTAGATTTTTCTTATTTTTCTGTTTGTCCGGGAGGCTCTGTTCATTTGCAAAAGCACTCCTTTTTCTCTATTGTTCAGGTTAGGTTGGTATTTTTGTTCTGTTTTCAAGTTCATTGACTTTATTCTGAGTGTCTCAATTTTGTTATTGAAATAACCCATTGAAGTTTTTTTTCTCCTAATAGTTTTGATGAATACATTTTTTAATTTTTAAGTTTAAAATCAGTGTTTAGAGCTTCCAGATACTTGCTAAGACTTCCCAACTTTCCATTCACTTCAAGAGTGTTATCCTTTCATTCATGGAGCATTGTTGTAATAACTGCTTAAAAGTATGTGTCAGATGATTGTAACATCTGTGTCTTCTCAGTATTGTTATTCGAGGATTCTCTTTGCCAAGTGAATTAAGATTGCCCTGGTTCTTCATATGCTGAATATTTTGGGGTTGTACTTTGCATTATGTGATGAGACACTGTGTCTTGTTGAAATCTTAAGGATAATATTGCTATTTTTGTTTTTGCAGGCATGTGATTGCCTTGTGTTCAAGTTCCAATAACCAGCCAGCCTTGTGTGTTGTAGTTTCAAAGTCGATTCTATTTTCAAAGCCTTAACACTGCTATTCAGAGACTCTGGAGTATGTGCAACCCAGTGGCCAGTGAGGACTGGAAAGTAGGCTATCACTTAGTTCGATTCTCAGGCTCTTTTTAGATAAGTTGTCTTTGATCAGAGCCACTTATTCACAGCTCACAGGCGCATCCAGGAGTTCACATACAACTTGACAGGTTTGCTCTCCACAGTGTCTTTCCTGGTTACTTGGCAACTCCTAGTTTCGGTCTCCCGATCAGAAAGCTGGGGCTGTATTTACCTGAGTGGCTCTGCCCTGCGCTTTCCATAATTATGCTGCATTTAGGACCAAGCTGCAGGAGGAAACAGGGAGAATAAGTGCAACTGGATATGTCCCTTTGTATCACAGCTCCTCAAAGAAACAGAAAACTAATTACACATCGATAGATCTATACTATACCACATACCAGTAGAATCTTAGTCAAGCCCGTATTGTTGCTGCCCTTACATAATGAGCCAAAGAAGTGTCCAGGCTGCTACTGAGATGAGTGTCTAACTTACTGTTTTCTGAGATCAGTGTCTAACACATATTTTTTTCCACTGTAACCTGGAGACCTGAGGTCCGACTAGTGAAACCTGGAGAATGTGGGCATCAATCCCACTACCTCTCACATGCTAAGCGAGCACTCCACCACTTGAGCTACTTCTTCATCTCACAGCATCTTTTTTCATCCTTAGTGGGCAGTCTAGAACACACGCGACTTCAAGGCCTTCACCGCGAAAGCAGGGCTCCACTAAGAGCAGATCTTCTCATTGATGGCCCAGGGCAAGAGTGCAGTGGGTACTTATTCTCTGTGAGGAGGGAGGAGAAAAGGGAACAAGGAGAAAGTCACAAAGGGAAAACTCTGGTGTTGCCAAAATGTCAAGTTTCACATATTCCGAGACGGAAAATGACATGTCCCACAGAAGGACCCTGCCCAGCTAATGTGTCACAGATATCTCAGGAAGCTTAAATGATTTTTTTAAAAGAAAAGAGATGGCATTGTCACTTGTTTCTTGTAGCTGAGGCTGTGGGATGATGCAGATTTCTGGAAGGCAAAGAGCTCCTGCTTTTTCCACACCGAGGGACTTTCAGGAATGAGGCCAGGGTGCTGAGCACTACACCAGGAAATCCCTGGAGAGTGTTTTTCTTACTTACATCTGAGACATGTGTTGTCTTCTTGCTAAGGTGTGTCATGTAAAAGTTACATATCCAACTGCATGGCAGAACAATAATAACAAAAAAATGCAGATAAGAGGCATAAAGAATAAGAGACAAAGATCATATCAGAGTGAAAGAATAAAGAAAACACATTCAGCAATGCAGAGAAAGAGTGGACATAGGGTGGAGAAAACCTAGGGTAGGTATAGGGTGGAATGTTTGTAGGAATTCCTGTGTAAAGAAATATGCCTGTTCAATTTAAGTGGAGTGTGTGTGTGTGTGTGTGTGTGTGTGTGTGTGTAAAATATACACGGAGGGAAGTAGTGATTGAAAAGCCTGGATGCTTGGAGATATGTTGGGAGAATATTATAAAAGCTAAAGACTCATTGAAAAAATTCCAGGTAGAAAAGCAGCATTTTAGGGAAAGGTTTTTAGTTTTAAATGTCAAAGAACTTGAAAATGGAAAAACTGGATCTGGGGAGAAAGAGAAAGAAGTCATAAAGATATTAAAGGATTGAGATTTATCCACATTGACTGTGTCAGTTCCTGAGGTGAACAGCATGAGTCTTTCTGCAGCTTCAATCCCCTTCACACTTCATGGTGAAGAAAACATCCTCCATGAACATCATAGCATGGATAAAGAAGGAGGTGAGTAAAACAGAAGAAAAAGATTCTGCAGAGTTTATGCAGGAAGGATCTACAGTATTTGTCAAGACATTGGGTGGAGAGATTTGAGGGAGAGGAGACAAAGGCACTGGCAAGTCTTGAGCCCGGTGTGGCAGACACAGAAGAGATTTTGAATTCATATCTGATCGATGCAAGAATAAATCCACTCATTTATCTGTATTTGGTAAATGAATGAATGTTACATGAGTGAGCTGGTGTGAAGAAAATAGATGATAAGACTATGTGCTAGACTAAAGCAAGAAGAGCTTGTGATTTTTTTCATTGAGAAAGAAATCTGCTTCTCATATCTGGTTTCCCTCTTTAAAGTTATGTGATCTAAGGAAAATGGTTTAACTGCTCTGAGCTTCAGTGTCATCTGTAACACTAGGGTAATAATACTTGGGGAAGCTGAAAAACTATATCGACCAACTTACATAAAAATTAATAAACAGTCAGTATAGTTTCTAGCACATAGAGCTGAAAAATTCTTGAACGTGGAGTATTGTTCACCTTTAAGGAAAATGTTCTGAAGGTCTAAGGAGAGAGATCAGTGCAGTTTTGTTGCCATTGGCTGATTTGCTCATTTGTTTTGTAGCAATAAGCTTCTGTGATGATAAAAATGAAATAAAGTTTAAAAAGTAAAATAGATGGTGGAGAAACACAATAGGGATGCATAGTAAGGTATGATTTTCTAGGCAAAATGGATTTGTACAAAAGAATGTAGTAGTAAAGGATTTGTGCCTGATTCTTGTTGTATTATTTTTGAGTCTCATTTAGCCTGTATTCTAATTCCCCAATTGTTGTGATCCTTCTCCCAACAAGATTATTTCTTTGCACCGTGAACATTCTGGTCAGATTCTCTGCTTAACCATCTTGACCACGTGAGCACTCATCTTTGTACTGAGACCCTGATATAGGCCCAAATGATGCCCTTCCATAGTGGCGCTTCTTGCTTTGCCCAAAGAGCATTCAATTTTTCAAGCCATTTAGGGCTCTTTCCTCACCCGGGGTCTATATGAAACCTTAGAGGGAAGCCTGTTCTCTCCAGGAAGAGAATCCCGGTGAGTTCTAACCTCAACCTGTAAATCCACTAAGCAAGTTCCTACTGAACACGTATGATGCAAGCTCAATCCAAGAGGCCAGGGAGAAGGCAACCAAAGCAGTAGGTAATGCTTACTGAGCAGTTCCTATTGCCCAGATCCATCTCTAGGTGCTGAGATCCAGCCGGAGAATCCTAGAGTCCTCATTTCCCATGTAAAGAAAGACTATTGGAAGAAAGGGAAGCTAAATGATATCTTCAAGGTGACAACTTCCCTGATTCTTCTCCTGAAAAGTGAATGTGTCACCTCCACACTGCCGAGTCCTTTACTGCCTAATGACTCCCTCCCAGTAGATAATATCACATGACTTCTTGTTTATTTTTCTTTTTTGCTTCTGTCTCTTTCTCCCCACTCCCCCCAACATTGACGTAGTATCACAAAGGTGAGAATATCTGTATTTTATTCACTGCGAATTGCTATACCCAAAACAGTCTCTTAACAAGATATGTGTTGAGAACTATCGGTTGGACGATTAAAAGAATAAAAGACTTTACCCACCCCACCCCATAATTATGTTTGGATGACCTTCAGAGCAGGCAATTGGAAGAGAAATTTCCCCTGCCTCCCCTGTCAGCTAGAGAGGTAGACATAAGACATAGCTTGCAGTTTCTGGTGTAATTTATATGCCTTCACCACGCCTTGTACTCAAGCGACTGAGAAGCCAAAAGAAGGAAAAAATAAATAAAGACAGACAGAGAAAGGAAAGGAAAGAAGGAAGGAAGGAAGGAAGGAAAGAAGGAAGGAAGGAAGCAAGGAAGAAAGAAAGAAAGAAAGAAAGAAAGAAAGAAAGAAAGAAAGAAAGAAAGAAAGAGAAAAAGAAAGAAAGAAAAGAAAAGAAAACTCACTTTTAAATTTTAAGCTAATATTTGGTCTGTCTTGAAATCATTATCTCATAGCATTTGTGTTCCATTATTTATCACACCTATTTCATTTCTCTTAATGGAAATAGCGGCATAAGCTGTGCCTTGTCTCATGTTCAAACTCAGGACCTTCAGAATACGAGATTGACAGGTGGCCTGCTGCTCTAAGAGAGCAACTGTTCCTAAGAGGTGACATCCAGATTATTAAATCTCATTTCCCACGCACTGCTGCTTTATCAATTCCTAGCTTTTAAAGAACACAATCAATGCTACTTGGAAATCACTCCTTATCAGTCAATGCTGCACTGGAAGAATTCCCCACTCAGGACAGGTGGAGTCCACCCGTTTCCAGTATTCACATAATGATAGGACCTTCTGGCTTGAGGGACTAGACACAATTGTACCTGTCTTGCTGCTTTTTTTCCTCTTGTGGCCCAGTCATCTAGCTTTTCCCTTCTTCAGAGATCTTAGTCATTCTTCCTTTCCGTAGTCTCCTTTGTTGATAAGAAACAGAGGTAGTGCTCAATTCATGATAGTTCATTGAGTGACCAACTGAATGAATGAAGGAAGAAATAGCCTTCCAAGGTGTCTGCCATTCATACTACTCTTACTGTGTATCTACACTTGCATCTCTATGACTGGAGACATTCATTCAACAAAAAATACAAACTAAACTTTTAATCATATCCTCCCTGTTTTTCCTCATATTTTTGTGCCGTGAATTATACTAGGAGACTTAGGGAGTTTACTTGATGTAGTCTGATTGACTTTTGCCAACAAAATTATGCCTTAGTATGCACTTTTTAGAAGTAATAGAGAATCAGATAGGCTAAGTGCGTTTTTGTTGTTGTTGTTTGTTGTTTGTTTGTTCTGTGAGACGGAGTCTCGCTCTGTCTCCCAGGCTGGAGTGCAGTGGCCCGATCTGGGCTCACTGCAAGCTCCGCCTCCCAGGTTCAGGCCATTCTCCTGCCTCAGCCTCCCGAGTAGCTGGGACTACAGGCACCCGCCACCATGCCCGGCTAATTTTTTTGTATTTTTTCAGTAGAGACAGGGTTTCACCGTGTTAGCCAGAATGGTCTCTATCTCTTGACCTCCTGATCCGCCCGCCTCGGCCTCCCAAAGTGCTGGGATTACAGGCGTGAGCCACCGTGCCCGGTCAAGTGTTTTTTTTTTTTTTTTTTTTTTTTTAAATGCCAAAGCTGCTAAGTGGGAAAGCCCGAATTGAGAAGCAGATATTTTTAGATTTTGCATGTGATTTTTTTCCCTCTGCTCCAGCTCACGGTTATTCTGCCCATTCTTTTGCACTTTAGCTCATTCACTCATACACCAAATATCTAATTCCAGACCTCCTCTTTACTTACCTTTTGGGCTTAACTTTTTAAAAATTTTTTTTAAAAATTTTTTTGAGTTGGAGTCTCACTCTGTTGCCCAGGCTGCAGTGTAGTGGCACAATCTTGGCTCACTGCAACCTCTGCCTCCTGGGTTCAAGTGATTCTTCTGCCTCAGCCTCCCGAGTAGCTAGGACTACAGGTGCCCCGCTAGTTTTTGAATTTTTAGTAGAGACGGGGTTCCACCATGTTGGCCAGGCTGGTCTCAAACTCCTGACCTCAGGTGATCTGCCTGCCTTGGTCTCCCAAAGTGCTGGGATTACAGGTGCGAGCCACTGCGCCCGGCCTGGGCTTAACTTTTATATTTTATTTTATTTTATTTTATTTTATTTTATTTATTTTATTTTATTTTATTTCATTTCATTTCATTTCATTTTAAGACAAGGTGTCACTTTACTGCCAGGGCACTGGTGTGATCTCTGTTCACTGCAACCTCCGCCTCCCGGGTTCCAGTGATGCTCCCACCTCAGCCTCCTGAGTAGCTGGAACTACAGATGCATACCACCACACCCGGCTAATTTTTGTTTTTTTTTGTAGAGACAGGATTTCACTGGGTTGCCCAGGCTGGTCTCAAACTCCTGGCGTCAAGGGATCTGCCCACCTCGGCCTCCCAAAGTGCTGGGATTACAGAAATGAGCCACCACGTCTGGCCTTGGGCTTACCTTTCAAGTCAACTTTGATTCATTGTCTTCCATCAAACACCACATTCAATGATTTGCCAAATAATGAACATTATTCTTGCACAACTCTTTTGAATCTATCAATTACTTTCCACTCATTTAGTACATATTCACTGGGGAGATGCTCTGTGCCAGACACTGTAGTAGGATCAGGTAATTCAGAGGAAGTATAGACACCCTAGACCTCAAAAGAAAACAAGATAAATATAGATGAGGGAAGATCCACCTCCAGATTCACCATTTTCAGTCTTTCTGTCATTTCCAGCTAAATAATGCCTTCAAAACTCTTTCAAAATAACTAAGTCACTATTTCAAACTCTTTCAATAATAGCACCCTTCTATATGATGGACCACTCTTAATTTCCTGGTTATAACATGATCTTACTTTTCTTTTAATTTTTGTCTTTGCTTTCTGGCTAAATTTTTATTTTGCGTTATGAAGTTGATCAGATCCATTGGTGGATGGTGTGGTTCAGTTCTCCAATATGTTGGCTGATTTGTTGTCTACTAAGTCTACCAATGACTGAGAGAGGAGTTTTAGTGTCTTCAACTAAAATTGGATATTTCTATTTTTACCTGGCTTATCTAATTTTGTTTATGAGTTTTGAAAATCTGTGTCCTCATATACATTTGGAACAGTATTCCCTGGAGAATGGACATTCGTAATTATCTAGCAGCCTTCATTATTCCTGAAAAGTTTCTCTGCTTTCAAATCTACTTTGTCTGATTTTAATGTATACACCACAGCTGTCTTTGATTAATGCTTGCATGAGGTATCTTTCCCACTCTTTTCCTTCAATCTGCTATATAACTTTTATTCTGATATATAAGTGTATTGCAGGTGGCTTTCTTACAGTCAGCATATTTACTTTTAATACATTCTGATGATCTCTAGTTTTTAATTAAGGATTTAGATCATTTACGTGTAATGTTAATATAGATAAGTTTTTAGATAGATCTATTTAATAATGTATTAACCTTTGTTCCCTTTGTTTTAATTCTTCTATGTTCCTCTGTCTATCTTGTTTTGGTTTATTTCAATCTGGTTAGTAAGTGGTCTAGGGATTACCATATACGTATATAACTTTTCACAGTATACTTAGAATCAATATTTTACCATTCAAGTTGAATATAGAAACTTCATCAAGAGTTAGGCCCATTACACTTACCCTTTTATCTTATCTATGTAGTACATCTCGATACAATGACAACTGCTTCTGATAAAGTTACAATTTTGGCTTTCAATCATCAAACATACCTTAAGGAACTCAGGAGAAGAAGAACAGTCTGTTATGTCTACCCAGACATTTTCTATTTCTGCTTTCGTTCCTTCATTGACGATGTTCTAAGTTTCCTTCTGGTATCACTTTTCTTATCTCAAATCTTTGCTAATTCTTTTCCAGCATTCTTGCTAAGAATGAGAATGTATTGACTTACCTTCCAATGAGAATGCATTTATTTGCCTTTATGTCTGAAAGATACTTTTGCTCCACATAGCATTCTGGGTTGATAGGTCTTTTTCTTTTGTTACTTACTGAACATTATGACATTTTTTTCTGGCCGCTATGGTTCCTGATGAGAAATCTACACTCATTCATATGGTAGTTTCTTTTTCATTTTCCTTTGACTGCTTTCAAGATTGTTTTGTACTTTCCTCGTTTTCAGCAGTTTGATTATGATACGTCTTGAAATGGGTTGGGTTTCTTTGGGTTTATCCTGCTTGACCTTTGCTGAACTTTAAAAACCTGGTTTATATCTTTTGACAAATTTGATACATTTTCAGCCATTAATTCTTCAAAGTTTTATCCCACAAAGACCTCTTTGTCCTCTTCTTTTCAGATTACAATAATGTGAATGTTAGATTTGCTATTTTTTAATTTGTCCCTGAGCCTCTGTTCATTTACAGAAATACTCCTTTCTCTCTATAGCTCAGATTATGTAGGTATTCTTGTTCTGTTTTCAAGTTCGTTGACTTTTTCTTAGTCATCTGCATTCTGTTATCGAGATCATCCAGTTAAGCTTTTTATTTCCCCTAAGAGTTTTGGTTAATACATTTTTTTAAATTCTTAAGCTTAAAATTGGTGTTTATATATTCCAGATATTTGCTGAGACTTTCCAACTTTCCATTCACTTCACGAATGTTATCCCCTAATTCTAGGAGCATTGTTATCATAACTGCTCCACTGTATGCGTCAGATGATTTTGACATCTGTGTCCTCTCAGTATTGTTATTCGAGGAGTCTCTTTGCCATGTGAATGAAGATCTCCCTGTTTTTTTCATAATGCCGAAGATTTTGGGGCTTGTAACCTGGACTTCTTTGGATTATGTGATGAGACACTGTGTTTTGTTGAAATCTTAAGAATAATATTGCTATTTTTGTTTTTGCAGGCACAAAATTGCCTTGTATTCAAGTTCCAAGTACCAACCAGCCTTCCACGTGTTGTTGTTTCAAAGATAACTCTATTTGCAAAGCCTTTACGCCACTGTTCAGAGATTTCCGGAGTGTGTGCAACTTCAGTGAGGACTGGAAAGTGGGCCATTGCGCAGTTCAGCTCTCAGGCTCTTTGTAGGTAAGTTGTTTGGGATTAGAGCCACTTATTCACAGCTGGCAGGTGTGTCCACAAGCTCATGAACAACTTTATGGGTTTGCTTTCTACAGTATCTGTCCAGGCACATTCTAGTTACTTGACACATCCTGGTTTCAGTCCCCTGAGCAGAAAGCCGAGGCTGTGTTTACCCAGGTGGCTCTGCCCTGCACATTTCACGATTGTCTGAGGTTTAGGACCAAGCTGCAGGCAGAAACAGGGAGAAAAGAGCAGTTGTATATGTCCCTTGGTTTCACAGCTCCTTGAGGAAACAGCAAATGAATTACACAGTAGATCTACACTATACTGAATGCCAGGAGGGAGCCATCACCAGGCCTGTATTGTTGCTGCTCCTATGTCTTGAACCAAAGCAGCATCCTGCTCTCAGACACTAACTTGGGTTTGGATACTTGAGTGTTTGGAGACCCAAGGTCCAAATAATAAAGCTTGGAGAATGTGGGCATCGATCCCACTACCTCTTGCATGCTAAGCAAGCGCTCTACCGCTTGAGCTAATTCCCCACGTCAGGGGAGCTTTCTTGATCTTTAGTGGGTGTCCTGGAACACAGGGGATTTCAAGGCCTTCAGCGGGAAAGCAGGGCTCTACTAAGAGCAGGTCTTCTCACTGATGGCCCAGGGCAAGGCGCAGTGGCTACTCATTCTCTGCAAAGAAGGAGGAGAAAGGGAACAAGGAGAAAGTCACAAAGGGAAAACTCGTGCTGCCAAAATGTCAAGTTTAGGGTATTCCGGGACAGAAAAAGGCACATCCCAGCAAAGGAGGACATGTCTAGACCTGCCCAGCTAAAGTGTCAGAGATTTTAAAAAAATGATTAAATGATTAAAAATGATTAAATGATTGTGTGTGTGTGTGTGTGTGTGTGTGTGTGTGTGTGTTTGTGTGTGTTTATAAAAGTGGGATGGAATTATCACTTTTCCTTGTAGCTGAGACTGTCTGGGGGTTGTGAGATGGTCCAGATTTCTGGAAGGCAAAAAGCTCCTGCTGTTTTCGTAACTAGGCCATTCCACCAATGAGGCCAGCGTGCTGACCACTCCCATAGGAAACCCCTGGAGAGTGCTTCTTTCACTTACATCTGAGATATGAGTTGCCTCCTTGCTAAGGTGTGTCATGTACAAGTTACATGTCCAACTATATTTCAGAACAACAACAACAAAATTACAGAGCAGAGCCATAAAGAATAAGAGACAAGATCGTATCAGAGTGTAAGAATATGTAAAATATAGTGTAAGAATCAAAATTGAGCTATGCAGAGAAGGAGTGGACATATGGTGGAGAAAACCGGGCTGTTTGTAAGAATTCTTGTGTAAAGAAATAAACCTGTTCAATTTAAGTGGAGAGTGTGTGTGTGTGTGTGTGTGTGTGTGTGTGAAATACACATGGAGGGAAGCAGTGATTGAAAAGCCTGGCCACTTGGAGATATATTGGGAGAGTTTTATGAAAAATCCCATGACTAACTGAAAATATCCCAGGCAGAATGCTTAAATAATTAAAGCAACATGTTAGAGAAAGGTGTTTAGTTTTGAATGTCAGAGCTTGAACATGAGAAAACAGGAACTGGGGAGAAAGGGAAAGAAGTCATAAAGATATTAAAGGATTGAGGTTTACCCACATTTATCATGTCAGCACCTGAGGTGGACAGCAGAAGTCTTTCTGCAGAGCTAGTGCCCACGACACTTCATGCTGCAGAACACATCCTCCGTAAACACTGTAGCATGAATGATGACAGAGGTGAAAGAAAAGGAAGAAAAGATTCTGGAGACGTTGTACAGGAAGGATCTACTTTATTTGTCAAGATATTGGGTGGAGAGATTTGAGGGAGAGGAGACAAAGACACTGGGACGTCTTGAGCCTAGTGTGGTAGACACAAAAGAGATTCTGAATTAATATCTGATGAATGAATCCGCTCATTTATTTGTATTTGTTATGTGAATGAATGTTACATGAATGACCTGGTGTGGAGAAAACAGATGGCGAGACTATGTGCTAGGGTAAAGCAAGAGCTCAAGTTTTTTTGTTTTTGTTTTTTAATTTAGAAAGAAATCTGCTTTTCATATCTGGTTTTCCTGTTTAAAGCTACGTGATTTGAGGAAAATGGTTTAACTCCTCTGAGCTTTACTGTCATCTACAAAATTTAGATAATGTTACTGAGGGAAGCTGAAAAGTCGTATCAACCAACTTATATAAAGAATAATAAACATTCAGTTCCATTTCTAATGCATACTGCTGAAAAGTCCTTGTATGTGGAATATTGTTCACCTTTAAGGAATCTGCTCTCAAGAGCTGATGAGGGACTATTTAAGTGCAGTTCTGTTGTCACTGGCTGTTGTGCTCATTTAGTTGGAACCAGCAAGTCTCTGTGAACATAAAAATAAAATAAAGATTGTGGAGGAATAGAATATAAACACATAGTAAGGTGAGATTTGCACAACAGAATATAGTAAAGATTTGTGCCTGATTCTTTTTGCATTCTCTTTGAATCATTTTTAGCCTTTATTCTAAGTCCCCAGTTACGGTTATCCTTCTCCCAGCAAGATTGTTTCTCTTCACCACGGATATTCTGATGAGGCTCTCTGCTTAACCATCTAGACCTCCTGAACACTCTGTTTGTCCTGATAACCTGATTTATGCTCAAATGATGCTCTTCCACAGCAGGGCTTCCTGCTTTGCCCAAAGAACATTCAATTTCTGAAGCCATTTAGGGCTGTTTCCTCACCCAGTATCTATGTGAAACCTTAGAGGGAAGCCTATTCTTTCCAAGAAGAGAACCCTGCTGGGTTCTACCCTCAATCTGTAAATCCACTGGGGTAACTGGGATTAGCTCAGATTAGCAACTGGGGTTAGCTCAGCTACTCCAGAGCTTGCTCTCTGGGAACGGATGGTGCTGCTACTTCCCATAAAGGCTGACTAAAAAGAGGCATCTGCAGGCAGGAGAAAGCGCTATGGCAGTTGCTGGAAGATTGCTTCTGACCATTGGCTATCTCTCTGACCTGATGGGAGAAGGGTGACAAAAATTGGACACTTGAAAAACAGGCCAAAAAAAAAAAAAAAAATCAAAGGAATTTTAAAAGAACCATGCACAAATTCTTAATTAGATTCTTTTATCCAAATCCATTTTGTCTGGAAAATTATGCCTTAGTATGTATCTGTATTCTATTCCTCCATAATCTATTTTATTTTATTTTATTTTATTATTTTATTTTATTTTATTTTAATGTTCACAAGAAGCTGGATGCTAGCTACCAAATGAGCAAATCAGCTACGACAACAGAACTGCCCTAAAGTCTCCCATCAGATATTGATGTAGTCAAGACCCTCATGAGTGCCTATGATACAAATTCAGTGTGAGAGGCCAGCTTTCCACAAGGAGAAGGCAACCAAAGCGGTAGCTAATACTGAGCAGTTCCTATTGCCCAGATCCATCTCTAGGTGCTGAGATCCAGCCAGAGAATCCCACAGTCCTCATTTTTCATATGAAGAAACATGTGAGGGATTGACAACCCCAGTCCTCATGTATCATCAGTTTTCCAAGGAAGCCAACTAGCCTTCTGGGCAAAAAGCTCTCCTAACCCCCAGTTGCCTTGATAGGTAAAAGTACTCTTATGACAGTGTTAGAAAAACACGGGCACAAGTGTTCCAGCAAGATGGCTAGAAGAAGGCAAGGCTAAAGTTGTCAAGGTGACAGAGTCCCTGATTGTCCTCCTGAAAGCTGAATGTGCCACCTCCACATTCCCAAACCCTTTACTGCCTAGCGATTCCCTCACAGTAGACATCGTCAAATCACTTCTTACATATTTTTGATTGTTTCCTGTCTGTTTCTCCCCACTCCTCCCAAGTATGATGTAGTTTCGCAATAGTAGGAATATTTGTGCTGAATACACTTTCACCCCACTCCTCCCAAGTAGGATGTAGTTTCACAGTGGTAGGAATGTTTGCGTTGTATTCACTCTTGACCCCAGTCTCTTAACAAGATATGTGTTCAAGAAATATTTGTTGGATGATTAAAAGAATAAATGACTTCACCCATCCACCCAATAATTAGTGTGAGGTGACCCTGAGAGCGGGAAGTTGGAAGAGAAATTTCCCCTGCTTCCTGTGTCAGCTAGAAAGACCAATTATATGACATAGCTTGTAGTTTCTGGTGTAATCTACTCTTCTGTTTTCACCACTCATTTTACTCAAACCACTGGAAAGTCGAAAAAACAAGAAAACCTAAATTATATTTCCATTTTCTACAAATATTGGGTCAGTCTTCAAATCCTTATCTGCTATAGCATTTGCGTTGCGTTCCGATATTTAGTGTATCCAACTTCTTTGGCAGAAGTGATGCCCTCTCTGAGGCTTGAACTCAGGACCTTCAGATTATGAGACTGACGCGCTGCCAGCTGCGCTAAGAGGGCTTGCTGTTGAGCTCGGGCAACATCCATTTTGTCGAAGTGTATTTCCCACCTACGTTACGGTTTCAGCTTTCAAAAACTACAATCAATCCTACTTGAAAATTACTCTGTATCAATCAACGCTGCACTAGGAAGATTCCATACCCACGACCAGAGGAGTCTACGCCTTTCCAGTATTTCATAGGACCGTCTGGGTTCTGCGTTACCAGGATCAATTGTACCTGTCTTTTGCTGCTCTTTTTCCCTTTTCCTTCCCTCAGAAACCTTAGTCACTCTTACACTTTCCATAGTCTCCTCTGTTGAAAAGAGACAGGAGGTTCTCAGTTCATGATAGTTCACTGACCACCTGGATAAATGAATGAAGAAATAGCCATCAAACCTGTCTCTTGATCATACTACTGTCTTCCTTCATATCTCCACTTGCATCTACATGACTGAAGACATTGCCGCTACAAAAAAAAACACAAAATACTTATAATGGCACCCTCTTTGTTTTTTACCCCTTTGTTTTTTCTTGTGTGCTATTAAGTATACTACGAGATTTCTTGCGTTTACGTAGTCCAGTTGAATTTCGCTAACAAAACGATGTATCCTAATGTGCACTTTCTAGATGTACTGGAGGCTCAGATAATTATTGTTTCTAAGGTGCCAGAGATGCTAGGTGGCAAAGCCTGAACTGACAAGCACATTTATTTTAGATTCCAAAAGGTGAGTCTTTTCTCTGCTCCTGCTCATTATCTCTCTGCCTGTTTTTCTCCACAGTAGTCCATTCATTCATATACCACATATCTAATTCTCAACCTCCTCCTGGGCCTAGATTTCCAAGTCAACTTTGACTCATTGTCCTCCTTCAAACACCACATTCAGTGATTTGCCAAATACTGAACATTATTCTTGCAGGTCTCTTCTGAATCCGTCAGTTCCTTTCTACTCATTCAGTACATATTTGCTGGAGAGATGCTCTGTGCCAGACACTGTAGTAGGCCCAGGAATTTCAGGAGACATTTGGCCAGCCCAGACCTCAAGAAAAAGCAGGATACATATGGACAAGGAAAGATTCACTTACAGATTCGCCGTTATCGGTCTTCCTGCTATTTAAGTAACTGTTTCAGAAATATCAGTTTCAATAATGTCACTTTTCTGCACTCTGACCATTCGTGATTTCCTACTTATAATATGATCTTGCTTTTCTTTGATTTTTTTGGCTCGCCTTTCTACATAAATTGTGATTTTGCTTTATAAAGTCTATTAGATCCATTGGTGGATGGTGTTGTTCTGTTCTCTAAAATGTTTGCTGATTTGTTTTCTCCTGAATCTATCAATTACTGAGAGAGGAGTGTTAACGTCTGCAACTGTAATTGGATTTTTCTATTTTCTTTCTGGTTTATCCATTTTGTTCATAAGTTTTGAAGCTCTGTGGCCAGAAACAGACATATTTAGGACAGTTGTGTCCCTTCGGTGAATAGACGCTTTATAATTATATAACATCTGTCTTTCTATCTGAGGGCCTCATCTCGTGTTAGGCAAGTGAGTGAGATAACCTCTACACTACACTGAGGAAACCCTCAGACTTCCTAAATCTAAGATAGATATATCTAAGATATTCAAGGTATGTATATATCTTAGATTTCTAAGATATATAGGATATATTTATGTTAGATTTATATATATATATATATACACATACTTATATTCAAGTCTTTTTAAGTTACATCATATAGAACTCACATATTCACATCACATAAGAAAACAGCAAAAATCACAAAAGTATTACAGACAAGAACCATGGGGATTAAAAGATCAGTTTGTAGTAAAGGGATAAATATGAACCTTGAAGGATGCAGATGAGGAAGAATGCACATGAGTTTGAAGGAACAGGCATAGATGTAGGAATTCCTGTGTGAGGAAACATGCCTGTTCACTTGGGATGTGTAGTGCACAAGTGCATATGTGCCTGCTTGTGTGTGTGCCTGTTTATAAAATGAAAGGAAGTAGTGATTGAAATGCCTGTGCACATGGAGATAATGATTGGGAAAACATTGAGACTTAAGAACCCTTGAAAAAATTGCAGACAGCTTACATAACCAAATTAACATTTAAGAAAAAGGTGTTTAGTGTTGGATGTCAAAGAGCTTGGGAACAGGAAGACTGTAATTGAAGAGAAATGGAAAGAAGTTATAAATAGATTAAAGAATTGAGGTTTATTCACATTTATTCCGTCAGCTTCTGAAGTGAACAGCATGAGTCTTTCCGTAGCTCCAGTGCCCATTATACTTTGTGGTGCAGACTACGTCCTCCATAAACGTGGTAGAATGGGCAAGAGAAACATGAGTGAAAGGTAAGAAAAACATTCTGGAGAGGCTGTGCAGGAAAGATCTATGGTATTTGTCAAGACATTGGTGTAAACATTTGAGGGAGAAGTCTTGACACTGTGGCACACAAGAGATCCTGAATTAATGTCTGATGAATGGAACAATAAATCTAGACATTTCTAAGTATTTGTCAAATGAATAGAAGGATGAACAGATGAGCTGGTGTGGAGAAAAACAGATGATGAGACTATGTGCTAAATTACAGAATGAACAAGAGTTTGTGTTTTCTTATTGTGGTAAAATATACTTAACCCATTTTACATTTAAAATTCTAAGTGTTCAATTTAGTGGCATTACGTACATTTACAATGTGAGCAACTATCACCACTACCCATTTCCAGAAGTTTCTCAGCATCCCAAACAGCAACTCTGTACCCATTAAACAATAACTCCACATTTCCCTCTCCCCAACAACCTCTATTCTTTCTGTCTACATGAATTTGCCTATTCAAGATGTCTAAAGTAGAATCACAAAACATGTTTTTAAATTGGGAAAAAATAAGCTTTCTGTATTTGGTTTTGCTCTTTACAGCTACATATTCGCAACTCAGGGGTGCACTCGGTGAGTTGACAAACCACTTGTGGGTTTGCTTTCCACACTCTCAGCAGGACTTCCCGGTGACTCGGAACTCCACTTTACAGCGCCCTGACCAGAAAGAAAGCTGGGGTTTTACTCATCCTGCTCTGCCCTGCATTTTCCAGAGCTGTGCTGCATTTTGGCATTTTGGGTCAAGCTGCAGGAAGGAGAGAAAAGGAACAATTGGGTATATCCCACCCTCTTGGGATCTCCTCTTTCCTCTGAATAAAGAGAAAACAACTTAGAAAATGGGTACTGTCCACTGAACGTTTTAGGGGCTATTATTAGCACTGTTTCTTTATGCCCATAGGTCTTTTACCAGTGAAGCATTCAAGATGGCTGGTACTTCCTCGTTTTCTTCGACAGGTGACTAATGAAGCCGTTCTCCACGTTGTACTGTATGGACATGCGGCCCCAAGTGACAACATCGATCCCACTACCTCTCACATGCTAAGCGAGTACTCTACCACTTGCGCTCACTCGTCACCTACCGCAAAACTTTCTGCCCTTTCCTTTATTCAGGAGTAGATGTGCGCGACTACCCACCATTTCTTGCGTCTCGGAACAAAGGAAATGTCTCGATTATTAGTGGGGAACCAGGACTCGACCTAAGGCGAGTCTACTCAAAAATGGCCAAGGGCAAGGGCATGATGGCTATTCCTCTGCGAGGGAGAGGGGAAAACGTAACCAGGAGAAAGTGGACACTGGAAAAGTCTGGTGCTGTAAGATTTCACGTTCCAGATTTTCAGGGAGAGAAGCGAGCACGTCCCAGCTGGGGAGCGCCCGCCCAGAGCGGCCTGCTAATTTGGCACAGCTATCCCAGGATGACGATCTTTCTTTTAAAAGAGGCGGGATTATCACTTGTTCCTTGCAGCTCTGGACTCCCGGGAAGAAGCGGCCACTCCCGGTCAGATTCTGGGAGACCAGAGAAACCTGTTGTTTCCGTTGAGTTTCAAATAGAGGACCTTCCATGTGTTAGGCCAGCGTGGTAACGACTACACCATAGAAACCCTTTGCATCACAGGCTTTTTATATTTTGAGATGAGCATTAAATACTGGTTTTTACAATTTTTTTAGTTGACAAGTACAAAATGTATATATTTATGATGTACAACATGATGTTTTCATATATGCATACATTGTGGAATGGTTAACTCGAGCTAATTAACGTATCTATTACTTAGTGTGTGTGTGTGATGGGAACACTTAAGTCTACTCTTTTAGCAACTATAAAGTACAGAATACACTTATTATTAACTGTAGTCACCATACGGCACAGTAGATCTGACCTTATTCCTCCTGTTTAACTGAAATTTTGTGTCCTTTGACAAACATCTCTCTAATTCCATTCCTACCTCCCATCTCCTCCCCTAGCCCCTGGTAACTACCATTCTACTCTCTGCTTTGATGAGTTTGACGTTTTTAGAGTTCACATTTAAGTGAGATCGTGCAGTATTTGTCTTTCTGCGCCTGGCTTATTTCACTTAACACAATGCCCTCCAGGTTCATCGACATCGAAAATGACA
This sequence comes from Homo sapiens, assembly GCF_000001405.40. Taxonomy (NCBI): domain Eukaryota; kingdom Metazoa; phylum Chordata; class Mammalia; order Primates; family Hominidae; genus Homo; species Homo sapiens. The sequence goes on along the minus strand of NC_000006.12, from coordinate 26,697,010 downwards.
GGATTTCTGTTTTTTAAAAGACTGAATAGTATTTCATTGTGCAGTTGTAATATTTTCTTTATCCATTCATCTGCTGATAGACGCTTAGGTTGATTCAGCTACTTTAGTAGTAATTCTGCAATGAACATGAGAGTGCAGGTATCTCTTCAATAGCCCGATTTTTGAACATATACCCAGAAGTGGGATTGCTGGATCATATGATAGTGCTCTTTTTAGTTTTTTGAGGAACTGCTGTACAAAACAGCTGCACTAATTTACATTCCTACCAACAACGTACAAGGATTCTCTTTTCTCCACATTCTTGCCAACACCTGTTATCTTTTGCCTTTTTGATAGCAGCCATTTTAACAGGTGTGGTTTTGATTTGCATGTGCCTGATGATAAATGACATTAAGCAAGTTTTCATATGCCTGTTGGCAATGTGTCTTCCTTTGAGAAATGTCTATTAAGGTCCTTTCTCCATGTTTTAATTGGGTTATTTGTTTTCTTGCTATTGAGTTGAGTTCCTGATGTATTTTTTATATCAACCACTTACAGAAGTATGGTTTGCAAATATTTTCTCCCAATCTATCGGTTGTCTCTTCACTGTTGATTTTTTTTGGGGGGGGCTGTGCAGAAGTTCTTTAGTTTCATGTAATCTTATTTATCTATTTTTGTCTTTTTGCTTTTGGGGGGGTTCATATCCAAAAAATCATTGCACAGACCAATGTTATGGAGCATTCCCCATATGTTTTCTTCTAGAAGTTTTAGAGTCTCACATCTTATGTTTGTCTTCAATCAATTTTTAGTTGATTTTTGTATGTGGTATGAGATAAGGGCCTCCTATCATTTTTCTGCATGTAGATATCCAGTTGTCCCAACACCATTTATTGAAGAGACTATCCTTTCCTCATTATGTGTCTAGGCACATCTGTCAAAAATTAATTGACTATAAATGTGTGGATTTATTTCTGCCCTCTCTATTCTGTTCCACTGGTTTATATGTCTGTTTTTCCACCAGTACTATGCTGTTTTGATTGCTATATATTTGTAGTATATTTTTAAAGTCAGGTAGTATGATGCCTCCAGTTTTGTTTTTGCTCAAGATTGCTTTGGCTATTTGGGGCCTTTTGTGCTTCCATATGAATTTTAAGGGTTTTTTTTTTCTATTTCTGTGAAAAATGTCATTGGGATTTTGATAGAGATTGCGCTGAATCTGTAGATCACTTTGGGGGGGTATGGATGTTTTAATAATATTAATTCTTCCAATCTATAAACACAGGATATCTTTCCATTTGTGTCTTCCTCAATTTCTTTCATCAGTGTTTAATAGTTTTCAGTATACAGACCTTTCACCTCCTTGGTTAAATTTATTTCTAAGTATTTTTTGTAGCTACTGTAAATGGGATCTTTAAAATTTTTTATTTTGGTTAGGTTGCCATTAGTGTATAGAAATGCTAGCTTTTGTATGTTGATTTTTGTATGTTGTTTTGTATTCTGCAACTGTACTGAAATTGTTTTTTATTTCTAACAGTTTTGATTTTTGGTGAGTTTTTTAGGGTTTTCTATATATAGGATTATGTCATCTACAAACAGGGACAATTTAACTTCTTCCTTTCTAATTTGGATGTCTTTTATTTCTTTCTCTTGCCTAATTGCTCTGGCTAGGACTTCCAGTACTATGTTAAATAGAAGTGGCAAGAGTGGATATCCTTGTCTTATTCCTGATCTTAAAAGGAAAGCTTTCAATTTTTTTCCCCACTGAGTATGATGTTAGATGTGGGTTTGTCCTATAAAGGCCTCTATTGTGTTAAGGTACATTCCTTCTATACCTAATTTTTGAGAGTTTTTAATCATGAAGGAATGTTAAATTTTGTCAAATGCTTTCTCTGCATCTATTGAGATGATGAGATGGTTTTTGTCTTTCATTCTGTTAATACGGTGGATCACACATTTACAGATTTGTATAAGTTGAACCATCTTTGTATCCCTGTGATAAATCCTGCTTGATCATGGTAAATAATTGTTTAAATGTGCTGTTGAATTCAATTCGCTAGTATTTTGTTGAGTATATTTGCATACATGTTCATCAGGGATATTGGTTTGTAATTTTTTTTTCTTTGTAGTGCTCTCCTCAGGCAATGGGTTCACGGTAATGCTGGCCTTGTGAAATGTGTTTGGGAGTATTTCCTCTACTTCAGTTTTTTGAAAGAGATCGAGAAGAACTGGTATTTCCTCTTTAAATGTTTCATCAAATTCAGCAGTGAAGTTGTCAGGTCCTAGGCTTTTCTCTGATGGTAGATTTATCACTGATTTAATCTCCTTACTTGTTTTTGCTCTGTTCAGAGTTTCTGATTCTGTCTTGCAAGTTGCATGTGTCTAGGAATTTATCCAGTTTTTAGGTTATCCAATTTGTTGGCATATAATTGTTCATAGTAGTTTTTAAATAATCCTTTGTATTTCTGTGGTAACAGTCGTTACCTCTTCAATTCATTTCTGATTACATTTCTGATTTTATTTGAGTCTTTGCATTTTTTTTCTTAATCAGTCTAGCTAAAGGTTTGTAAATTTTATTTACCTTTAAAAAAAATTCTTAGTTTGGTTGGTCTCTTTATTTTTTCTATCTTCTGTTTACTTCTTCTGATCTTTATCATTTCCGTCTTCCTACTAACTTTGTAACTAGCTTAGTTGATTGTTTTTCCAGTCCTTGAGGTGTAATGGATGCTAGGTAGTCTATTTGTGATCTTTCATCTTTTTTGATGAAAACTCTCTTAGAACTGCTCTTGTATCCTGTAAGTTTTGGTATATTGTATTTCCATTTTCATTTGTCCCAAAGTAATTTTTCAATTTCCCTTATGATTTCTTCTTTGACCCATTGGTTGTTCAGGAGCATGTTGTTTAATTTCCACATAGTTGTGAATTTTCAAAAATTCCTCCTGTTGTTGATTTCTTGTTTCATGCCATTGTGGCCAGAAAGGATACTTGATATGATTTCAGTCTTCTCAAATTTGTTAAGACTCATGTTGTGGCCTTATCTATGGCCTGTCCTGGAGAGTGTTTCATGTGCACCTGACCAGAATGTGTATTCTGGCTAGGACTTCCAGCACCATGTTAAATAGAAGTGACATTCTACTGTTGTTGGGTGGAATATTCTGTATATGTCTGTTAGGTCCATTTAGTCTAACGTATATATCAAGTCCAATATTTTCTATTGATTTTCTCTCTGGATGATCTGTTCATAGTTGAAAGTGGGGGACTGAAGTCCCCTCATATTATTCTATTGCAGTCTATCTCTTTCTTTAGATCTATGAATATTTGCTTTCTATATTTAGGTGCTCTAATGTTGGGTGCATATAAATTGATAATTGTTATATCCTGTTGATGAATTGACCTTTTTATCATAATATAAAGACCCCTTTCTCTCTTTTCACAATTTTTGACTTTAAGTCTACTTTATCTGATATAAGTATATCTGCTCTCTTTTCATTTCCATTTGCACAGAATGTCTTTTCCCATCTCTTCACTTTCAATCTGTGTGTCCTTAAAGGTGAGGTGAATTTCTTGTAGGCAGCATACAGTTGGGTCTTTTTTGGGATATATTTTTAATAATCCAGTTAGCCATTCTATATCTTTGTATTGAAGAATTTAATCCATTTACATGACGGCAATTATTGGCAGTTAAGGACATAGTATTGACATTTTGTTAAGTATTTTCTGGTTGTTTTTTAGGGTTTTTTGTTCCTTTCTTCCTCTCTTGCTGTTTTGATTGGTGATTCAATTATTTTCTGTGGTAGTATGCTGTTATTTGTTTCTCTTTATCTTTTGTGGATTTACTATAGGTTTTTGTCTCGTGGTTATCGTGAGGTTTACCTAAAACATTTTATAATTATATAATTATAACCGGCTATTTTAAACTTATAACAACTTAAATTTCAATCCCTGTTTATGTATTTCATATGTAGTCACATAACCATACCATATAAGTGAATAGCAAAAAACCAGAAATGTATTACAGAAAGGTGGCAAGGGGCAAGGCCATATTAAAGAGAAGAAATAAAAATAGATATAGCTGAGAAATGAAGATGAAGATGGCACACAGGACAGAAAGAACAGTGATGGTATAGAAATCTTTCAGTGTGTATTGTGGGACATACCTATTTAATTGGTGGGTGTGTGTGTGTATGTTTGTAAAATGCGTATTGATGGAAATAGTGTTGGGAAAGCCTAGACATTTGCAGATATATTGAGGAGAGGATTAACTCCAGGCGGGTGGCTTATGTAATCGAAGCAACATTTTAGGAAGAGGATTTTAGTTGTGAAGTTTAAAGAGGTTGGAATTGGAGAGAAAGCGAAATAAATTATTAAAAAAATTAAGGATCCAGGTTCATCCTCATTTATTCTGTCAGGTCCTGAGGTCAACAGCATGAGTCTTTCTTCATCATCAGCGCCTAATTCAAAATACACTCTAAATAAATGTTGTAGAATGGATGAAAGAACAGACAAATGAGAAAAGAATATTCTGGAGAGGTTGTATAAGAAGGCTCTACAGTATCTATAAAAACCCTAAGTATAAAGATTTGAGGGAGGAGAAGTCAAGGGCAATTGGGAGTTTTGAACCTGGGTGGCAGACACAAAAGAGATTCTGAATTAATGTCTGATAAATAGAAGAACTATTCCACTTATTCAGAGGTTCAAATGTAGATAGTAATGGATGTTGGGGTTTTTGGTTCTTTCTTCATTGGGCATGTACAGGTTGGGCTTGGCAATTATTTCACTAACACTCCAAGTAAAGGACTGTAAAAGGTAAAGAAAACCAAGAGAACGCAGGCTGCATTACAGAGGGTTGGAGCAGACATCCATTCCCCATACTCTGGGCCCAAAATAAGGTTATTTTAGTGGTGATGGGAAGAGCTTTTTGCTAATTGAGACTGAGATTTATGTGGAGATTTAGCCTCAAAAATAAGAAAGGCTGGTATCTGACACTGGAGATGACAGACAGAGAGAAAGCCAGAGTCAGGGAATGAAACATTTGGCATAAACTAAATCCTTAGAAAAAAGTCTCACAGGCAGATCAGGAATACGGTGTATGTGGCAGCAGGCAGTTAACTGTGGTTATTTCCATCTGCCTTGGGCCTCACCTTTGCAGTACTCTGTCTACTGTGTAATGTGATAACATCCAGGGAAAATTCCTCTGGATAACCTACTAAATTACAAACAGAAGAAATGAGGACATTTTTCAAGGTCACACATGAAACCTGGTAGATTTTTTTTCTGTAAGTGCACAGTGAGCTGGAGATTGACCTAATCATGCAATAAATGCTCAGCAGAAAATGCTGTAAAGCAATTCCTTCCTCATCAGTCCTCAGAATCTGGTGAGGGTGAGCTAGAAGGGAAGGGCAGGAAGGTCATGATCCACACTGAGCTGAGCAGTGGGACTGTCTCTGCATTTCACCTCAGGGAAAAGTCTGCTTCACTTTGAGCCTATGCCTTAGAGACACCAAGGAACTGGAAATGGAGTTTCCTTGATTGCTTGGGACTTTGGTGTGCAGTCTCGAGGCTTGAGAAAAAAGAACATTTTCATATTTGGCTCTGCCGTCAGTCTGGTAAGTGGGGTACTCTATTGGCTCATCTTCTGGCTGCCCACAGAGGCCCAGACCCCAGCTGTCAGCCTCTGAACTCCGCCACTTTTGCTCCAGACCCAGAAGAGTGGACTCATTTTCAACACTGAGGCCACAACTCAAATGTCACTGTCTCAGAGAGCCCTTCTTTGACCTCTCCAGCTGAATCAATGTCCTGTCTCTCTCTCCATCTTTTAAATAAAATTTTTAATAAATTGGAAAACATATTAAATTATTGTTTTATTTTCTATCTCTCCCCTAGAATATAAGCTTCTTGAAAAGCTGACAATCTAGATCCCCCAGTTTATACCCAGTGTCTACAGTTATGATAATACTTTTCTTGTATTTTCCTGTTCAGAAATCAGTGACATGCAGAGGGAAAGCTTTCTTCTGTGTGTTTTCTTTCACAGGGTAAGTTCAAAAAGAATTCTTAAACCAAGATAAGATGGCAAGCTGTGAGCCTTTCTGGTTTTCTGGAATGAGCAAGATAATTAGCCACAGGTGAAAATAAGCAAGATTCGTCTACCCATGAAGATTTTGCAAAGTTATTTCCACTTTGTAATCATAAAGTATGCCCTTTTGAGCTCTTACTGGTTTGATGAAAAGGCAATTGGCATGACAAATTTGTAATAAGTAGAAGTCATCAGCTTTTCCCAGTGGCCTGTCATGATCCTATAGTGGTTAGTATTCTGCCTTGTGGCTGCAACATCTGTGGGAATCTGAATATGACAGTCTGAAGTCGACTGCTTTTTTAATTAATCCCAGAAACTAATTCTAAGGCTTTAATGCGGAGCTAGGTTTTGTGTTATTTAGAACATATATAAAGAAAACCTTCTTTGACTCCTTTCTAGGCACTGATTATCAAACCAGACAAGAATGAGAAAGCATGAATTTTTACAATCCATTATCCTTCAGCTTCCCTTTTCTTTCCATCTCCACTCAAGGTGGTATCCACAGTTACATTTAAAAATGAGGAGCTATCAAGATGCCTTGCTCAAAGGTATTTGCAAAGTCTCAGAAGAATAAAACAACAGGTTTTGAAGGTGAATTAACAATGATTTTGTTTTCTGAGAGTGTGCATAGGATTGAATTCCAGGAGTAAAGCTGCGAGAGAGGCCAGCTTTTTAGGAAGGGCTTTGAATGTCAGGATAAAATGTTTAAGCACTGTAAGCAAAGTTTGCTGGTAAATGAATTTAGGAGAGACTGTAACTGAATTTGCATTTCAGTACCATTCCAATAGGGCACAGAGTTGAGAATTGAGTGCAAAGATCATGAGGAAGGTCAGGGTATTACCATAATGGTCTAGGCAGAGAAAGTATACATCTTTAATAGGGCAAGACAATGGAGTTAGACACCTTCATTCATTCAACAAATCTTTATGTGGGGGCATATGGCATGCCCCTAGGCTCTGGGGATGCTGAGTGCCTGTCTGAGGATTCAGCCACTGAATGGTTGCTAGATGGCATTGACCCATGGGTCACGAGTATGAGGCGCTTTAAAAATTTAATCTCATGTGGAATTACATGGGGAGATTCCAAGGAACCACTTGCGCTGGTGCGTCCGCGGCCGTCGCGAGGCGTCCGTCCTTCCCCGAGGGCGAGCTCCGGGCAGGCAGGGACTCGCCACCCGCAGCCCTGGAGCCGGGCCGTGAGCGCCTGCGCGGCGCTGGGTCGCTGTCCAGGAGATGTCTGCGCGGGAGACCCAGCTAAGCCTTGTGCGGCTACCTCCTCCTGGCTGATCCCAACCCGGTCCCCCAGCCACTCGATAGAAACACGATTCACATCGTCCCCGTTCCTGAGTGAAGGTCTCGTCTCCCACGACCTGCTTCGCCTCGCTCGTGATGATTTCCTACACTTGACTAGGGTTCCCGGTGCATTCGGCCCTCCCTCCTTAAGCTTCTGTCCTCTATCCGTTATGAAATCGTGTAACTTGTTTGGTGTGAACTGAGACAGCTGAACTTCGGAAGAAATTAGGCAGGATTCCCTGAAAAATGTGTGTGTGTGAGTGTGTGATTATATATATATAACTGCTCCTTGCGGAGCAGGGCTAATCAGGTAGCGTGCCCAGAGTAATCAAAATTTTTGTTAATTCTCAGGAGGGAGCATTAAAACAAAGAGCCAAAAGTTCTAAAACGGGGGACTTTTCACTCGAAATGGGCTGATGCAGAAGATACCATTAGTCAATTTGTACCAGATTCTTGATTTATTCCCTTGTAAATCTTTTCCAGCCTTCTTCACCTTCCTCCACCCAATCTTTCTCAGGTGTGTTATGATCCAACAAGGGTAATAATGCAAGTTTTATGAAGATCTCCTTATAAAGAAAAGGTTTCGGAAATACTGCTTTCTGTTTACTTTTTGATATGTGGATGATAAACAACACCCCATCTTTCCAGAACACAAGGAGGGGGCGACTTCAAGCTAGCAGTTGAATCAGGAATCTTCTGATACATTATGCTTTGCATCATTGGCTCTGCTTAAGTCAACATGGTTTTTCAAAAAAATTGTTTTGTGTTAAATTTTATTTGTAAAACTTTCTACCAAATAAAGATGTGCAGATTAAATAAAATTTCTAAATGTGGTTGATAGCACTTGGCCTCCCTGCCATTTGTCTGCTCTCAGCTTTCCAGCTGAAAAAAATGAAAAGATTCATGGTCTTCTTGAAGTGTCATTAGTTCAATTTCCTGCCAGCCTCGGGTCCTTGACCTCAGTGGTGAGGAACGTGAAAGCAGCAGATGATGGAGATTTTAGGATTTTGTTGCTTGAAAAGGAAACCAGGTGTCAGGGACCGGTATGAACAAATGAAATAACAGAAACACTGGCAAATCCTATCAGGCTACTCATTCTCAAGAGTAGTGTTCCTTTCTGTACTTTTAGTGTACAGAGTATTCATCTCAATTGTGACTTTTATCAGAATTGTAAACAGCTGTTTGCTCAACTGTCTTCCCTACTCCATTGTAATATTCCTTGAGGGCAGCACATTCAGTGTCTACAAAAACTAATTTTACCTTAAAATTCTGCACACATGCATGTAGGGTTGAGTGAGAAAAAATGCTTGCAAGAATCAGGAAAAAGTTTTAACTTGTAAAACAGGTAGGCTCACAGGTGTATGATCCTATGCTATTCCAACCCATATGTTTAAATGAGAAAACAGCGGACTGCTATATACAAAAGTGGTTTTCTGGGTTCTCGGATATAATAACTTTGCGGCTCACAATGGCTCTTATATCCTTAAGGCAGGAGAGAGTTGGGGCTGGGCATGTGTCAATTAAATCTAAAGCCACTGACAGACCATAGGGCTAGGCTGGAGCCAGTGGCTGAGAAGTTGGCCTCCTAAGTGAGGAGAATGTCTAATTTGCTGACAGGAAAGCAAAAGCTCAGTGAACCAAGTGCACGCCAGACAGACATTTTTCATACCTTTTATATGGCTGGTTTGAGTTAATGCCAGTGATTAGGATTTAGAACACATAACCCACCAAACTTCTTTATGAAATATTTAGCACAAAGATCTCTACATTACTGGAAAAAACTCAGGAAACTCTTAGCAATAGCTCCACAACATTAAAAACACTCAACTGGCTTTTAAAAAGTAAATTTATTACCACACATAATAAGTCCAGAGAGTAGAGAGATTCCATCATGTCATCAAGACCCATGATAAATCTTTAAATATTTTGATTTTTTTGAACTTTACACTCTGTTACTCTCAATATATGGGTCTCATACTTTGGCCGGTTCCTCTGCAGTGCCTCAAACTCTGTCCCCTGAGCAGAAAGCCGGGGCTGTATTTACCCAAGTGGCTCTGCGCTGCACTTTTCATAATTGTCTCACATTTAGGACAAAGCTGCAGGTAGAAACAGGGAGAAAAGAGCAGTTGTATATGTCCCTTGGTTTCACAGCTCCTCAAAGAAACAGAGAATTAATTACATGGTAGATCTACACTATACTGAATGCCAAGAGGGAGCCATCACCAGCCCTCTATTATTGCTGCTCCTACGTCTTGAACCAAAGCAGCATCCTGTTCTCAGACACTAACTTGGGTTTGGAGACCTGAGTGTTTGGAGACACGATGTCTAAATAATAAAGCTTGGAGAATGTGGGCATCGATCCCACTACCTCTTGCGTGCTAAGCAAGCGCTCTACCACTTGAGCTAATTCCCCACATCAGGGCAGCATTATTTATTGTTAGCAGGTGGCCTGGAACACAGGTGATTTCAGGGCCTTCAGCAGGAAAGCAGGGCTCTAAGAGCAGATCTTCTCATTGATGGGCCAGGGCAAACAGCAGTGGCTACTCATTGTCTGCAAAGAAGGAGGAGAAAAGGGAACAAGGAGAAAGTCACAACGGGAAAACTTCACGCTGCCAAAATGCCAAGTTTAGAGTATTCCGGGACAGAAAAGGGCACGTCCTAGCAAAGGAGGACCTGCCTAGACATGCCCAGGTAAAGCATCACAGATTTTTAAAAAATGATTAAATACTTAAAAATGATTAAATGATTTTGTGTGTGTGTGTGTGTGTGTGTGTGTGTGTGTGTGTGTTTATAAAAGTGGGACCAGAAACAATTGTAACTGTCTTGCTGCTTTTTTTCCTCTTGTGGCCCAGTCATCTAGCTTTTCCCTTCTTCAGAGATCTTAGTCACTCTTCTTTTCCGCAGTCTCCTTTGTTGATAAGAAACAGAGGCGGTGCTCAATTCATGATAGTTCACTGAGTGACCAACTGAATGAAGGAAGGAAGAAATAGCCTTCCAAGGTGTCTCCCATTCATACTACTCTTACTGTGTATCTACACTTGCATCTCTATGACTGGAGACATTCACTCAACAAAAAACATAAACTGAACTTATAATCATATCCTCCCTGTTTTTTCCCCAATTTTTTGTGCCATGAATTATACTAGGAGACTTAGGGAGTTTACTTGATGTAGTCTGACTGAATTTTGCCAAAAAAACTGTCTTAGTCTGCACTTTATGCACTTTTTAGAAGTAATAGAGGCTCAGATAAGTTAAGTGTTCCTAAGGTGCCAAAGCTGCTAAGTGGGAAAGCCTGAACTAAGAAGCAGATATTTTTAGATTTTAAATGTGATTTTTTCCCTCTGTACCAGCTCAGTTATTCTGCCCGTTCTTTTGCACTTTAGCTCACTCATTCATACAACAAATATCTAATTCCAAACCTCTTCCTTACTTACTTTTTGGGCTTAACTTTTTTTTTTTTTTTTTTTTCGACAGAGTGTCACTCTGTCGCCCAGGCTGCAGTGCAATGGTAAGATCTTGGCTCACTGCAACCTCTGCCTCCCGGGTTCTAGTAATTCTCCTGTCTCAGCCTCCAGAGTAGCTGGGACTACAGGTGCCTGCCACCACGCTTGGTTAATTTTTGTATTTTTAGTAGAGACGGGGTTTCACCATGTTGGCCAGGCTGGTCTCAACCTCCTGACGTCACGTGATCAGCCTACCTTGGCCTTCCAAAGTGCTGGGATTACAGGCATGAGCCACCCCTCCTGGCCTGGGTTTAACTATTTTATTTTATGACAGGGTCTCACTTTGTTGTCCAGGTACCGGTGCGTTCTCTGTTCACTGCAACCTCCACCTCCTGAGTTCAAGCGATCCTCCCACCTCAGCCTCCTGAGTAGCTGGAACTACAGATGCATACCACCACACCCGGCTAATTTTTGTATTTGTTGTAGAGACAGGTTTTCACTGTGTTGCCTAGGCTGGTCTCAAACTCCTGGTGTCAAGGGATCCACTGATCTCGGCCTCCCAAAGTGCTGGGATTACAGAAATGAGCCACCACGTCTGGCCCTGGGCTTACCTTTCAAGTCAACTTTGATTCATTGTCTTCCTTGAAACACCACATTCAGTGATTAGTCAAATAATGAACATTATTCTTGCACAACTCTTTTGAATCTATCAATTACTTTCTACTCATTTAGTACATATTCACTGGGGAGATGCTCTGTGCCAGACACTGTAGTAAGATCAGGTAATTCAGAGGAAGTATAGACACCCCAGACCTCAAACGAAGACAAGATAAATATGGACAAGGGAAGATCCACCTCCACATTCACCATTTTCAGTCTTTCTGTCATTTCCAGCTAAATAACGTCTTCAAAAATGTTTCAAAATAACTAAGTCACTATTTCAAACTCTTTCAATAATAGCACCCTTCTATACACTGGACTACTCTTAATTTTCTCATTATAACATGATCTTGCTTTTCTTTTAATTTTTGTCTTTGCTTTCTACCTGAATTTTTATTTTGCATTATGAAATTGATAGGTCCATTACTGGATGGCATGGTTCAATTCTCCAGTATGTCTGTTGATTTGTGTTCCACTAAATCTTCCAATTACTCAGAGAGGAGTGTTAATGACTGCAACTATAACTGGATTTTTCTATTTTTACTTGGCGTATCCAATTTTGTTTATGAGTTTTGAAGCTCTGTGTCCTCATATACATTTGGGACAATATTCTCCTGAAAAATTGACAATCATAATTATTTAGGAGGCCTCATTATTCCTGAAAAGTTTCTCTGCTTTCAAATCTACTTTGTCTGATTTTATATATATACACCACAGCTGTCTTTGATTAATGCTTGCATGAGGTATCTTTTCCCACTCTTTTCTTTCAATCTGCTCTATAACTTTTATTCTTATTTATAAGTGTATTGCAGGTGGCTTTCTTTAGTCAGCATATTTATTTTTAACACATTCTGATGATCTCTAGTTTTTACTTAATGCATTTAGATAATTTACATATAATGTTATTATAGATAAGTTTTTAGATAGATCTACTATTTAATAATTTATTAACCTTTTTTCCCTTTGTTTTAATTCTTCTATGTTCCTCTGTCTATCTTGTTTTGGTTTATTTCAATCTGGTTGTTAAGTGGTCTAGGGATTACCATATACATATATAACTTTTCACAGTATACTAAGAATCAATATTTTACCATTCAAGTTGAATATAGAAACTTCATCAAGAGTTAGTCCCATTACATTTACCCTTTTATCTTATGTATGTAGTACATCTAGATACAATGACAACTGCATCAGATAAAGTTACAATTTTTGCTTTCAACCATCAAACATACCTTAAGGAACTCAAGAGAAGAATAATAGTCTGTTATGTCTACCCAGACATTTTCTATTTCTGCTTTTGTTCCTTCATTGATGATGTTCTAAGTTTCCTTCTGGTATCACTTTTCTTATCTCAAACCTTTGCTAATTCTTTTCCAGCAGTTTTGCTAGGACTGAGAATGTATTTATTTACCTTCCAATGAGAATGCATTTATTTGCCTTTATGTCTGGAAGATACTTTTGCTCCACATACCATTCTGGGTTGATAATGTATTTTTCCTTTGGTATTTACTGAATGTTATGACATTTTTTTCTGGCTCCTGGGTTCCCGATGAGAAATCTACAATCATTCATTTGGTATTTTATCTTTCATTTCCCTTTGGCTGCTTTCAAAATTGTTTTGTGTTTTCTTAATTTTCCGCAGTTTGATTATGATATGTCTTGCAATGGGTTTCTTTTGGTTTATCCTGCTTGACATTTACTGAACTTTAAAAATCTGGTTTATATCTTTTGAGAAATTTGATACATTTTCAGCCATTAATTCTTCACAGTTTTATCCCACAAAGACCTCTTTGTCCTCTTACAATAATGTGAATGTTTCCAGATTACAATAATGTGAATGTTAGATTTGTTATTTTTTATTTGTCCCTGAGCCTCTGTTCAGGGACAATAAAATCCTCCTTTCTTTCTATAGGTCAGATTCTGTAGGTATTCTTGTTCCGTTTTCAAGTTCATTGACTTTTTCCTTAGTCTTCTGCATACTGCTATTGAGATCATCCAATTAAGCTTTTTATTTCCCCTAATAGTTTTGGTTAATACTTTTTTTAATTCTTAAGTTTAAATTGGTGTTTACATATTCCAAATATTTGGTGAGACTTTCCAACTTTCCATTCACTTCATGAATGCTATCCCGTAATTCTAGGAGCATTGTTATAATAACTGCTTTAATGTATGTGTCAGATGATTTTGACATATGTGTCCTCTCAATATTGTTATGCAAGGATTCTCTTTGCCATGTGAATTAAGATCTCCCTGGTTTTTCATAATGCTGAATATTTTGGGGCTTGTAACCTGGACTTCTTTGGATTATGTGATGAGACACTGTGTCTTGTTGAAATCTTAAGGATAATATTGCTCTTTTTGTTTTTGCAGGCACACAATTGCCTTGTATTTAAGCTCCAAGTACCAACCAGACTTCCATGTGTTGTTGTTTCACAGATAACTCTATTTGAAAGCCTTGACACTGCGGATGAGAGATCTCTGGAGTGTGTGCAACCAGTGGTCAGTGAGGACTGGAAAGTGGACCATTGTTTAGTTCAGTCCTCAGGCTCTTTTTAGGTAAGTTGTTTGGGATTAGACCCACTTATTCACAGCTGGCAGGTGCGTCCACAAGCTCATGAACAACTTTATGGGTTTGCTTTCTACAGTATCTGTCCAGGCACATTCTAGTTACTTGACACATCCTGGTTTCAGTCCTCTCACCAGAAAGCCAGGGCTGTATTTACCCAGGTGGCTCTGCCCTGCACTTTTCACAGTTGCCTCACATTCAAGCTACAGGCAGAAACAGGGAGAAAAGAGCAATTGTTTATGTCCCTTGGTTTCACAGCTCCTCAAAGAAGCAGAAAATTAATTACACGGTAGATCTACACTATACTGAATGCCAGGAGGGAGCCGTCACCAGCCCTGTATTGTTGCTGCTCCTACATCTTGAACCAAAGCAGCATCCTGTTCTCTGACTTGGGTTTGGAGACCTGAGTGTTTGGAGACCCAGGGTCTAAATAATAAAGTTTGGAGAATGTGGGCATCGATCCCACTACCTCTTGCATGCTAAGCAAGCGCTCTACCACTTGAGCTAATTCCCCCACATCAGGGGAGCTTTATTGATCCTTAGTGGGTGGCCTGGAACACAGGGGATTTCAGGGCCTTCAGCGGGAAAGCAGGGCTCTACTAAGAGCAGATCTTCTCACTGATGGCCCAGGGCAAGGTGCAGTGGCTACTCATTCTCTGCAAAGAAGGAAGAGGAAAGGGAACAAGGAGAAAGTCAAAAAGGGAAAACTCACACTGCCAAAATGTCAAGTTTAGGGTATTCCGGGACAGAAAAAGGCACATTCCAGGAAAGGAGGCCCTGCCTAGACCTGCCCATCTAAAGTGTCACTGATTTTTAAAAAATGATTAAATAATTAAAAATGATTAAATGATTTTGTGTGTGTGTGTTGTGTGTGTGTGTTTATAAAAGTGAGATAGTATTATCACTTGTTCCTTGTAGCTGAGACTCTCTGGGGATTTTGAGATGGTACAGATTTCTGGAAGGCAAAAAGCTCCTGTTGTTTTCATAACTAGGCCCTTTCAGGAATGAAGCCAGCGTGCTGACCACTACCTTAGGAAACCCCTGGGGAGTGCTTCTTTCACTTGCATCTGAGATATAGGTTGCCTCCTTGCTAAGGTGTGTCATGTACAAGTTACATGTCCAACTATATCTCAGAACAACAACAACAAAATTACAGAGCAGAGCCATAAAGAATAAGAGACAAGATCATATCAGAGTGTAAGAATATGTAAAATATTAGAGTGTAAGAATCAAAATTCAGCTATGCAGAGAAGGAGTGGACATATGGTGGAGAAAACCGGGCTGTTCGTAGGAATTCCTGTGTGAAGAAATAAACCTGTTCAATTTAAGTGCTGTGTGTGTGTGTGTGTGTGTGTGTGTGTGTGAAATACACACGGAGGGAAGCAGTGATTGAAAAGCCTGGCCACTTGGAGATATGTTGGTAGAGTTTTATGAAAACTCCCAAGAGTAATTGAAAAAATCCCAGGCAGAATGCTTAAATAATTAAAGCAACATGTTAGAGAAAGGTGTTTAGTTTTGAATGTCAGAGCTTGAACATGAGAAAATAGAAATTGAAGAGAAAGAGAAAGAAGTCATAAAGATATTAAAGGATTGAGATTTACCCGCATTTATCGTGTCAGCTCCCGAGGTGGACAACAGGAGTCTTTCTGCAGCGTCAGTGCCCATCACACTTCCTGCTGCAGAATACATCCTCCATAAACACCATAGCATGGATGATGACAGAGGTGAATGAAAAGAAAGAAAAACATTCTGGTGATGCTGTGCAGGAAGGATCTACAGTATTTGTCAAGACATTGGGTGGAGAGATTTGAGGGAGAGGAGACAAAGACACTGGGAAGTCTTGAGCCTAGTGTGGTAGACACAAAAGAGATTCTGAATTAATAGCTGATGAATGAATCCACTCATTTATTTGTATTTGTTATGTGAATGAATGTTACATGAATGACCTGGCATGGAGAAAACAGATGGTGAGACTATGTGCTAGGGTAAAGCAAGAGCTCAAGTTTTTTTTTTTTTTTTAATTTAGAAAAAAATCTGCTTTTCATATCTGGTTTTCCTATTTAAAACTATGTGATTTGAGGAAAATGGTTTAACTCCTCTGAGCTTTAGTGTCATCTACAAAATTTGGATAATGATACTGAGGGAAGCTGAAAAGCCGTATCAACCAACTTATACAAAAAATAATAAACATTCACTTCCATTTCTAATGCATGGTGCTGAAAAAGTCCTTGTATGTGGAATATTGTTCACCTTTAAGGAACCTGCTCTCAAGAGCTGATGAGGGACTTTTTTTAGTGCAGTTCTGTTGTCACTGGCTGTTGGGCTCATTTAGTTGGCACCAACAAATCTCTGTGAACATAAAAATAAAATAAAATAAAGATTGTGGAGGAATAGAATACAAACACACAGTAAGGTGAGATTTGCACAACAGAGTAAAGGATGTGTGCCTGATTCTTTTTGCATTCTCTTTGAATCATTTTTAGCCTTTATTCTAAGTCCCCAATTATTGTCATCCTTCTCCCAACAAGATCGTTTCTCTCCACCGCAGATATTCTGGCCAGGCTCTCTGGTTAACCATCTTGATGTCCTGAGCACTCTGTTTGTACTGAGACTCTGATTTATGTTCAAATGATGCTCTTCCATAGCAAGGCTTCCTGCTTTGCCCAAAGAGCATTCAATTTTTCAAGCAATTTAGGGCTCCTTCCTCACCCAGTATCTATGTGAAACCTTAAAGGGAAGCCTATTCTTTCCAGGAAGATAATCCTGTTGTGGTTTTAACCTCAATCTGTAAATTCGCTGGGGTAACTGGGAAAGAAGTCATAAAGATATTAAAGGATTGAGGTTTATCCACATTTACTGTGTCAGCTCCTGAGGTGAACAGCATGAGTCTTGCTGCAGCTTCAGCCCCCATCACACTTCATAGGTGAAGAAAACATCCTCCATAAACACTGTAGCATGGATAACAGAAGGAAAAGATTCTGGAGAGGTTATGCAGGAAGAATCTACAGTATTTGTCAAGACATTGGGTGGAGAGATTTGAGGGAGAGGAGACAAAGGCACTGGCAAGTCTTGAGCACAGTGTAGCAGACACAGAAGCGATTTTGAATTAGTATCTGATGAAAGCAAGAATAAATCCACTCATTTATCTGTATTTGGTAAATGAATGAATGTTACATGAGTGAGCTGGTGTGAAGAAAACAGATGATGAGACTATGTGCTAAGTGAAAGCAAGAGCTCATGATTTTTTCATTTAGAAAGAAATCTGCTTCCCATATCTGGTTTCCCTCTTTAAAGTTATGTGATCTGAGGAAAATGGTTTAACTGCTCTGAGCTTCAGTGTCATCTATAGTACTGTGGTAATAATACTTGGGGAAGCTGAGAAACTATATCGACCAACTTACATAAAAATTAATAAACAGTCAGCATAGTTTCTAGCACATAGTGCTGAAAAAGTCCTTGAACGTGGAGTATTGTTCACCTTTAAGGAAAATGTTCTGAAGGTCTAAGGAGAGAGATCAGTGCAGCTTTGTTGCCATTGGCTGATTTGCTCATTTATTTTGTAGCAACAAGCTTCTGTGATGACAAAAATGAAATAAAGTTTAAAAAGTAAAATAGATGGTGGAGAAACACAATAGGGATGTATAGTAAGGTACGATTTTCTAGGCAAAATGGATTTGTACAAAAGAATGTAGTAGTAAAGGATTTGTGCCTGATTCTTGTTGTATTATTTTTGAATCTCATTTAGCCTGTATTCTAATTTCCCAGTTGTTGTAATCCTACACCCAACAAGATTATTTCTTCGCACCATGAACATTCTGGTCAGATTCTCTGCTTAACCATCTTGACTTCCTGAGCACTCATGTTTTTACTGAGACCCTGATATATGCCCAAATGATGCCCTTCCATAGGAGGGCTTCCTGCTTTGCCCATAGAGCATTCAATTTTTCAAGCAATTTAGGGCTCTTTCCTCAACCAGGGTCTGTATGAAACCTTAAAGAGAAGCCTGTTCTTTCCAGGAAGAGAATTCCAGTGGGTTCTAACCTCAACCTATAAATCCACTAAGCAAGCTCCTACTGAACACCTATGATGCAAGCTCAATCCAAGAGGCCAGCACTCCACAGGGGGAAGGCAACCGAAGCAGTAGCTAATGCTTACTGAGCAGTTCTTATTGATCAGGTCCATCTCTAGGTGCTGTGATCCACCCAAAAATATCCCACAATCCTTATTTCCCATGTAAAGAAAGAAGATTGAAAGAAAGGGAAGCTAAATGATAGCTTCAAAGTGACAACTTCCCTGATTCTTCTACTGAAAACTGAATGTGTCACCTCCACACTGCCGAGTCCTTTACTGCCTAATGAGTCCCTCCCAGTAGATATTATCACATGACTTCTTGTTTATTTTTCTTCTTTGCTTCCTGTCTGTTTCTCCCCACTCCTTGCAACTATGACGTAGTATCACAAAGGTGAGAATATCTGTGTTTTATTCACTGTGAATTACTGTACCCAAAACAGTCTCTTAACAAGGTATGCGCTTGAGAAATATTTGTTGGATGATTAAAAGAATAAAAGAGTTCACCCACCCCACCTGATAATTATGTTTGGATGACCTTCAGAGCAGACAATTGGAAGAGAAATTTCCCCTGCTTCCCTTGTCAGCTAGAGAGGTAGACATATGACATAGCTTGTAGTTTCTTGTGTAATTTATATCTCTTCACCACGCCTTGTATTCAAACCACTAAGAAGCCAAAAGAAGGAAAAAGAGAAAAAGAAAGAAAGAAAGAAAGAAAGAAAGAAAGAAAGAAAGAAAGAAGAAAGGAAGAAAGAAAGAAAGAAAGAAAGAAAGAAAGAAAGAAAGAAAGAAAGAAAAAAGAAAAGCTCATTTTTAAATTTTAAGCTAATATTTGGACTGTCTTGAAATCATTATCTCATAGCATTTGTGTTACATTATTTATCACACCTATTTCATTTCCCTTAACGGAAAGAGCGGCAAAAGCTGTACCTTGTCTGATGTTCAAACTCAGGACCTTCAGAATACGAGATTGACAGGTGGCCTGCTGCTCTAAGAGAGCAACTGTTCCTAAGAGCTGAGATCCAGATTATTAAATCTCATTTCCCACACACTGCTGCTTTATCAATTCCTAGCTTTTAAAGAACACAATCAATGCTACTTGGAAATCACTGCTTATCAGCCAGTGCTGCACTGGAAGAATTCCCCACTCAGGACAGGTGGAGTCCACCCGTTTCCAGTATTCACATAATGATAGGACCTTCTGGCTTGAGGGACCAGAAACAATTGTACCTGTCTTGCTGCTTTTTTTCCTCTTGTGGCCCAGTCATCTAGCTTTTCCCTTCTTCAGAGATCTTAGTCACTCTTCTTTTCCGTAGTCTCCTTTGTTGATAAGAAACAGAGGTAGTGCTCAATTCATGATAGTTCATTGAGTGACCAACTGAATGAATGAAGGAAGAAATAGCCTTCCAAGGTGTCTCCTGTTCATACTACTCTTACGGTGTATCTACACTTGCATCTCTATGACTGGAGACATTCACTCAACAAAAAACCCAAACTGAACTTATAAACATATCCTCCCTGTTTTTTCCCCAGTTTTTGTGCCATGAATTATACTAGGAGACTTAGGGAGTTTACTTGATGTAGTCTGACTGAATTTTGCCAAAAAAACTATGTCTTAGCCTGCACTTTATGCACTTTTTAGAAGTAATAGAAGCTCAGGTAAGTTAAGTGTTCTTTCTAAGGTGTCAAAGCTGCTAAGTGGGAAAGCCCAAATTGAGAAGCAGATACTTTTAGATTTTAAGTGTGATTTTTTTCCTCTGTACCAGCTCAGTTATTCTGCCTGTTCTTTTGCACTTTAGCCCATTCATTCATACACCAAATATCTAATTCCAAACCTCCTCTTTACTTACTTGCTCTGTCACCCACGCTGTACTGCACTGGTGAGATCTTGGCTCACGGCAACCTCTGTCTCCCAGGTTCAAGTAATTCTCCTGTCTCAGCCTCCTGAGTAGCTGGGACTACAGGTGCTTGCAACCACGCCCAGCTAATTTTTGTATTTTTAGTAGAGATGGGGTTTCACCATGTTGGCCAGGCTGGTCTCAAACTCCTGACCTCAGGTGATCCGCCCACCTCAGCCTCCCAAAGTGCTGTGATTACATGTGTGAGCTACCCCTCCCGGCCTGGGTTTAACTATTTTATTTTATTTTATTTTATTTTATTTTATTTTATTTTATTTTATTTTATTTTATTTTATTTTATGACAGGGTCTCACTTTGTTGTCCAGGCACCGGTGCAATCTCTGTTCACTGCAACCTCCGCCTCCCAGATTCAAGCGATCCTCCCACCTCAGCCTCCTGAGTAGCTGGAACTACAGATGCATACCACCACACCTGGCTAATTTTTGTATTTTTTGTAGAGACAGGGTTTCACTGTGTTGTCCAGGCTGGTCTCAAACTCCTGGTGTCACGGGATCTGCCCATCTCGGCCTCTCAAAGTGCTGGGATTACAGAAAAGAGTCTGGACTTGGGCTTACCTTTCAAGTCAACTTTGACTTATTGTCTTCCTTCAAACACTACATTCAAGGATTTGTCAAATAATGAACATTATTCTTGCCCAGTTCTTTTGAATCTATAAATTACTTTCTACTCATTTAATACATATTCACTGGGGAGATGCTCTGTGCCAGACACTGTAGGTAATTCAGAGGAAGTATAGACACCCTAGACCTCAAAAAAAGACAAAATAAATATGGACAAGGGGAGATCCACCTCCAGATTCACCATTTTCAGTCTTTCTGTCATTTCCAGCTAAATAACTCTTTCAAAAAATGTCTCAAAATAACTAAATAACTCTTCCAATAATAGCACTCTTCTATATGCTGGACTACTCTTAATTTCCTGGTTATAACATGATCTTTACTTTTCTTTTAACTTTTGTCTTTGCCTTCTACCTAAATTTTTATTTTGCATTATGAAGTTAATAGGTCCATTACTGGATGGTATGGTTTAATTCTCCAATATGTTTGCTGATTTGTTTTCTACTAAGTCTACCAATTACCGAGAGAGGAGTGTTAGTGTCGGCAACTCTAATTGGATTTTTCTGTTTTTACCTTGCGTATCCAATTTTGTTTATGAGTTTTGAAGCTCTATGTTCTCATATACACTTGGGACAATATTCCCCTGGAAAATTGACAATCATAATTATTTAGCAGGCCTCATTATTCCTGAAAAGTTTCTCTGCTTTCAAATGTACTTTGTCTGATTTTTTTATATATACATCACAGCTGTCTTTGATTAGTGCTTGCATGAGGTATCTTTTCCCACTCTTTTCTTTCAATCTGCTCTATAACTTTTATTCTTATATATAAGTGTATAGCAGGTGGCTTTCTTTAGTCAGCATATTTATTTTTAACACATTCTGATGATCTCTAGTTTTTAATTAATGCGTTTAGATTATTTACATGTAATGTCATTATAGATAAGTTTTTAGATAGGTCTATTATTTAATAATGTATTAACCTTGTTTCCCTTTGTTTTAATTCATCTATGTTCCTCTTTCTATCTTGTTTTGGTTTATTTAAATCTTGTTAGTAGGTGGTCTAGGGTTTACCATATACATATATAACCTTTCACAGTATACTTAGAATCAATATTTTACCATTCAAGTTGAATAAAGAAACTTCATCAAGAGTTAGTCCCATTACACTTACCCTTTTATCTTCTGTATGTAGTACATCTAGATACAATGACAACTGCTTCTGATAAAGTTACAATTTTTGCTTTCAATCATCAAACATACCTTAAGGAACTCAAGGGAAGAATAATAGTCTGTTATGTCTACCCAGACATGTTCTATTTCTGCTTTTGTTCCTTCACTGATGATGTTCTAAGTTTCCTTCTGGTATCATTTTTCTTATCTCAAATCTTTGCTAATTCTTTTCCAGCAGTCTTCCTAAGAATGAGAATGTATTTACTTACCTTCCACTGAGAATGCATTTATTTGCCTTTATGTCTGGAAGATACTTTTGCTCCACATAGCATTCTGGGTCGATATGTCTTTTTCTTTTGTTACTTACCGAATGTTATGACATTTTTTCTGGCCCCTATGGTTCCTGATGCGAAATCTACAATCATTCATTTGGTAGTTTCTCTTTCATTTCCCTTTGGCTGCTTTCAAAATTGTTTTGTATTTTCTTAGTTTTCAGCAGTTTGATTATGATATGCCTTGCTATGGGTTTCTTTGGGTTTATCCTGATTGACATTTACTGAACTTTAAAAATCTGGTTTATATCTTTTGACAAATTTGAACCATTTTCAGCTATTAATTGTTCAAAGTTTTATCCCACAAAGACCACTTTGTCCTCTTCTTTCCAGATTACAATAATGTGAATGTTGGATTTGTTATTTTTTATTTGTGCCTGAGCCTCTGTTCAGAGACAATAAAATCCTCCTTTCTCTCTATAGTTCAGATTATGTAGGTATTCGTGTTCTGTTTTCAAGTTCATTGACTTTTTCCTTAGTCTTCTGCATTCGATTATGGAGATCCTCCAATTAAGCTTTTTATTTCCCCTAAGAGTTTTGGTTAATACATTTTTTTAATTCTTAAGTTTAAATTGGTGTTTATGTATTCGAAATATTTGGTGAGACTTTCCAACTTTCCATTCACTTCACGAATGTTATCCCCGATTCTAGGAGCATTGTTATAATATCTGCTTTAATGTATGTGTCAGATGATTTTGACATCTGTGTCCTCTCAATATTGTTATTCGAGGATTCTCTTTGCCATGTGAATTAAGATCTCCCTGTTTTTTCATAATGCTGAATATTGTGGGGCTTGTAACCTGGACTTCTTTGGATTATGTGATGAGACACTGTGTCTTGTTGAAATCTTAAGGATAATATTGCTATTTTTGTTTTTGCAGGCACACAATTGCCTTGTATTTAAGCTCCAAGTACCAACCAGACTTTCATGTGTTGTCGTTTCAAAGATAACTCTATTTGAAAGCCTTGACACTGCTGTTCAGAGATCTCCAAAGTGTGTGCAACCCAGTGGTCAGTGAGGACTGGAAAGTGGGCCATTGCACAGTTCAGCTCTCAGGCTCTTTTTAGGTAAGTTGTTCGGGATTAGAGCCACTTATTCACAGCTGGCAGGTGCGTCCACAAGCTCATGAACAACTTTATGGTTTTGCTTTCTACAGTATCTGTCCAGGCACATTCTAGTTACTTGACACATCTTGGTTTCAGTCCTCTCACCAGAAAGCTGGGGCTGTATTTAACCAGGTGGCTCTGTCCTCCACTTTTCACAATTGTCTCACATTTAGGACCAAGCTGCAGGCAGAAACAGGGAGAAAAGAGCAGTTTTATATGTCCTTTGGTTTCACAGCTCCTCGAAGAAACAGAAAATTAATTACACAGTAGATCTACACTATACTGAATGCCAGCAGGAAGCTGTCACCAGTCCTGTATTGTTGCTGCTCCTATGTCTTGAACCAAAGACACCGAGAGCAGTGTCTTGCTCTCAGACACTGACTCGGGTTTGGGTACCTAAATAATAAAGCTTGGAGAATGTGGGCATTGATCCCACTACCTCTTGCATGCTAAGCAAGCGCTCTACCACTTGAGCTAATTCCCCATATCAGGGAAGCTTTGTTTATCCTTAGTGGGTGGCCTGGAACACAGGTGATTTCAGGGCCTTCAGCGGGAAAGCAGGGCTCTACTAAGAGCAGATCTTCTCATTGATGGCGCAGGGCAAGGTGCAGTGGCTACTCATTCTCTGCAAAGAAGGAGGAAAAAAGGGAAGAAGGAGAAAGT
This sequence comes from Homo sapiens, assembly GCF_000001405.40. Classification (NCBI taxonomy): domain Eukaryota; kingdom Metazoa; phylum Chordata; class Mammalia; order Primates; family Hominidae; genus Homo; species Homo sapiens. The sequence goes on along the minus strand of NC_000006.12, from coordinate 26,673,182 downwards.
CACAAAGGGAAAACTCACGCTGCCAAAATGTGAAGTTTAGGGTATTCCAGGACAGAAAAAGACACGTCCCAGCAAAGAAGACCTATCTAGACCTGCCCAGCTAAAGTGTCACTGATTTTTAAAAAATAATTAAATAATTAAAAATGATTAAATGATTGTGTGTGTATTGCATGTGTGTGTGTGTGTGTTTATAAAAGTGGGATGGCATTATCACTTGTTCCTTGTAGCTGAGACTCTCTGGGGGTTGTGAGATGGTCCAGATTTCTGGAAGGCACAAAAGGGATTCTGAATTAATATCTGATGAATGAATCCACTCATTTATTTGTATTTGTTATGTGAATGAATGTTACAGGAATCACCTGGTGTGGAGAAAACAGATGGCAAGACTATGTGCTAGGGTAAAGCAAGAGCTCACGTGTTTTTGTTTTTGGTTTTTTAATTTAGAAAAAAAATCTGCTTTTCATATCTGGTTTTCCTATTTAAAGCTATGTGATTTAAGGAAAATGGTTTAACTCCTCTGAGCTTTAGTGTCATCTACAAAATTTGGATAATGATACTGAGGGAAGCTGAAAAGCCATATCAACCAACTTATACAAAAAATAATAAACATTCACTTCCATTTCTAATGCATGGTGCTGAAAAAGTCCTTGTATGTGGAATATTGTTCACCTTTAAGGAACCTGCTCTCAAGAGCTGATGCGGGACTTTTTTTAGGGCAGTTCTGTTGTCTCTGGCTGTTTTGTTCATTTAATTGGCACCTACAAGTCTCTTTGAACATTAAAATAAAATAAAGATTGTGGAGGAATAGAATACAAACACATAGTAAGGTGAGATTTGCATAACAGAGTATAGTAAACGATTTGTGCCTGATTCTTTTTGCATTCTCTTTGAATCATTTTTAGCCTTTATTCTAAGTCCCCAATTATTGTCATCCTTTTCCCAACAAGATTGTTTCTCTCCGCCACGGACATTCTGGTCAGGGTCTCTGCTTAACCATCTTGACCTCCTGAACACTCTGTTTGTCCTGATAACCTGATTTATGCTCAAATGATGCTCTTCCATAGGACGGCTTCCTGCTTTGCCCAAAGAGCATTCAATTTTTCAAGCTGTTTAGGGCTCCTTCCTCACCCAGGGTCTATTTGAAACCTTAGAGGGAAGGCTATTCTTTCCAGGAAGAGAACCCTGCTGGGTTGTAACCTCAATCTGTAAATCCACTGGGGTAACTGGGGTTAGCTCAGTTACTCCAGAGCTTGCTCTCTGAGAACTGGATGGTGCTGCTACTTCCCATAAAGGCTGAATAAAAAGAGGCATCTGCAGGCAGGAGAAAGCGCTATGGTCATTGCTGGAAGATTCCTTCTGACCATTAGCTATCTCTCTGACCTGGTGTGAGAAGGGTGACAAAAATCGGAGACTTGAAAACAGGCCAAAAAAAAAAAAATGGATTCAAAAGAATTTTAAAAGAATCATGCACAAGTTCTTAATTAGATTCTTTTATCCAAATCCATTTTGTCTGGAAAATAATACCTTACTACGTATCTGTATTCTATTCCTCCATAATCTATTTTATTTTATTTTAATGTTCACAAGAAGCTGGATGCTAGCTACCAAATGAGCAAATCAGCCACGATAACAGAACTGCACTAAAATCTCTCATCAGATATTGATACAGTCAAGACCCTCATGAGTGCCTATGATACAAATTCAGTGTGAGAGGCCAGCTTTCCGCAAGGAGAAGGCAACCAAAGCGGTAGCTAATACTGAGCAGTTCCTATTGCCCAGATCCATTTCTAGGTGCTGAGATCCAGCCAGAGAATCCCACAGTCCTCATTTTTCATATGAAGAAACATGTGAGTGATTCACCACCCCAATCCTCATGTATCATCAGTTTTCAAACAAAGCCAAGTAGCCTCCTGTGCAAAAAGCTCTCCTAACCCCCAGTTGCCTTGATAGGTAAAAGTATTCTTATGACAGTGCTAGAAAAACACGGGCACAAGTGTTCCGGCAAGGTGACTAGAAGGCAAGGCTAAAGTTGTCAAGGTGACAAAGTCCCTGATGGTCCTCTTGAAAGCTGAACGTGCCACCTCATATGTATATGTGTATGTGTGGATGCATATGTGTATGTTGTGTGTACACACCTACACATATATCTACAAATGCATGTGTGTATGCATGCATGTGTGTACACGTGCATGCGCACATGTATCTGTATACATGTATTATGTACACAGTATGCATGTGTACATGTATGTGTGTCTGTGCATGTGTAGATGTATACATGCATGTACACATGCATCTACATATGCATGTGTATGCCTAAATGTGTGTACAAGTGCGTGCATATGTGCACTATACATATGTGTACATTACGTGTGTGTATGTTTCTACACGTGTATCTGCACATGCATACGTACATACATGCATGTACACGTGAATACACACGTGTATGTATATATGTATGTGCACCTGTGTGCACATGCATCTACATATGTGTATAACTGTATGTGTGTGTACTCATGTGTACATGCATCTGCGGGTATGCATTTGTGTACACATATGTCTGCACATGCATGCCTGCAGGCATGGATGCATGTGTGTGTGTGTGCATGCATGCATGTGTATCCATGTATGTGTGTACACAGAATGTTTGTATGTTTGTGTGTAGGTATTCGTGTACGCATAAATGTGCACATGCATGTTTGCATGCATTTGTTTACACATGTGTACATGTGTATGCACATATATGCATGTGTACATGTATACATTGTGCTCATGTGTGCCTACATGTATGTATATATTGTACATGCATTATGTGTGTATGCACATATGTATGTGCACGTGTGTGCATGTGTGTACATGCATGTATGCACACATATGTTATTTGTGTGTGCATGCATTTGCATACATGTTTGTGTGTGCACATGTGTGCACACATGCATGTGTGTAGGCATGTGTGTGGATGTGCACACGTATGTATGGACACGTATTCTTGCATGCACGTGTACATGTATGTGTGCACACAGGCATGTGTAGGGATGTATGTTGTATACGTGTATGTGTGTATACATGTATGTATGTACACAAAATCTGTTTGTATGTACACCTAGATCTGTATTAGTCAGGGTTCTCTAGAAGGACAGAACTAACAGGATAGATGTGTATATGAAGCGGAGTTCATTAAGAAGTACTGACTGACACAATCGGAAGCTGAAGTCCCACAATTGGCTGTCTGCAAGCTGAAGAGCAGGGAAGCCAGTCCGAGTCCCAAAACCTCAAAAGTAGGGAAGCTGACAGTGCAGCCTTTAGTCTGTGGCCAAAGGCTCAAGAGCCCCTGGCGAACCACTGGTGTAAATCCAAGAGTCCAAAAGCCGAAGAACTTGGAGTCCAATATTTGAGGGCAGGGAGCATCCAGCATGGGAGAAAGATGGAGGCCAGAAGACTCAGCAAGTCTTCCTTTTCCAAACTCTTCTGAGTGTATGTATGTATACATGCATGCATGTATACATGTATGTTTTCAATATTTATACACATGGAATCATTTAGGATATTATTAGATCTGGCTTCTTTGATATCAACTTTTCATTATGTTTTTAAATTCCATCTATGTTGTTGGATGACCACTTGCCTGATACTGTTCATTGCAATACAGACTTCCACGTATGAACACATCACAGTTTGTATAACCATATTGCCATTGATAGCTATTACATTATATCTATCCTTCAGTTATTACAAATGATGCCACTCTAAACATTCCTGAATGTGTATCCTGGTACACATAAGCATGCATTTTCTATGCAAAAATGAGTGGAATTGAAACCATCTTTGCAAAAATTATGACAGTGAGAAAAATCTAACATAGCTGACTATCTTGCTTCTAACTTCACAAACTGTCCTTGTTCATTCCTGGGCATAGGCCAAGCTAACTATGGAGGAATTCATAGTTTAATTTTAAAACAAAGATGATAATAGCTGCTTCCCAAAAGTAACCCCTCCCTGCTAAGGGACTGAAACTACCTTTGTAAAACTAACAAATTAGGCATAAGGTTAAAATTATGGTTCAGGAATAATGTAGCTGGAAGTCACAAGATTGTAGCCTCCTCAGTTGCTCCTATAGATAACATCACTACTGTAAAGCCTAAGATTGGTGCTTGATGTATTTTTTAGACCCTGTATTTTGATGGACCAGCTGATGTCACCTGGACAGGTAACCCATTAAAAAACAAACAAACAAACAAAAAGCCGCTAGCCTGACCAACATGGGGAAACCCCATCTCTACTAAAAACATAAAAATTAGCCAGGCATGGTGGTGCGCGTCTGTAATCCCAGCTACTCAGGAGGCTGAGGCAGGAGAATCGCTTGAACCCAGGAGGTGGAGGTTGCAGTGAGCCGAGATCGCACCATTGCCTGGGTGGCAGAGTGAGACTCCGTCTCAAAAAAACAAAAAAACAAAAAGCAAACAACAAAAAAAACTGGCTCAGCTGGTCTCATGAACCCCTGATCCAGGAACTGACTCAGTGCAAGAAGACAGCTTTGACCCTTTATGATTTCATCCCTTACCCAACAAATTAGCATTCCCCAGTCCCTACCCCCTGTCCACCAAACTATCCTTGAAAAACTCTGGCCTCCAAATGCTCAGGGAGGTGGATTTGAGCATTATCTTTCATCCTTCCACTTGGCTGGCCCTGCAATTATTAAACTCTTTCTTTGCTGCAAAACCTGCTGTTCTCACTGCATTGGCTTTTCTGCGCAGCAGACAAGAAGAACCTGTCAAGTGATTACAGAATTGCTGGTAAGAAAAGTGTATCTTCAACTAGATACTGCCACACTCTTTTCCAAATTTACTGCATTCACTTGCACTCGCAGTAGCTGTATATTAGTGTTTTTCTTGCTCTACTTAGTTGAAGTCACTGTAATGTTTCTCATTGTGATTACTATGCATGTTCTCAAACCATTTCCCTGTTTATTTCATTTTAATCTATTGATTGTATTTAAATGTACACTCTGTATTGTAGCCTCTGAAGCTATCTCAAAAACACAGCTTTTTTTTTTTTTTTTTTTTTGTGGTGCCACTGTTTACAAACCTTCAAGCACTTCCTAATGTTGTCTTAAAAGTCAAAGCTTCTTAGACTTTTATGTTTGGTCTGATATGGTTTGGCTCTGTCCCCACCCAAATCTCATCTTGAACTGTAGTTCCGACAACCCCCACATGTCTCAGGAGGGACCCTGTGGGAGGTAATTTAATCATGGGGGTCAGTTACCCTCATGCTGTTCTCATGATAATGAGTTCTCACTAAATCTGATGGTTTTATAAGGGGCTTTTTCTCCTTTTGCTTGGCACTTCTCCTTGCTGCCACCATGTGAAGAAGGGCATGGTTGCTTCCCCTTCTGCCATGATTCTAACTTTCCTGAGGCCTCCCTAGCCATCCTGAACTGTGAGTCAATTAAACCTCTTTCCTTTATAAGTTACCCAGTCTCAGATATGTCTTTATTAACAGCATGAGAATAGACTTACACAGGTCCAATGCTTAACTCTCAAATTTTATATCCCTCTCCTCCTACATTTGAACTCATACTAAACTATTTTTAACTTCCCCCTAAAAATGAAATGTGTATGTCTCAGTTTAATCACAGTCCTGTGAATTAATGGCTCCAATCCTCTCTTCCCTTAACTTTCACAAAGATAACTACTACATATTCTTCAAAAACCTATTTATGACATCCATTGTCTATAAAGCTCTCCCCAGCCTGAAGCCTATGTTAGATTTCCTTACTGTGAGGTCCATGCAACTGTCCATAGTGCTTTCCAGGCTGTATTGCCATGTTTCCATATGGAAATTCCTTCCTGGCATTTCTTGGGAAATTTATAATTTTCCAAATCGTGACAAAAATCAGTCAAGAAAGAAGGAAAATGGGGAAAGTATAATTAAAATTCTGCATAGGCAGAATAATGCCCCCCTCCAAGATATTCGTATTTTAATCCTCAGAACCTGTGAATCTATTACTTTGCATGGGAACAATGACTTTGCAAATGTGATTAAAGTTAGGAGTTTGAGCTAGAGAGATTAGCCTGGATTATCCAGGTGAGCCTAATTTAATTACATGAATCCTTAAAAGTAAACAACCTCTCTCTGCTGTTTCAGAGAGCAATTAAATGACAGAGGATTAGAACGAAGTGACATGAGAAGGAACTGATCTTTCATTGCTTGTTTTGAAGATGAAAGAAGAGGGTCATAAGCCAAGGAATGTAGGAAGCCTAGAAGCCAGAAAGAGCAAGGAAACAGATTCTCCAGAAAGGGACACACACTGCCAACATAGTGAAACCCAGTTTAAACTTCTGATCTACAGAACTTTAAGATAATACATTTATTAATATATTTTTAATACACTAAGTTGTGGTAACTTGTTACAGCAACAACAAAAAACTAATTCACATTCCTCTTAGGGCAGGGGTCCCCAAACCCCAGGGCGCAGACTAGCAACAATGTGTGACCTGCCATAGCAGGTGATGAGTGGCAGGCAACCGAGCATTACCACCGGAGCTCCGCCTCCTGTCAGATCAGATTTTCATAGCAACACGAACCCTATTATGAACTGCTCATGCAAGGGATCTAGGTGGTGTGCTTCTTATGAAAACCTAATGCCTGATGATCTGAGGTGGAACAGTTTCATCCCAAAACCACCTTGCCCCACCAGTCTGTGGAATAATTGTCTTGCATGAAACCAGTCCCTGGCCCCCACAAGATTGGGGACTGCTGTTTTAGGGTATACAGGGTCATATCTGTCTTGAGAACTGCTGCTTCCCTCTTCCAAAGCGATTTGGGGGCATGATTTCCCACACACATAAAGCCCTTTGGTGAGAGTCTGCTACTCACCAAATGAATAAATTAAAACTGCCCCAATTGTGTTCAAGAATGTCTACCTAGATTTTTGGTTAGCTTGAGGTTGAGGTACTTTATGATTGTTCTCCAAAAAGAAGAATCACTGGTATCTTACAAAACAATTCCATTGAACCAGAAGTTATTTCTTGACTATGTTTTACTTGCTTCTTATTTTTATTTTCTACTTTTTTCCTTCACTTGCAAAAGTTTCTCCCATTTGTTTTGAGGGCTTCTATTATCTTACACACATCAGCAAACAGTTGCTGATTGATAAACTGACAATTAATATGCTTTCTGTTAACTTAAAGATATTGTTCTTCAGCTGCAGAAGAGGAGGGACTACAAGGGTCTATACAAGGTTTTACTTGCTCATCTGAGCTGATAATGAATCCTTTTTAAACTACCTTCTTTTCTAAATTGAAACCTGAGTCTGCATGACTCACTAGGCAGGATTTACAGAAAATGTATTAACTAGGATACAGAGCCAATGAATATAAAAGGTACAGCACAATGAGACTTACAAATGTAACTCAAACACTCAGGTGCTGTCACCTCTACTGTGGGCAATCTCAGAAAGATTCACTCTATTCAGGGAATATGCTTTAGGTTCACCTAAACTTCCTTACAGTTTACCTTCCTCAGGTTGTGTTAGTACCCTTGAGGCTAGTCCTCCAAGTATATCTGCTTGAGGATGGGCTGAATGAAAGGAATCTTGGGAAACAGAAATAGCAAAAGAGAAATCTGAATGTAAATGAAAAACAAAGATATAATAAAATCAAGAGACAGAGACAAAGACAAAAAAAAAGACTCAAAAAGAAAAAAGTTTCAAATTTTTTTGCACTTGTTTGGCATCTACGGGCTCAGAAAACTTTGGATCCAAAAAGAAACAGAGAGCATGGTTCCCCTTAGAGCAGCAGTTCCCAACCATTTTGGCACCAGGGACTAGTTTCGTGGAAGACAAATTTTCCACAGATGGTGGAGGGGGATGGTTTTAGGATAATTAAAGCATATTACATTTATTGTGCACTTTACTTCTATTATTATTACATTGTAGTATATAATTAAATAATTATAGAACTCCCCATAATGTAGGATCAGTGGGAGCTCTAAGCTTGTCTTTGTGCAACTAGACTAGACTCACTGGGCAGGATTTACATAAAATGTCTCATTAACTTAGATACAGAGTCTATGAGTATAAAAGGTACAGCACAGTGAGGCTTACAAATGTAATTCAAATACTCATCTGGGAGTAATGGGAGACAGTGACAGATCATCAGACATTAGCTTCCCATGAGGAGCATGCAATCTAGATGTCTCTCATCTGCAATTCACAATAAGGTTCGCGGTCCTATGAGAATCTAATGCCACTGCTGATCTGACAGGAGGTGGACCTCAAGCAGTAAGGCGGGTGATGGGGAGCAGCTGTAAATACAGATGGAAGCTTCACTCACTTGCCCATCACTCACCTCCTACTGTACAGCCCAGTTCTGAAGAAGCAACTAACTTGTATGTGGCCCAGGGGTTGGGGACCCCTGCTTTAAAGAATTTTTTTCTTTTTTTGAGACAGGGTCTCACTCTGTCACCCAGGCTGAAGTGTAGTGGCACAATCTCAGCTCACTGCAGCCTCAACTTCCCAGAGGACTCCAGGGATCCTCCCATCTCAACCTCCTGAGTTGGTGGGACCACAAGTGTGCACCACTACATTCGACTAATTTTTGTATTTTAGGTGAAGATGGGGTTTCACCACATTACCTAGGCTGCTCTTGAGTTGATCTCGAACTCCTGAGCTCAAGCAATCCACCACCTTGGCTTCCCAAAGTGCTGGGATTACAGGTGTGAACCACCATGCCAGCCCTAGAACTAACATTTTAATGGGTATCTATTACATGCCGAGTCACTATGATGATACCTTTGCATTAATTACTACATTTCATTCTTACCTCAGCTCAGGGAGGGAGGTATTGTCTTATGAACTTGTAACAGTCAAGATGGAAAGACAAAGTAGAGCACTGTAAAACAGATAAGCTGGAGAGCTGGACGGAAAACACAGAAAAGGCAGCCACGCATCATTCAGGAAAAGGAATAATGGTGAATAGCCAGATAGATTCAATGTATGAGAGAAAAGGTAAATTAAGAAGAGATGGGCTGGATGCAGTGGCTCACGCCTGTAATCCCAGCACTTTGAGAGGCCGAGGCGGGCAGATCACCTGAGGTCGGGTGTTCGAGACCAGCCTGGTCAACGTGGTGAAACCCTGTCGCTACTAAAAATACAAAAATTAGCCAGGTGTGATGGCGCATGCCTGTGGTCCCAGCTACTTGGGAGGCTGAGGCAGGAGAACCGCTCAAACTCGGGAGGTGGAGGTTGCAGTGAGCTGAGGTTGTGCCACTGCACTCCAGCCTGGGCGACACAGCAAGAGTCCATCTCAAAAAAAAAGCCAGGCACAGTGGCTCACGCCTGTAATCCCAGCACTTTGGGAGGTCAAGGCAGGTGGATCTCTTGAGGTCAAGAGTTCCAGACCAGCCTGGCCAACATGGTGAAACCCCAACTCAACTAAAATATAAAAATTAGCTGGGCTTGGTAGCGCATGCCTGTAATCCCAGCTGCTTAGGAGGCTGAGGCAGGAGAACTGCTTGAATGAGGGAGGTGGAGGTTGCAGTGAGCCGAGATCATGCTACTGCACTCCAGCCTGAGCGACAGAGCGAGACTCCGTCTCAAAAAGAAAAAAAAACAAAGAAAAAAAGAAGAGATGACATGGATGAAAGACCTTTTCTGTACTAAGTTAAAATCTAGTTGGAGTAACAGGTACGGAACAATCACCAGAACTCTCAGTAACAAGCTGCAGCAGATGAAGAAAAATTGAGGCCACTAACGTTGATTTTGGGTCTGACTCCTGTAAATCTCCATTAACAGTGCATGCATCAGGATCCCAAAAATCGCAAATATGCCTGCCGTAGAGACACAGAAGAGGACTTTCTCTTTTTCAGAGTTCCTTCGTGGAAACTTTCAGCTTAGATTTCGGCAGGAAAAATTCTAACATAGCCAAAACCTGCCATAGTATTCTTTAGCCTTCCTCTGACCCCAGTTGTTTCCTTAAGTACCTTGGGAATTTCCACTGAAATCTTGATTATGTCCTGTTCTTTAGATCATCTGTCTGTCCTTTATTGCATGGTCTAAGGTATTCCTTTTTAGTGTGTAAATCACTTTGGAAAATGATTTAGAAAAATAAAAAGACTGCATGGTGTCTAAGAAGAATTTAAAGGGTTTTCAAATGGAATTCCAATGTATCTACACCTTCCAAAAAAAACTCTCTCCTCAGTCTCAAATCCATTGATCACTTTCCTCTACAACTCATCAACTATCCATACTTTATCCAACCCCAACTCATACCCTGCATGCCTCTGACTTGCTTGCCTAATCATGTTCATCCAACCAACATTAATTGATCATATAAGTAACCTATTTGACGTCACTTTCTACTCAAATTTACCTTTCCACCTCAATATGATTCATACACTAAACCTATGTTGTCCCCTGATCCTGCTCCTTTTCCCTGATCTCCAATCTCTTATCCTTCTACTTGACATTAGTCCAAACTTATATTTCTTATTTCCCAAATCGCCATGTCCTTATTCTTACCAAATATTTGGCCGAACTAAAGATATAACTCAATCTTTCTCTCCCATAATCAGATCTTATCACATTAGTTCAGTCACTCACATGATCTAACCCTCTTAGGTGATGTCTCTTTATTCTCTCAGAAGGAGAAATCCTAGGAAACTGCAATTCCCTGCCTCATCTTATCACAAATGCTGCCCCTTATAAACGAACTGCTTCCACAGAATATGTTTCCATACAAAGGCTACTTATATGATTGTCAGATGCAATACAGGATGCCCAGTTACATTTAAATATCGGATAAACAATGAACCATTTTTTTAGTGTATGTCCCATGGGAAAAATATATTCCCTAAAAACTTTTTTAAAATCTATTGTTTATCTAAAATTCAAATGTAACTGGGTTTCCTGTACTTTTTTCTTTCTAAATTTGGCAACCCTAGATACATACACTCTCCATAGGACCAATCTACTTTCCAGTGGATAATCTCAGAAAGAAGTTTCAGACCTACTGGCTTCTAGGAAACAAGATACTGAAATGCACCTTTCCAGGGGCTGCAGTTCACAATTTCCCACTTGCTCAACTCTAGTCACAATAGTCTTTCCATACCCTTCATCTCTATCCTCAAAGCCAGATCCTCTTCAGAACCACAAGAAGTATGTTGCCCAAGCTTGGTCTGGAACTCCTGGGCTCAAGTGATCCCCCCACCTATGCCTACCAAGCAGCTGGGGCTACAGGCATGTGCCACAGTGTCTGGTCAAAAACCTCTTAACTGAAACTCTCCTCCCTTGGTTGTCGTAGTCCACTTTTGTTTTCCTCATAATTTCCTGGCTGCTCCTTCTTACTCTTTATCCTCATACTTAAAACTAAAAATAATCTTTCTAAAGATTTTAAATGTGGGGATAATTGCCCTATTTCCACAGCTTGAAATTCCAAGAATTGCTTCCCATTTCATATAAGATAAATTCCACTAACTGAAATCACATTCAAATGTCTCTGTACTTATTTTCCATCTTCCATTTCAGGCTCATCTTCAGCCAACTCCTTACTTCTATTCCTTCGAGTCTCACCTTATGTCTCATCTCCTACAGAGTCTTTTCTGACTCTTTCTCAAAGTTCTTACAAAGTGCTTCACCTCTATGCCCCCAGATGACCTTATACAACTTCTACCTCTACCACACCACCTAAAACCCCTGCCGTCTCCATACCAGACTGTGAGCCATTAAAGGAGTGGTATTGAGTCTCACTGGCCTTTAATTCCTAACACACAGCATAGTGTCCTGTTTTTTTGGTTTTTGTTTCTTTTTGACATGGAGTTTCACTTTTGTTGCCCGGGCTGGAGTGCCCTTGGCTCACTGCAACCTTCACCTCCCAGGTTCAAGCGATTCTCCTGTCTCAGCCTCCCAAGTAGCTGGGATTACAGGCATGCGCCACCACGCCTGGCTAATTTTGTATTTTTAGTAGAGACAGGGTTTCACCATGTTGGTCAGGCTGGTCTCAAACTCGCGACCTCAGGTGATCCACCCGCCTCAGCCTTCCAAAGTGCTGGCATTACAGGCGTGAGCCACCGTGCCCGGCCTATGGTGTCCTGTTAATTGGAGGTGCTCAATAAATGTTTAACTGAATAAAACAATTAATAAAGAGTACTTTGGGCCAATGTATCCTGAAAGAAAAGGTTGAACAGTTCAATTCTACACATATTCAGACCTTGTTATATGCAGTGCAGAGATCAGAATCCAACTTGCTTAATTTTTATTCCAATAATTTTACACAATACACTCACCACTATTGAGGTAGCCATAAGTATAGTGACTGCAAGCACAGAATCTGGCATCAGACTGTTCACATTACAGCTTCATCAGTAATATGTGATCCTGGGCAAGCTACTTAATCTCTCTGTGCACCAGTTTCCTCCTAAAAGAATACATATCTCACACGATTTTTGTTACAACTGAATGAGACAATAGTGTAAAGTTATTAGAACAGTGTTTGATACATGCTACACACTCAAAATGTTATTATTCAAAATATTAAGACAACCCTGAGTGGAATATTTTGACCTTGAAAGTTTCATTAAAAATAAACATGAAAGTAGAATAAGCTGTAGACCCTCTGCGGAAGAATTCCACTAGTAGGAACATGATTAGTTAATACTGAATACGTGTCTCAGAGACTGCGCTCCCCAATTACTAAACCTCAGCAACTGGCTCACAATCCAAGTCCTTGGCCAGGCTGCCCAGGGTTTAGTTTTCCATATTCCTACTACTCATCTTTTCCCTTTGATAGCTGAGGACATTTAAAAACTGTTTTTTGTTGGTTTGTTTTTTTTAATTTAACAATTGAGCTGGGAGAATACCCAGTGTTCAACCTAAAGAACTGAGTTCTGTTCCAGCCCCACCACTAGGTGATTTACTCTTAGCTGATTCCAAATCAGAAACATAATCAGCAAGGACTGGGGAACCTCCCACAGTACTTTCTCTCGCTGCTGTTTTCTCCACCCACACAAGTCCACCACTTTTAAAAGCATTTCTTCCATCTCGCTGGCCACATCTTCGTGGATGACAGCGCTGCCACTGTGCTTCAGAATCCTCTATCTCTCCCAGATCTTTCCTGGTGTTTCTCTCAGGGTCAGTGGCATCTAATCTTTGTGACTCTACTCCTGGTTTGAGTCCTCGGTTAACAGCCTTGGGGAAACTGTAACATAAACTGCAACGCTGTTGGTGCCGTTTCTTCTTAGACAGGGTGGCAGCGATCGCCTCCCCCCGCAGCCGGCCTTCCACTGCGCCAGCAAGACCCCCTCCCACCAAAACGCCGAGGGCTCCCAGAGCGCAGGCGCCCCGGGCCCCGCCCCTTTCCGAAGACTCGGCTCCTATTGGCCCAGGGGCCGGGGTTGGAACGCCCTAGTGGCCGGAGAGGGGTGATCATGTGACTTGCGGGGGTGGGGCTGCGCCGGCCTCTTCCCAGCCAGCTTGAAAGGGTTTGCGTAGCCGGCCTTGTGGGCCCTTGAAGCGCTCTGTTAAAGCGCTCTGTGGGCGGCCTGGCCCCAACTCCTCTAGTCTAGGCGCACGAAGGGAGTTGCTCCTAGGTCTTGTCCGTGCCGGGTTCGCTTTTCTTTCCTTCCCGAAGCCTGGCCCTTAGATCTACTATCGCAGAGTCTGCGGCCGCCAGGAAGCCCAGATTCGAGTGTCCGGAGAGTAACCGGAAGTGCTGTCCCCAGGCCTAGGGGCGGCGCCGGCGGCTGCCAGGGTAAGCGCGGCCTGCGGGGCCCAGGGGTGGGATGGGTGCGCGGTGGGACCCAAGACCCACGGCCACAGTCGAGTGGGAGCAGCCCCTGTTCCTGGACACTGAGCATGGTCTGGTCTCCGCTGACGGCGGACGGAGGACTGAAAGATGGTCAATGAAAAGTTGAAAGAAGAGAACCTTAGTACGGTAGTTCCTAGAGATAGTAAACACTGCAAGGCACTTTTCAAAGCAATATAATCTTTCATATATATCGAGGAAAAAAAGGACCTTGAATGGATTTTTCGCTTCATCTTCAGTGCAGAAATTAGTTATGTTGCAGTTGAATCTATCTGCAGAAAAATCTGGTTTGTTTAATCTTCCTATAACCATTTCTTTTTGGAAAATGGAATTACAGATAACTTTATATTATATACACTTATCACATGCACTTTGGGGTTTGTAGTGGTAGACGAATGGGTCTTTGATCTTAGGAGTTGAGATAATACAAACAAAAACAATTAGCAGAAGGAGAAAAAACAAACGAAAAACGAGGCTTAGGGCTTTGTTATGAAGTTACAGTTAGTAATAGAAAGATTCTTGACATTTTGTCTAGAGCTGGTCGGAACTGATGGCTACCAGTGGCAGGTACTTCCTGCAGGAGAAACAGTGTAAGCAAAGATGGGAAGAGGTAAGCTATGGTTGAAGGATGCTCACTAGAATGGAGAGGAAATGGGACCAGTTTTCTAGGCCAGCTCTAGAAAAATTATGAATTATAAATTTCACAAGGTCATCGTCTACATTATTGATTTTTCCTCTAGGAGAGGCAAGAATTGAGTGTTGTGAATAGTTCTGAACTAGAGACCTTTTGAAACCAAAAGGAAGATGGTCTTGAGTCTTTCTTGTTACGGTAAGTGGTATACCAGGCTCTGTTTCTGTATAAATGTGGATGGGGGTGTGGGGTGGGGCAGGGTGAAAGACAGGAAAGTATGGGAGAAGATATATGGAAAAAGAGAATGCCCCTTTCTTAGCTCCTAAGATAGCAGAGTGATAAAACTGAGCCCTATCCTACCAACTTAAGGCTATTTTCTACTCCTTTTCAACATGCATGCATATTCACATTAGGCTTGCAGTAATTGCTTTTTGATTGATTTGTAGCACAAAGAGGGTAGTATGCCTAATGCTTAGGCAGGCTCTGGAGTCAGAAGATAGGTATTGAAATCCTGGCTCTGCTGCTTACTATTTGTAAGTTGTTGGGTGATTATCTAACTGCCCTAAGCATCAGGTTTTCCATCTATAAGATCCAAACACTGGTATTAATACCTATTTCATAGGGTCCTTGGGAGGACTAAATGAGATAATCCATGTAATCAATGAAAAATAAATGAGAAATTTCCAAGTCTAAGGCCTATAAACACCATCTAATTTTTAAATAATGCTTTACTAACTTTGTCTCTTGGTCCCATATACCCTTTAAGGATAACCATGAACTCTCAAGTTGTATGAATTAGCCTGTCTGCTTGGACTTTTGTCGTGTTCCAGTTTATTCCTTTCACTTCGACCCTAGGCAGGAAAGAGTACTAGTCTCTTCCTAGGATGGGGCAAGAGAAGCATCCTGAAGGAGGGTACCCTGGAGCTAAGACTTGAAAGATGTATTTGGGCTTGCTAGATGAACCAGCCAGGGCTACTGGTCTAGTCTGTTATACAGCTACTGGGGGTCCAAGGATAATGATTGCCTTTTTGTTCTGGTATTTGTTCACACTTTTCATTTATTCAACAAATGTACTCTAGGTAGTAGGGATATTACAGTAAGCAAAAGACTAAGTCCTAACCCTAATAGAAGTTATATTTTAGTAAAAAGACAAACGAATAAATATAAAATGTATACCATAAAGTTGAATGGTGATAAGTGCTGTGGAGAGAAATAAAATGTGATAAAGCAACACAGGCTATTTTAGATAAGGTAGTCAGGGTATGCTGCTTTTTGAGGAAGTGATCTTCAGGCAGAGACTTGAGTCCAATAAAGGAGTAAGCTGCATGGGGAAGAGCATTCTAGGCAGAAGGAACAAGTGCAAAAGCTCGGAGATGGCCTGTGAGGCTGAAGATAACGCAGAGGTGCCACATTATGTAGAGCAGTAAAAACTTTGGATTTTATTCTGAGTGTGCTAGAAAACAGTATTTTAAATTAGGGAAGTGTCGTGATTTTTTTTTTTTTTTGAGATGGAGTCTTCGCTCTGTCATCCAGGCTGGAGTGCAGTGGCACAATCTCAGCTCACTGCAAGCTCTGCCTCCCAGGTTCACACCATTCTTCTGCCTCAGCCTTCCAAGTAGCTGGGACTACAGGCGCCCGCCACCACACCTGGCTAATTTTTTTGTACTTTTTAGCAGAGACGGGGTTTCACCGTGTTAGCCAGGATGGTCTCAATCTCCTGACCTTGTGATCCGCCAGCCTCGGCTTCCCGAAGTGCTCGGATTACAGGCATGAGCCACCACGCCCGGCCTTATGATCTGTTTTGAGGTTTGACACCCAGACTTATTTTTTAGGTGTTGACATCTAAAAAAAGCTTGGATATGAATAGGAAAATTATTTCCTTATTTATTCAGTTTTTTTTTTCTTCTTCTTAATGCCCCACACTTCATTGGTTGTTTAGGGCAAATAAGACATCTTGGACTGATAACTTTAGGGAATAATGTAAATGATTTGCCTGGCTGTGACAAAACTAAGAATCCTTTATTTTCACTCTATTCTCCTTTTGAGCTTAACACTAATACAAATTTTAAAAGACAAAACCTTTTATGAACCCCCCATCTTATAACAGCTATTTGTCTGTATCCCGGCATATCTTTACTTAGTTGTGATTCTGAGTTGGAATTCTTCCTTTTCCTTCTAATATTTCTCCATAATTTTTTTCTAGTTTTTGCATAATCTTCATATTAATCATTAACTGGCCAAATTGTTTTATTAGTTATTGCAAGTGGGTTTTGAACAAGGCTTTGCACAAGAATCAGGCATAGAAAATGGGCTTAATACATGTTAGTGGTTTTGTGCATGTGAAGGTAGAATTAAGAAAATAATAGAATCTACCATTTATTAAGCATCTACTGAGACCTAGGCATTGAGCTTAGTACCGGCAGTGTCTTTGTTCTCATAGCAACTCTGTGAGGAAAAAAGAGAATATTGAAGTTGAAGGAAATTAAGTTACTAACCCAAGTTCTCACAGCTACAAAGGAGGAGAGTGGGAATTTGAACCAAAATCTGCATCCAGAGCTTAAACTGTCAGTATTAACCACCAAAATAAACCAATCTTTAGCCACCATGTTTTTTGAAAACCAAAATAAAATACCTTTTAATTTTGAATAAGTACAGATATACAAAAAATTGCAAAATGGTACAAAGAACTCCCATATACCCTTCACTCATATGCTCTAAATGTTAACATTTTACCATGTTTGCTTTATGATTTTGCCTCTGTCTATTAAACAAACGTTTTAGTCTGTTTTGGGCTGCTATAACAGAATACCATAGACTGAGTAATTTATAATGAACAGAAATTTATTGGCTCATGATTCTGGAGATTCGAAAGTCCAAGACGGGGGCTGGCATCTAGTGAGAGCCTTCTTGCTGTGTCATTTCATGGCAAAAGGGCAAAGAGAGGGTGAGAGCAAGCAAGAGTGCTCAGAAAGGGACCAAACTCATCTTTTTGTGAGGAACCGACTCCTGAAATAATGGCATTAGTCTATGAGGGTGGTGCCCCTGTTACCTACATACCTCCCATTAGGATCTGTTTCCCGACATCATTGAATTGGGGATGAAGTTTCCAATGCATTAACTTTGGAGGACACATTCAAAGCATAGCAATACACATATACATATGTATAGATTTTTCCCTGAGCCATTTGAGAATAAATTGTAGACATGTCTCTTCTCAAACAGAGAATCAAGCCATGGAATCCTGCTCTCCTATGCATGTACAGTACTGCTAGCTACATGCCATCCCTAGGAGAACTGAGAAAACAGTCATTCGAATACATTTTCTTTGGGGACTTCTTTTCTAGAACCCTAATTGAGAAAGCCTGTCCTAAATATTCAGTTGTATATTTACTAAAAACAAGGATATTCTCTAGAAATTATCATTACCATTATCGGAGTCAGGAAATTAACATTCATACAATAAGTACTATTATCTAATCTCCAGACCTTATTCAAACTTAGCCAATTGCTCCACTCATGTTGTTTAAGACAAAAAGAAAAAAATGTTTTCTGTGGACCAAGATCTAATTCAGCATCAGTCATTTAATTTAATTATAATGTTGTCCCTATTGTGAACATATCTTCAGACTTTGTCTTTCATACCTTTGACATTTTTTGAATATTTAGGCCATTTATTTGGTAGTTTCCCTCAGTTTGGGTTTTTCTGATGTTCCCTCGTGATCAGATTCAGTTTAGACATTTTTGGCAAGATACCGCAGAAGTGATGTTATGTTTTTCTCTTTGCATCATATTAGGAGGCTCATGATGTTTTATCTCATTACTGGTCATGTTCACTTTAGTTGAGGATACCATTAGGTTAAGGTGGTGTCTTCCAGGTTTCTATACTGTGAAGTTACTCTTTTTATATTTATAATTATTAAATATCTAGTGGGGAGATATTTTCAGATTATGTAAATATCTTGATTCTCATAAAATTTTTCATCCAGTAGATTTTTGCACAGTACTCTTCTTTTGATTGAACATCGTGAAATTTTTAATTCCATCATTTCTTCTATATTTGTTTGCTTTTCTAATGCAAAAAAACTTTCCCTTCTATACACTTTTTTTTAATGAGTACAAATTCATGGATTCTTATTGTGTGACTAATTTATTACTGTTATTACTTATTTCAATGTTCTGCTTGTTCCAGATTTGTACAGTGGCAGTCCTTCCATCCTGAATTGTGGGTCCTTCTGGCATATTGCACCACTTTTTGAGCACTTCCTTACTTTCTGACACATCAGGATGGTCCAGGCTTATCTTATACTTTCCAAACCGTGGAAACAGCCATTTCTCCAAAGAGTCTTGATTCTTTTCAATGTAGAATGGTATTTAGAAACCCATGTCTGAATGCTTGGTATACTCATTACTACTAGGATTTTATTGTTTCCATGACTTCTCAGCAAACATTACTAGGAAAAAAAAATAAACATACGTAATTTCACACATATATACGTTTCTTTATTCTCTATATAAACCTTAAAATCTTGACTTATACTGGTACTTCTAATTCCAGTTAAACACTACAGAGTTCATTCTAGCCTTTCTCTTTTCTGTTTGTAGCCTTCTTCATTGACAATGGGGAATCTAGGTGACATTATCCATAGTATATTTACTTATTTATTCGGTCCTAGGATACACATTAAGTAGTGTACCCTTATCCCAACAGGGGAGAAAATCTGTACTGATTCGAGTTATTTTTATCTTTAGATTGAATATACATAGTCCCAATATTGTGTTAGAGTTATTTTTTTTTCTCTTCTGTGTAGTTGTTATTTATTTGAAACACAGGCGCATTTGTTTTTATGCTTTTCTCTTCCATCTTGACTATTTAGTTCATTAGTTCATTCATGTATTGAATATGTAAAATGTAACATAATTCTAAAAGTAAAAATATGTGTGCTGTGTATTCATATTCTCAGAGAAATGTGACTCTTCTCCTCCACCCAATTCTGTTTTCCTGTGCCATCAATTCCATTTTTATCTGCCTTGTAATGATAACCAATCTCATTAGTTTCTTGTTTTTTGGGGCAAGTGGAGAACTACATATATAATTTTTTATTTTTACTTTCTTACATAAAATACAACATACTTTTTTACACTTTGCTTTTTTAAATTTATAATTTATCCTGGAAATCACTCCACATCAGTTGATAAAGATTTTCCTCATTCTCTTTTACAGTTGCATAGTACTCCATTATGTGTGGATGTATGTACCATAGTTTATTCACCATTTTCTTACATACAGATATTTATTTTAAATATTTTCCCGTTACAAACATTACTATGAGTAATTTTATGCTTTATATTTTCATGTTATTGGAGGTGAATCTTCAGAGTCCATTTCTAGAAATGGGATTGCTGAGTCAAAAGTAAATGTATATCTAGTTTTGTTACATATTGCCACATTCCCCTCCGGACGAGATTGTACCCATATGCATTCCCTCCAGCAACGTATGAGTTTGTTTGTTTCCTTACAGTGTTGACCGCAAAATGCATTGTCATGCCTTTTAATGTATACTGATTTAATTGGTGATACTGGTATTTCATGTACTTTTAAAAAATTATTTCTTTTTTTATAGACTTACCAGTTTGCATTCCCTCCAGCAACATATGAGTGTGTCTGTTTCCTTACAGTGTCGACAACAAAATGCATTGTCATACCTTTTAATATATGCAGATTTAATTGGTGAGAACTGGTATTTCATGTACATTTAAAAAATTATTTCATTTTTTATAGACTTTATTTTTTAGAGAACTGTTAGGTTCATAGCAAAACTGAGCAAAAAATACAGAGAGTACCCATATGTCCCCTACCACTCTCTTTACCCTGACACATGCACATACCACACACATAGCACACACAGCATCCCCCGCTGTTAATCTCTTCAACAGAGTGATACATTTCTTACAATCAGTGAACTTAAGTTGATACATCATTGCCACCCAAACTCCATAGGTTACATTAGGGTTCACTCTTTATGTTGTACATTCTATGGGGTATCTACAATTTTTTTTTTTTTTTTGAGACGGAGTTTCACTCTTGTTGCCCAGGCTGGAGTGCAATGGTGCGATCTCAGCTCACTGCAACCTCTGCCTCCCAGGTTCAAGTGATTCTCCTTCTTCAGCCTCCCTAGTAGCTGGAATTACAGGCTCCTGCTACCAGGCTCAGCTAATTTTTTGTATTTTTAGTAGAGAAGGGGTTTCACTATGTTGGCCAGGCTGATCTCGAACTCCTCACTTCAGGTGATCCACCCGCCTCAGCCTCCCAAAGTGCTGGGATTGCAGGCATGAGCCACCATGCCTGGCTTGACTTGCCAGTTTTTTTAAACTGGTTTGTTTTCTTGTTGAGTTTTAAGGGTATATGTATATTTTTGTATATTTTGGAGATTTTTAAATGTTTGGAATAACAGTCTTTAATCAGATGTGTCTTCTGCAAATATTTTCTCCCAGTCTGTGGCTTGTCTTCTCATTCTCTAGACAGTTTATTTCATAGAGCAGACATTTTTAATTTTAAAGTCCAGCTTATCAATTTTCCTCCATGGATCATACCTTTGTTGTTGTATCTAAAAAGTCATTGCCAGCACAGGCATGGTGGCTCACGCTTATAATCCTAGCACTATGGGAGGCCAAGGTAGGCAGATCAGTTGAGCTCAGGAGTTCAATACCAGCCTGGGCAACATGGTAAAACCCATGTCTCTACCAAAAATAGAAAAAATTAGCCTGGAGTAGTGACACATGCCTGTGGTCCCAGCTACTCAGGAGGCTGAGGTGGGAGGACCACTTGATCCTGGGAGGCGGAGATTGCAGTAAGTTGAGATCGCACCACTGCACTCCAGCCTGGGACACAGAGCGAGACCCATCCCAAAAATATAAAGTCATTGCTATACCCGAGTTTATCTAGATTTTCTCCTATGTTATCCTCTAGAAGTTTTATAGTTTTGTGTTTTATACTTAGGTATCTGATTCATTTGGGGTTTGTAAATTTTTTTTAATTGAGAAGTAAGTATGTATGTATTTATGATGTAGAACATGATGTCTCAATATATGTATACATTGTGGACTGGCTAAATCAAGCTATTTAACATATATTACCTCACATACCATTTCTTGTGGTGAGAACATAAAATCTACTGTCAGCAATTTTCAAATATGCAATGTATTTTTATTAGGCATGATGTAGAACTCTAGAACTTACCTACAGTACAACTCTAGAACTTATTCCTCCTGTTTAACTGAAATTTTGTATCCTTTGACCAATTTCTTCCCAACCCTGCTATGTCTCAGCCTCTGGTAACCACCATTTTACCATCTGTTTCTATCAGTTAGACTGTTTTATACTCCATATGTAAGTGAGGTTATGTGGTATTCATCATTCTGTGTCTGTCTTATTTCACTTAACATAATGTCCTCCAAGTTCATTTATGTTGATGCAAATGAGAGAATTTTATTCTTTTTTTTTTTTTTTGCATGTGAATGTCTAGTTACTTCAGCACCATTTGTTGAAAAGACTGTCTTTTTCTGCCTTGTATTTATTGCCTTTGTTCCTTTATCATGGATCAGCTGACTCTATTTATATGGGTATATTTTTGGACTCTATTCTGTTCCATTTATCTATTTGTCTGTTTTTTCACCATTACCACACTTTCTTGATTACTATAGCTTTAGTCTTGTAACTTCAAATAGTATAGTAAGTGTTGAAGTTAGGTAGCATCAGTCCTCCAACTTTGTTCCTGCCCTTCAGCATTATGATCGCTAATCTAGGTCTTTTACCTCTTCATATAAACTTTGTATCAGTATGTCAATATTCACAAGATAATTTGCTGGGATTGTGTTGAATCTGTAGTACAAGTTGGGAAGAACTGACTATTTGACAATATTGAATCTTCTTATCCATGGATGTGGAATATCCCTCCATTTATTTAGTTCTCTTTTTTATTTCTTAGAGTTTTCAAATTTTCTTTGCATAAATTATGAACATATTTGGTTAGATTTATACTTAAGATGTTTTATTTTTTAGAGTGTTAATGTAAATGGTATTGTGTTTTTAATTTCAAATTTTACTTGTTCATTGCTGGTATAGAGGAAAATAATTGATTTGTATGTTAACCCTGTATTGTACAACCTTAACTGTAATCACTTCCTAGTCCCAGGAGTTTTTTGTCAATGATTTTTTCAGATTTTTACATATATGGTCATGTCACTTACAAAGACAGTTTTATTTCTTCCTTCCTAATCTCTATACCTTTTATTTCCTTTTCTTGTCTTGTAGCATTATCTCTCTATTCCAGTATTATGTTGAAAAGCAGTGGTGAGAGAGAACATTCTTACCTTGTTCCTGATGTTAGCTGAAAGCTTCTAAGTTTTCACCATTAAGTATGATGTTAGCAGTGGTTTTCTTGTAGATGTGCTTTATCAACTTGAAGAAGTTTCTCTTTGTTCCTAGTAATATCACTTATTTTAATTTGCATTTCTCTAATTATGAGATTGAACAGCTTCTCATATATTTAAGGGACATTTTTATATTTTGTGTGTGTGAGAATTGTCTTTTGCTTATTTTTCTATCAGATGTTTGTCGTTTTCCCTCAATTTTTAAGAGATCTTTATATATTAGGTATATTGTCCCTGTATCTCAAATATTGTTACAAATATTTTCTCTTAGTTTGCCCATTGACCGTTGACTTTGTTCATTTTTTATATATATAAAATGTTTTTGGCTGGCACAGTGGCGCACGCCTGTAATCCCAGCACTTTGGGAGGCTGAGGCGGGCAGATCACCTGAGGTCGGGAGTTCGAGATCAACCTGACCAACATGGAGAGACCCCGTCTCTACTAAAAATACAGAATTAGCCAGGCATGGTGGTGCATGCCTGCAATCCCAGCTACTCAGGAGGCTGAGGCAGGAGAATCACTTGAACTCAGGAGGCAGAGGTTGTGGTGAGCCAAGATCACGCCATTGCACTCCAGTCTGGGCAACAAGAGCGAAACTCAGTCTCAAAAAAAAAAAAAAAAAAATATATATATATATATATATATATATACACACACACACACACACACACACACACACACACACACATATGTATGTATATATAAAAGAAAACTTTAAAAAAAGTTTTTATTTTTAGTCAAATGATCAGTCTTACAGATAGAAAATTTTTGGTACCCTAAGATTAATGTAGAATTTACTTTAGTTTTCTTGTAGTATCTTATCATTTCCATGTATACATTTAGAACCCTAACCAATTGGGAGTTTATATTGGTGTGTGGTATGAAGTGTAGACCAAATTGTACCTATTTTCATGTGGCTACCTTGATGTTTTACCATCATTTATTAAAAAGTCCATTTTTGCCCTGGTGATTTGAGATGTCATCTTTATTGTATACTAAATTTCTATATGTGTTTATTTCTGGATTTCCTTTTCTATTTGTCCCTTTATCTAATTGTGTTTTGGAACTCTGTTGTTTTAATATTAGAAGCTTTAAAGTTTATTTTAATGTCTCATGGGTTTAGTTACCCTTCATAGTCTGTCTTTTCATTGCTTCATGGCTGTCCTTGTTGGTCTTTTCAAAGTGAACTTGAGTAGCAACTGTACAGCTTAGGCATTGGAGATTTTTCTTTAAAGGGCCAGAAAGTATTGTATTTAGGCTTTGGTGGCTATCTGGTCTCTATTGTGACTACTCAATTCTGCCTTTCAATACATTAATGAATAAGTATGACCCTATTTCAGTAAAATTTTATTTGAAAAAAACAGGTGGCAGGCCAGAATTGGCCTGTGGGCCATAGTTTGCCACCCCTTAGTCTAGTTTCATAAAGAAGCTTGTTATTTTTATTGAGATTGCATTGTTTATAAATCTTAGGAGGGAACATCTTCATAATGTTGAATTGTTCTATGCAAGAACAAAGGCTGTCCTTCCATTTATTCGAGTCTATTTTTGGGTCTCAGGAGGGAGAAGTTTTCCTATGCTTTATTTGGCATGGCTATGTTTTATTTATTTCTAAGTAGTTTTATATTGCTGCTGTTATACAAAGGTTGTTCTCTATCATTGTGTGTTCCAATTAGTTATTCTTTATATTTATGTAAAAAACTGGTGGTTTCTGTGTGGCAAATTTTATATCCTGCTACCATACTGAATTCCTTTATCATTTGAGTTAGTTTTAGCATTGGTCCTTTGTAGGGTTTTCTAATTCTACTATTAAATCACCTCCAAATAGAGATAGTTTTACTTCTTTCACACCTCTAATTGATTTTTCTAATTGCATTGATTAATACTTCCAGGTCAGTGATTGAAAAGAGAAGTATTGGCCATACTTGCCTTGTTCCTGATCTTAGTAAAAATTATTGTAGTTTTTCTAACTTAAGGTACTGGATGAAGGAATGTATGTTTTATCATATTAAAAGGAAATATCTATTAATTTCCACTTTCTTGAGTGTTTTTATCCAGAATAGATGTTGATTTCTGTTGCAGGTTCTTTCACTATCTATGGAGATAATATATTATTTTTCTCCATAGGTCTGTTCATATGGGGTATTATATTTAGTGGATTTCCTCATATTGAAAGATAGTCTAATTTTGAACCAATTTTGCAAAAATTCCACTTGGTCATGGTATATTATTTTCTTAATGTGGTATTGATTTTTGTTAGTATTTCTCACATTCATAAAAAATGTTAGCCAGGCATGGTGGTGTGTACCTATACCCCAGCTATTCAGGAGGCTGAGCCAGGAGAATTGCTTGAGCCTAGGAGCTTGAGGCTACAGTGGGCTATGATTGTGCCACTGCTCTCCAGCCTGGGTATCAGAGCAAGACCCCGACTCTTTAAAAAAAAAAAAAAAAGCGATATTGGATATTAAAATTTTTTTATGCTCTCTTCATCAGGTTTAGTTACCAGTGCTATCCTTATTTCACAAAAAGAATTAGGAAGTTGTGCTTCATTTTCGGTGCTCTGGAAAATATGTATGAAGCATTGTATTTATTTGGTCTGTGTAGATTTATAGAATTATTTCGTGAAATAATCTGGGCCTAGTGCTTTTTATGGAATGGTTCCTTTATAACTTTTTCTATTTATTCTCTGCAAATTGGTGTTTTAAGACTTTATATCTTTAATGGAGTCAACTCTAATAAATTGTGTTTCATAAAGAAACCCTTATTTTATAGTTAATCATATTTATTTATATAGAGATTTGCAAAGTGGTTTCATGTATGTGTGTTTTTCTTTTCGGTGGTTATTCTTCCTTGTCATTTCTTATTTTGTAAATGTGTGCTTTCTTCCTTTTTTTCAATTAAGTAACCTAGTGGTTTATCTGTTTCTTTAAGTTTTACAAAATAAGTATGATTTTGATTTATCATTAGATTTACTGTCTTTTTGTTCTCTAGTTCATTGATTTCTCCTTTTATCTATTTTTGTTATTATTTTGATTTTTTTTCCCATTAAAAAACAAAATAGAGACAGGATCTTGCTATGTTGTCCAGGCTGGTCTTGAACTCCTGGGTTCAAACAATCCTACTGCCTCGGCCTCCCAAAGCACTGGGATTGTAGGTATGAGCTACCATACCTACTTATTTATTTAAAATAGAAATTGGGTCTCATTAATATTGCCCAGGCTGGTCTTGAACTCCTGGGCTCAATTGAAATTTATTTTTTTCTTAGCTTTTGATCTAAGAATTTAACTTGTTCATTTAAATTCTTCTGTTTTTATTGATTAAAGAAATATAGGCATGAACTGGTTTAAATTTATCCCATAGATTGTAATATATAATATTTTCAATTATGAATACTTAAAAATTTTGTTAACTTTTTCATTGCCCCTTTTACTGAATAGTTTTTTAACAGTTTATTTTCCCCCCATTTGAAAGGACCTTTGGTCGCTTGATATTTTAATAAATTTCTAGTTTTGTTGCAGATTGTTTCTTGTAATGTTTCTTTGCGATAATGATGCTTCCTTTATTACATAATATATGACAGATTTTTGTGGATGATTCATGTGTTCTTAAAAAGAATGTGTACTTATCAGGACATACGGTTTAATATAAATAAGATTTACTTATTAATTAGGTTATTTAGGCCTTCTGCATCATTACTTCTTGGTCCAGTTTGTATGTCTTTTATTGAGAGTGGTATATTAAGCTTTCCTATTATTAATATTTTTATCTCTGTTTCTTTGTATCTGTTTCTCTGTTTTTCCTTTGTAAATGTGCCTGCTGTGTAATGTGATACATAGATAACCATGACTTTAGTGTAATTTAGAAAGTATTATTATGTTTAATTCTTTTGGCTTGAACTCTACTTTGCCTGATATCAGGATCAAAAGCCCTACTTTTATTGTTTCTGTTTGCCTAGTGTTCCTTTTCCCACCTCCTTATTTTTAGCCTGCCTGAATCACTTTGCTTTAGGTGTCTCTTGTATTTAGCATATAGTTAGGTCTTGCTTGTGAGCCAAAATGAAAATCTCTTTCTTTTAATAGGTGTGTTAAGCTCATTTATATTTATTGATATAGTTGATGTTTGGTTTTAACAATGTCATATTGTTATAACTGTATTTTGTTACTTTTTTTTCTACGATAGGTTTTCATAGCTCTTTCATGACTTTCTGTTTTGAATGTTTGATTTTTGTTATATTAGCTACTTTTGTACTTAGATTTATTTATTTATTTATTTATTTATTTATTTATTTATTTATTTTGAGGCGGAGTTTCGCTGTTGTTGCCCAGGCTGGAGTGCAATGGCCTGATCTTGGCTCACCGCAACCTCCACCTCCTGGGTTCAAGTGATTCTCCTGCCTCAGCCTCCCAAGTAGCTGGGATTACAGGGATGTGCCACCACACCCGGCTAATTTTGTATTTTTAGTAGAGACAGGGTTTCTCCATGTTGGTCAGGCTGGTCTCGAACTCCCGACCTCATATGATCCGCCTGCCTCGGTCTCCCAAAGTGCGGGGATTACAGGCGTGAGCCACCGCACCTGACCATACTTAGATCTTTTTTAATGCCTTTAGTTCATTAAAAAAATAAATTTTTATATTTAACCTTTAATTATTTGGTTTTTAAGGGTTTCTAAAATTTTTCTTTTCTAAAAGGCCATTTCAGCTTCAGATGGTTTTTTAGTTTAATAGTGTACTTTAATTCTCACCTGCCATAAATACAATATAGTAATCCCACCTTATTTGTGGGGGATATGGTCCAAGACTCCCAGTGTATACCAGAAACTGCAGATAGTATTGAACCCTAAATGGCTTTTTTTTTTCTATACATACTTACTGTGATAAAGTTTTTTGTACTTAGAGTGGGTTTTTCTTTCTGGCAATGAATTTTAGGTCAGTCTTGCCCACTGCTAGCTCTCTTCTCTTTACCTCTCATTCTCAGATTGTCCTTGCTCTCCTTGATAGCTTATGGCTAGAATGTGAGAGACAGCTATATGGGATTTGGTGACAGTGTGGGCTTTGTATAGTACATTTGTTCTTCTTATTCTTACTGCTTTTAAAGGATGTGTTGAGAGATTTGGATTTCTGTAGCCACTGTTATCCCCTCTGACTGTGTTTTATTACCACATTCTTTATATTTCCTCTAGAGATATTTTCCTTTTTTTTTTCATATTTAAGTCAGTTTTCTGTCCACTGACTTCCATGGCCAATTTTAAATAATTGGTGTGCAAACACCGCATGTTCTCACTTATAAGTGGGAGCTGAACAATGTGAACAGTTAGACACAGGGAGGGGAACAACACACACTGGGACTGTAGCAAGGTGCGGGGGGAGGGAGAACATCAGGAAAAATAGCTAATGCATGGTGGGCTTAATAACTAGGTGATGGGTTGATAGGTATAGCACATGTTTACATAGGCACACATTTACCTATGTAACAAAACTGCACATCCCGCACAGGTACCCTGGAACTTAAAATAAAAATAAATAAATAAATAGATAAATAAATAAATGGTGTGAAAACTTACAGGTTTTCTGAGAAGTCTCAGTTGACAATTACGTTTTACAACTTCCCTCACTTCTATATTTAGGGCTACACCGAGCTTAGGCCCCATACTGAAGAGGACCAAAAGGGGGAAAAAAAAGAAATAAAATCACTGCTGGTTGAATGGCATTTAAAATTCTGCTCTTTCCTGACTTGCATGCTATGTGCTTTTTGGAGTTGTCAAATAACTGGGCCATACATTCTGTCCAGACTTCATAGTTGGATTCAATGGGATGACATCTGTGACATGTATTTACTCCATCTTACCTGGAACTAGAGCCATAAAACATGTCATTTTAATACTAGCAGCTATAAGCTAAGTGTCATAGAGAGCCTCAGCTGTATGGCCCTATATGTTGCCTGGGTCCAAGTAGTTCCATTTTTGCTTCTGATCCTCAGTAGCAGGAAGGTTGTTGAGGGAACTGCAAGTCCCATTAACCTAAGGATAAGGCAGGTTAAAACTTCTAGAGAAAGACATCAATGGTTAAGTGTGGACTCTCTAACTTCTTTTTGTGCCCCTAATTGACCACCTCCTGGGTTGTTTGTGGTTGAAATATAAATCAGCTTAGGGTGTTATAAATTTTGAATTACCAAAATTGTGATGATTACGTGGGTTGCAGTGGTGGTAAGGTGGTAATTTTGTTATAATCCCAAAAATACTTTGTAGTCCCTATTACACTTTGGATCAGGACAGCCTGAGTTCCTGTAGGGAAGATAATGCCTTCGTGTTTTCAAGATACCACCAAGATTTAGTGTTAGGAGCCCTTTCCTTCAATGTTGTTATAGTTGCAAAGGAAGCTATAGATTGTGCAGATGGGTTATAGATTCTGTATTGTCCTTTTCTCTAAAGAGTCATATGGGATGATTTAAGACTCTACAGAATTGAATTTAAGGGATTAGATAAGAAAACCCATCTGTTCTTTTTAACTGTAGTTTACCCATTGTTAAATCCTTTGAGTGTAAATGATCTAGTGCTAAATTCTCTCATTTATGGCTTTTTATCCTTGTCTTTGTGTTTTACAGAATGCTATCTTCTTTGAGAAGTCAAATTGTCAGGATCAGGAATGTATGTTTTCTTCCATCTGGATTCTAGGTAAGCTGCAGTTACTTCAGTATTTTGAAGTATCCCTTCTCTTTCCCAGACTCCATCTCATCAGAGTACCTCCCATTCTTTGTGACATTCAGTCCTTTTATCAGACAAGGAGAGAAGTAGAATTTCAATGAGAATTCATACATGTACTCAGCAGATGCTTATTAAGCACCAACTTTGTACCTGGCATTACTGTATATGGTAAGGAAAGATAAAACAGACATCCTTGTCATATTTTAGCAATAGACAATAAACTGAATAAAGTGAATTATATAGTATGTTAGAAGGTTTTAAGTGCCATGAAGAAAAGTAAAGCAGAAAAGGGGAATAGTGAATGCTGGGGCATGAAGACTATTCACAACTTTAAACAGAGTGGTTAGGAAAGGCCTTCCTCAGAATTGACATCTGAAAAAATAGTCTTTGAAGGAATTAAGAGAAATTCATACACACATCTGGAGGAAGAAAGCTGTAGGCAGAAGAAAGAAAGGGCAAAGGCCCTAAGGATAGTATGTTTGGATGAGGAACAGCTAGGAAGCCATTGCGGCTGGATTAGAACATGCAAAGAGAAGAATAATATAAAAGGGTGTCAGAGAGGCAGTGACAGGCTAGCAGGGCAGCTCAAGTGGGCCTCTTGGGCTATTGTGAAAGTAAGAAATAAGAGTGGTTTGGACTGGAATGTAACAACAGAAGCTGGTGAGAAGTGGTTAGACTCTGGATGTGTTTTGAAATGGAGCCAACAAATTTGCTGATGGCTTGATTGTGAGGTGTGAGAAAGAAGAGTGCAGGATGACTTCAAGGTTTTAGCCTGAGGAAATAAAGGATGAACTTGCCATAAACTGAGATGAGGCAGGTGATAGGTGGAGTAGATCTGGAATCCAGCCCCAGTATAAGTCCTTTGCTCACTTCCTTTGACTATAAGGCAAAAACAGATACTTGCCATTTAGCTCTGTAAACTGAATTTAATAAAAGAAAATAGGAGTAATGCTTGTGATACGTTAGGCTTTGAGGATTGAGATTATGACGGTGACAGAGTATACTGTGGACTTGTAGTCTAAGGAGTTCTGTGATACCGTGAAAGTCACCTGAAAGATGTAATTTGGACCAAAAAAAAGTAATTTCTAGGACAGTTCATAGATCATGGAGATATGCTCAAATATTTCTGAAGGGGGCCTACCCCTCCACACCTGTGGGTATTTCTTGCAAGGTCCTGTGGGTAAGGTGGAGACGAGAGACTGAGAAAAGAAGACAAAGAGAGACAAAGACAGAGACAAAATATAGAGGAAGAAAAGTGGGCCCAGGGGACCGGCGCTCAGCAAGTGAGGACCTGCACCAGCACTGGTATCTGAGTTCCCTCAGTATTTATTGATCACTCTCTCACTATCTTGGTGAGGGGGATGTGGCAGGACTATAAGGTAATGGTGGGGAGAGGGTCAGCAGGAAAACATGTGAGCAAAGGACTCTGTGTCATAAATAAGTTTAAGGAAAGGTGCTGTGCCTGGATGTGCACATAGGCCAGATTTATGTTTGACTTTACACAAACATCTCAGTGCAGTGAAGAGCAGTATTGCCTCCAGCATGTCTCACCTCCAGCCATAAGGCGGTTTTCTCCTATCCAAGTAAATAGAATGTACAATCGGGTTTTACACCGAGACATTCCATTCCCAGGGATGAGCAGGAGACAGATGCCTTCCTCTTATCTCAACTGCAAAGAGGCCTTCTTCTTTCACTAATCCTCCTCAGCACAGACCCTTTACGGGTGTCGGGCTAGGGGACGGTAAGATCTTTCCCTTCCCACGAGGCCATATCTCAGGCTGTCTCAGTGAGGGGAAATCTTGGACAATACCCAGGCTTTCTTGGGCAGAGGTCCCTGCGGCCTTCCACAGTGCATTGTGTCCCTGGGTACTTGAGACTGGAGAATAGCAATGACTTTTACCAAGCATACTGCTTGCAAACACATTTTTACCAAGGCACATCCTGCACAGCCCTAAATCCATTAAACCTTGAGTCAATACTGCACATGTTTCTGCGAGCACAGGGCTGGGGCTAGAGTTACAGATTAACAGCACCTCAAGGCAGAAGAATTTTTCTGAGTACAGATCAAAATGGAGTTTCTTATGTCTTCCTTTTTCTACATAGACACAGTAACAGTCTGATCTCTCTTTCCCCCACATATTTGAAATGTAGGATTTTAATCACTGTATTTAGCATAAACATGTCTGTTTTGTTTAGCTTGTCTACTTCAGTTTTGACTTCCCTATTCTTGTTAGCCTTGCAGTGCATTTTTCTCCCATTATGTCCCGCGGTGGTCACAATACTACATTTCTTGTGGATCTGTGTTTTGACTCTGAAGAAATTGCACTACTCCCACCTCATTCAGTTCTTTCTCCTATCCCTTTAAGTTTTAGAACAGTTCTGAGTTGACATTTGAAATCTTGGTATATCTTTTTATATTTATAAATAACTTTTACTTACTACAATAAAATTGAGTAAAAGTAGCAGCCTCTGTGCCTTTCGCAAGGAAAGCATACAAATTGCTGAATGGAAATTAGAAAACTGTTGTTAACAAATTGATGAAACAGAATGTTATGTATCATCTCATTACCCAGAGGTAACCATGTTAGTACCATGTGTTTTGGATCCTTTTGACTTCCTGTTTTCTCTGAGTGCACATGTTCCTTTGTGTTCTGGTCCATTACACTTACTAATTTGCTGTATTCAGTGAGCTTTAATATCATTTCCTTTACAAATAGGCTCCAATCTAATATCTAGTTTCTTGGATTCTGGACCTTTTTGATAATTTAAGAAACCGTGTACCTTCTCCCCAGAAAAGTGCACATATACTGTACATTTTGCAGTCAAAGTTTTCATAAATTACCTGGGAGTCTGTGGATGCCAAGTAAGAACTCCTCTTCTAGGTTTGAGTGCCTACTCTGTGCCAGGCACTTTTCTGAGTGCTGGGGAAACAATAGTGAATGAAGTGAGCCAAAAATCCCTGTCTTTTAGGGGCTTACATTCTATGGAGAAAAACAAAATAGGAAAGGAGAGGAGTGTTGTTTTTGTGAGTCAGCTGGGACGGAGATGTGGTACAGTTTAGAATAGGGTGGTTGGAAATGACTTCACTGAGAATATGCCTGTTGAGCAAAGATGTGAATGAGGTGAGAGAGAGAGCCTTGAAGATTCCTGGAGGAAGAGCCCTTCATCCAGGAAGAGATATCAAGGATAAAGACCCTGAAATGGGAGTGAGTCTGGCTTGTTTGAACAACAGCAAAGACTCAGGGTGACTGGAGTGCAATGAGTAAGTAGAGGAAGAGCAGAGAAATGGATCAGAGTAGTAACTACGAGTCAGATTTCTTAAGAGCTTGTAGGTTTCTAACAGAAGCAGTTTTGGTGGAGTAGTGAGGGTTGATTGTTTAATTGGAGTATGTTCCAGAAACCTTGGAAGACAGAATTGGAGACAATGAGCAGGTTTATTTATTTCAAAGCGTTTTACTGCGGAGAGGAACAGAGAAATGGGACAACAGCCTGAGTGTGAGGCAGTTGAGAGGTTTTTCTTGTTGATTGTGCTTTTGTTTTTGAGAAGAGAAATAATATTGGAATGGTCCAATACGAAGGAATAAATTGATAATGCAGGAGAGGGAGGGTGGAATTGCTAGAGTGATGTCCTTGTGAACAAAGGGGGTATACAGATGGAAAGGCTATCCTTAGATTGAGCAAGGAAGTTTGTCATCCCTGGTAGCTGAAGGAAAGATGCAGTACGTGACCACACTTACAAGAGGTTGGTTGATGTGGTGGGGGCATGTGGAAAGGATTTTGGTTTTTGTGTATGTGTTGTTGTTTTGCTTGCTTGCTTCCATTTTCTTGGTAAAATAGGAAGCAAAATTATCAGGTTATACTCTTTAGGTGACAGACGAGGGGTCTGAATGTATGAGGGAGGGTCAAACATGAAAAGATCACTGAAGAGAGTTAAGTGTGAAGGATATGGAAAATGGCTTTTTTTCTTCCTTTTATTTCTGTTCTTTAGTCTATTTTTGGTAATTGATAAATGCATTGACTTATTACTCCCTCTGAACTCTCTTGTATCAACCTAACTTTTTTTTAAGATACTTGATCCTTTAGGTGTTTCTGTATGTGTACATACCTCTAAACCACAGAATGAGGAGGAAAAAACTTTTTTTTACAACTTTTCACCATGTAAAGAAAAGCCTGTTATAAAATCTATGTTCCAAGCCTAGACTTGTATCTATAATCAGTCAGGATTTTTCTTTTTGAGCAAGTTATGTGCTTATATAATCATATCAAAGCAGAATCTTAAGCCCCTTTGTCATAATAACAGTGATAGTAAGAGCCAAAACAGAGGGCTTACCAGGAGATTCATAGCGATTTAATATTCCACAGAACCGTGTAAGGTAGTTTCTATTATTAATCCACTTTACAGATGAGGAAACGAGGCATACAGTGGTTAAGAAACTTGCCTGATATCACCACTACGAATTAGAGTCATAGAAACCTTACTTTTCTCTCTGGTCACTTGGAATTCTAATGATCATTAACTACTTTCTTCCAAGCTTTCTGCAGAAAGGACTCCAGAGATACTCATTCACTGTCCCTTTTGATTTGCTTTCTTCATGAGCAGGCATAATAATTATTAGTCTTGTCTTGATTTCTCAACTGAAGCAAGGAAAGATGAAGAGCTCTTGTTTAAAATTACCCAGATTCATAGAGAAAAGAGTTCTTACTTGCAGTTTCCCATATGTATTGCTGATCAGTTTTATATTAGCAAAGAGTAAAAGTAAATAACTGATTTCAAGCCATATAAAACCTAGAAGACTTAGGGACTCTGATACAGAGTTTGTCTTTTCTGCAGTGATTTTAATTTTGAGAATTCTTTTCTTAGTCATAGGAATATAAATAATATTTCTACTTTGTCTCACAGGGTTGGAAATACCAAGTAAGGAATTAACATATATGATGCTGGAAACTTGTAGAGGCTCATGATTGAAAGGCCTGAAACAGATGTATCTTCCAAGTTCTTATCAAGAAAATGACTGTGAGGGCAACGATGGGTCAAGAAGACCAGCGGAAAACTCCCTAGGAGAGAGCCATAGAAAATGTACACTTCAGAAGAGAAATGTAATCAGAGAACTCAAAAAAGGAAAATATATAATGTATGCCCTCGGAAGGGTAAAAAGATTTTTATTCATATGCATGAGATTATTCAGATAGATGGTCATATATACCAGTGCCTTGAATGCAAGCAAAACTTCTGTGAAAACTTAGCTCTTATTATGTGTGAGAGAACCCATACTGGGGAGAAACCTTATAAATGTGATATGTGTGAGAAAACCTTTGTCCAAAGCTCAGATCTTACTTCACACCAGAGGATCCACAATTACGAGAAACCTTATAAATGTAGCAAATGTGAGAAGAGCTTTTGGCATCACTTAGCGCTTTCAGGACATCAGAGAACACATGCAGGTAAAAAATTCTATACATGTGACATTTGTGGCAAGAATTTTGGTCAGAGTTCTGATCTGCTTGTCCACCAGCGAAGCCATACTGGCGAGAAACCATATCTATGTAGTGAGTGTGACAAATGCTTCAGTAGAAGTACAAACCTCATAAGGCATCGAAGAACTCACACAGGTGAGAAACCATTTAAGTGTCTCGAGTGTGAAAAAGCTTTTAGTGGGAAATCAGATCTTATTAGCCACCAGAGAACTCACACTGGGGAAAGGCCCTACAAATGTAATAAGTGTGAGAAAAGTTACCGACACCGTTCAGCCTTCATTGTACATAAAAGAGTTCATACTGGGGAGAAGCCCTATAAGTGTGGTGCCTGTGAAAAATGCTTTGGCCAGAAATCAGACCTTATCGTGCACCAGAGAGTCCACACAGGTGAGAAGCCGTATAAATGCCTGGAATGTATGAGAAGTTTTACTCGGAGTGCCAACCTAATTAGGCACCAGGCAACTCACACTCACACTTTTAAATGCCTTGAATATGAAAAAAGCTTTAACTGTAGCTCAGATCTTATTGTACATCAGAGAATTCACATGGAAGAGAAACCACATCAGTGGTCTGCGTGTGAGAGTGGCTTCCTCCTAGGAATGGACTTTGTTGCCCAACAGAAAATGAGAACTCAAACAGAGGAGCTACACTATAAATACACTGTATGTGATAAAAGCTTCCACCAGAGTTCAGCCCTTCTTCAACATCAGACAGTACACATTGGTGAAAAACCGTTTGTCTGTAATGTGAGTGAAAAAGGTCTTGAGCTTAGCCCTCCCCATGCGTCAGAAGCCTCACAGATGTCTTGACCAGGCGAGAAGCTGTAATACCAATATTAAAAATTATTTATGTATC
This sequence comes from Homo sapiens, assembly GCF_000001405.40. NCBI lineage: Eukaryota > Metazoa > Chordata > Mammalia > Primates > Hominidae > Homo > Homo sapiens. Next base: position 26,637,298 of record NC_000006.12, on the reverse strand, counting down.
AGAGAACTCATTAAGATGAGGACAAATCTCAGACTTTGCTCAGAGCTCAGAATTCAGTGGGGACCAGAGAGCCTGCAATTGGAAATATGAGAAATTCTTTGCCCAGAGAGCTGCCCTAACAGAACACTTCATCCTCACTCCAACGAGAAATCTACAGATGCCCAGAGGTTTTGAAAACTTACCGTCTGAGCTCAAATTTGATCACTCACAAGAGGATTCATACAAGTGGGAAACCTTAGAAATGCACTGAGTGTGAGAGAGCTTTCTACTAATGCTCAGCCCTTCTCGTTGTAAGAGAATTCACACCGGAGAACAACTTTTTAAATGCCTTCAGTGTCAGTTGTGCTGCAGACAGTATGAACATCTCATTGGACCTCAGAAAACCCACCCTGGGGAGAAGCCCCAGCAAGTGTGAAAAAAGCTTCTAACAAAACTCTGACTTACCCATCAGAGAAGCCATACTGGTGAAAAATTGTATATTTGTCTTAAGTATGGCAAAAGCATTCGTTGGAGAGCCTTACTTGGGTTTGCACCCAAAAAAAAAAACCCAATCTGAGGAAAGACTGCAAGTGTCTGAATGAAGAGTGCTTGTCAATGATCAACTCTTGTGGTACATCAGGGAACTCACATAGGTGAAAAAACCCATACTTACCTTGAGTCTGAGAAAACCTTTGGTAGAAGCTCCTGTCTTATCAGGCCCCAAAAAACCTGTTCTGCAGTGAGAGATTTAATTGTGGGTGAGAATCTATGTACATATAATATGTATGAGAAGACTGTTCTCATAGTTAGTTGACTCATATGGTAGAGAGGACTTTACATGAAATCAGTATGAAAATAGTTTTTTAGATACCCAGAAGCTTGTTCTGGGAGAAGCTAGGGTGGGTCAGAGTAGACCTGATGGGTAACTCAGGTAAAGATGCTTTTCTTTTATCTGAACTACTTAATGATTGCTTTACTTTTACTTTTTAAAAAATTCAGAAATCCAATAAAGGAAAGGACGGTAACCTTATGATAGAAGGTGTGGCATGTGTTACTGTTGGGGGAAAGGAGTATATTGACTTTGCCTTGGTTGATATTTTTATGCTTGTCTAGGATGGGACTAGAGTGTTGATAGTAACATGGCAGCCTTTTGCTGGCAGTGAAATGAACTTAAGAAGCTAGGGAGTAGCTATCCTAGATCAAAACTCTCCTAATAGTTTTTCCTTTGCAGGACCAATCTTATAAAGAAACAGCATACTCAGCTTTTTACTTAGTGTCAGTTGAGGCATACTCTCAAAAGTTTTTTCCCCTAAAATATCTTTCAAGTTATTACTGGTATTTGAAATTTCAAGTTTAGAAATTCATTTCTTTTTAACTCAAAGTGCAAATTTCATATAATGATTATGATGGTTTTAGTGTCCATATTTTTGTGGCTTCACTTATCATCTCTTTCAGCAGTAGCTACCCACAGTCAGCTCCTAGTAAAATGGCTACAGGAAAACTGAAAGAAAAGTTTAAGCCTGAGTAGGCATAGAGTAAAAAATGCATAATGATGCATTATTAATATAAGAGTAAGGCTTTTTTTATTTTGAGTATCCTAACTCCAAACCTAGTGTTCTTTTCACTCCATTATCCTGCTGTTTATAGCAAATCAAGACCCATAATGATACGTCTTTCATTTATTTCAGTTCTGCCAAGGAAAGAGAAAATACCTTTTAATCCCAGGGAAAGGATTGCAATCACCACATTATAAGGTATATGGCGTGGAATGCAGAATTCTAAATACTAGAAGGGAAAAGTAGTTGGCAGATTCATCAGAGGCTTAAGGATAAGTACTTGTTTCCAATTTAAAAGTATAATTAGGATTGTCTTTAATGTTCTCTAGAAATACTATAATTAATCTAGAGATCTATCAATGGTCACATCTCAGTTTTTTTCTTCCCTGAGATTCAAAGACGTGTAATACCAATACTTCAGATTCCTATAGTATTTGGGACTTTGTAGACTAGTGAATAGATACTTTGTTGCTAGTCCAAATCCTCTGATTTTGGTTTGATTTGTCCTAGCAGATCCCTGAACTTCAGAGAGTATTGCCATTTGGATTCATGGAGTTGGCGAACTGCTACACTGCTACCTTGTGTATGGCTCTAAGCTTTGATCCTAATGACTGGTTGATGATCATGATAATATTAGGGCCAGTGAATATAGCTCATAGTGATAATAAGGATTCTAGGGTATTTTTTTTTCTTTTAGAAAAAGATCCTGGAAGTTTATTTGATCTGACATGTTTTTGTAATATTTAGAAATAGCTCTTGTATCATAAAAAGTTGCCCAGTATAAGACACACAAGATGTATTTTTTTTCTCTGGTGAAAATCATGCCTATCACTAGTATATGTTTGACATTTGTAGTATACTTAAAATAGTATTGGGTGTGAGGCATGGTGGTGATGAAAAGTAGTCCTTACGGCTACTTGTTAGTCATTAGAGAGAACATGGAGAAGGGGTCAAAGTTGGTATCATTAACAGGGCAATGACTTGACCCTTCTTTCAACTGATCTTACTGGTAGTTGTCTCTAGTTTTTAAGTAAATTAATGATGGACCATCCCCCAAACAGAGAACTATGGGGGTATGAAACAAGGCTGAAGGCTTTTAACCATGGGAGAAAAAGGTGTTGGTATTATTCATATAGCATAACCTGAGGTTGGAGAGGACCACTTGGGAGCCTGTAACCAAAACTAGAAGGTAACTTCTGGGATGGACGGAGGTTCCCTTGAAGCAGTGCCAACCTAAATCTACCTCAGGTAAGTAGTTAGATTAACTTTTTCAAGATTTCAGACCAAACAAGACAACTTGTATTCAGTTGATGTATTCCTATGCTTTAATGTTTTTGTTTGCCCTTAATTATTAAATAAACATTTGTTCTGAAAAACTCCATTTCCGTCTCCACTGTACTGAGAGAAACAGCATTTCCTCTACACTTGGATTAGAATGAAGTGGTTAATAATGTGATACTTAGACATGGAGGTAGAGATAACCACTGGACCATCTCTATAATTCCAGCAATTTTGGATGCCGAGGCAGAGAGGAACAGAAGGAATATTGTCTATGCTCCGCTGTGGACATTGCATCCTTTTGGAACCTCTGCACCACATTCCATAAATGGGGCTAATAGTTTGAACTGACCATGTTTGAGGCCCTGCTGAAATTCATTAGCAGCAAAACCATCTATGGTTTTTTTGTGTGAGTGACCCCCTCAAAATTAGGGAAGATTTTACATTTATAATTCCTAGTGAAATCCACATTTGGTTCCAATTCTTCCCTCTTGGTCTTATTTGTTGAATTAGAGTGGGATGGAGATGGTATAAAAATAGTTGCTCTAATTTACCCACCATTATAAAGTTTGTCCTAGTTTATGTCTGTCTGCTCTACCAACAGAGTAGATGCCAGAGTTTTAAGTGGCTTTCATTGTGAGAAGAGGATAAGAAGGAGGTATGATGTGGATGAAACAGGGAAGGGAAAAGGTACAGCTTTAAGTTTGTTTTTTCCTCCTGAGATTCATATAGAGTTGTGTAGGTAGAACAAGACTTGCAGCCTTCATGCTTATTTTTCTAACTTAAAGTGATACTACTCCCAACATTGAAGTGGACTGTTGTGAGAAATATTTCTGGGAAAAATAATAACCGTGACCCCCAGAAGTAACTGAAAGAGAAATGATGTGTGCTTCAGTGTCTCTGGTGAAGTAGACAGGGAAAAGTGCTATCCAGCGCACACACCGCAAGTGTTTCTTGAAATGGTCTTTACATTGTTTATTGAGAAAAGAAACTCATAGTGCAATTGAAGCTTCTTTGTCCCTGAAACATCAGCTTGTGTCATCACTTTCCCCAGGCAGGGATTTGGATTTTAAATGAGTGAGAGAAGCTGAAAGCAGTTAACACTTGCAGAGGGAATCCTTCCATCTGGCAAAGGAAACTTAAAAAGTTGGGGTAGGCCAGACGCAGTGGCTCACGCCTGTAATCCCAGCACTTTGGGAGGCTGAGGCGGGTGGATCACGAGGTCAAGAGATGGAGACCATCCTGGCCAACACCTTATTCTTTGAAAAAGCTAATAAAAAAGATAGTCCCCTAGACAGGAAAGTTAATAGAAAATAACAAAAAGATAATGCAGAGAATCAGTAAAACCAACACCTTATTATTCTTTGAAAAAGCTAATAAAAAAGGTAGTCCCCTAGACAGGACAGTTACTAGGAAAAGCAGGAAAAAATAATTAAGATTTTTAAGTGGTGGCATTTATGTATCTAAGACACTTGATGCAAACACTTAGACACTTAGACTCAAGCAGAATGAAGCCAAACACGGTGGCTTATACCTGTAACCCAGTACTTTGGGAAGTGGAGGCAGGCGGATTGCTTGAGCTCAGGAGTTAGAGACCAGACTGGCAAGACCCTGTCTCTACAAAAATTAGCCAGGCATGGTAGTGCCCACCTGTAGTCCTAGCTACTCTGGAGGCTGAGGTGGCAGGATCGCTTGTGCCCAGGAGGTAGAGGCTGCAGAAAGCTGAGATTGTGCCACTGCTCTCCAGCCTGGGTGACAGAGCCAGACCCTATCTGGAAAAAAAAAAACAAAAAAACTCAAGCCAAATGGCATAAAGATTGAGTTGTATGATTGTTTTCCCTTAGAGTACTGACTTTGTGGCCCCTTCATTGCTGTAATAGGTTCTGCTTCTGAAACTCAAGAGCTACAAAAAACAAACAAACAAACAAACAAAAAACCCAGTACCCATTTTGCTACTTTCTGCTATCTCCTTTCCCAGATGCAAGAACACAGACCAGTCTAAGAGTGTGACAAATGGATTTAGGAAATGGAGGTGGGCTGCAAATGCTGCTAAATAATACAAATGCCATTGTAACATACACACTTAGCTCAGTTCCAATTGAACTCAAATGCATGAGACTCCAAAGTGACAAGAGCAATCTTCTCCACCAAATAAAAACCTAGAAGTTAACCATACAGCAGAGTCAGTTTGGAAAGTAAGTCACAATCTATAGGGTTAAATAAAACCCATCTGATGAGAATTTATGATTTTCAGGGCATGACTCTCCAAACCCCTTAGATAGGAATTTAGGCAGGATAAAAAACTGGAGTTTAGTCCTCACAGGTAATAATCACTAAATTGCAGAATTTTAAAAAACAGGTTATAGAAGTTGATCCTGCAGTTACGCAGCTTATAAAGTGTTGGATTGATTTCAACACATGGCATCCTGGCAATTGTTTTATTTTATTTTATTTATTGTATTTATTTTTTGAGACAAGGTGTGTGTCTGTTGCCCAGGCTGGAGTACCGTGGTGCAGTCTCTGCTTACTGCAACTTTCACCTCCTAGGCTCCAGCCATTCTCCCACCTCAGCCTCCTGAGTAGCTGGGACTACAGGGACAAGTCACCACACCCAGCTAATTTTTGTAGAGATGGGGTTTTCACTATGTTGTCCAGCTGGACTTGAACTCCTGAGCCCAAGCTGAAGTGATCTGCCCACCTCAGCCTTCCAAAGTGCTGGGATTACAGAACTAAGCCACTGCACCTGCCCGCTTTTCTTTTCTAAGCTAGACTTGATGTCATGGGGAATGCCATTCTCTTTGTGAGCTATGCTCATATTTTCATTGTGAGTCTCAAGCAGAGGCCCATATGCCTACTAATAACCCACTTCTCATTGGTCCACATGTTAGTGGCTTGTATTATAGGAATCCCCAAGGATTCTTAAGCTTTGGTCTTGAGAACTCTCATACATTATGTTATTTTTAAGACAAATAGCTACACAGTGTCACGTGGCCTTTCCATCTGTTAGACAAGCCACTTAAGCATTCTTTATGCCATCATCATTGGCCTTTGTAACCCCTATTGATCAGTGCTCAAAACCAGAAAACCATTGTGTGCCCTTTACTCCTTTTTGTTTGAATTCTTAATTTAATTTACTCATATTTTCCAACTTAATTTTATCTCAATTACAGCCCTCAAGAATGAGACTGTATCCAGATACATTGTGAAATCTTGCTCTGTTTTGCTAACGGATAATTTTATTAGGTGATTCTTTCTCACGTTCATGGCATTTCACATTCATGACGTTTCCCCTCCTGGGTTTTATGTGCTGGACGAGTGGGTATAGGATGCATCCCCTCTACAGACATCACGAGCAAATACAGCACCTTCACAGGTCGGGCCCCTAATTCAAAATGAACCCTGGGGCCGGGCGCGGTGGTTCAGGCCTGTAATCCCAGCACTTTGGGAGGCTGAGGCAGGCGGATCACCTGAGGTTGAGAGTTCGAGACCAACCTGACCAACATGGAGAAACCCCATCTCTACTAAAAATACAAAATTAGCTGGGCGTGGTGGTGCATGCCTGTATCCCAGCTACTCGGGAGGCTGAGGCAGGATAATCACTTGAACCCGGGAGGCAAAGGTTGCAGTGAGCCGAGATCGCACCATTGCACTCCAGCCTGGGTAACAGGAGTGAAACTCCATCTCCAAGAAAAAAAAGCCCTGGGATGAAAGCAACTAAAGAGACGATCATTTTGACCCTGTGCTTCATTTTTTCCTGTGGGCTTGATATGATTGTTTCCTTCAGTCTAGGTTATTTTTCAAAAACTGAACCTGTTTTTGAATACTAAGAAGTTCATTGGGGTGAACTTTGCCTTTTTAAGCCCTGTGGTACTTCTTTGCAATGACAACCACCTCCACAGATTTTGGGCATCTGCTTTGAGAAAATGAGAAATCAACAACCAAAAAGAATGCAGTTCAATAATCATAATTCAATTACAAATATAATTATCTCAACTAATAAAGAATAAAACCTGATCATCCAGGCCAGACACAGTGGCTCAAACCTATAATCCAGCACTTTGAGAGGCCGAGGTGGGCGGATCACCTGAGGTCAGGAATTCAAGGCCAGCCTGACCAACATGGAGAAACCCCATCCCTACTAAGAATATAAAATTAGGTGGGCATGGTGGCGCATGCCTGTAATCCCAGCTACTTGGGAGGCTGAGGCAGGAGAATCGCTTGAACCCGGGAGGCAGAGGTTGCGGTGAGCCGAGATCACTCCATTGCACTCCAGCCTGGGCAACAAGAGCAAAACTCCATCTCAAAAAAACAAACAAAAAAACCCTGATCATCCATATTGTCTTGTCCTTAGAAAAATAAATCATAATTCCTCAAGCAGGAAAATAATATCTACTAGTAAGAAAATTAAAATAATTGTTCTGAGTGAAAAAAGCCAATACTAAAGTTTATATACTGTATGATTCCATTTATAACATTCTTAAAATGATAAATTATAGAAATGAACAGCTTAGTGGTTGTCATGTATAAGGGTTGGGGAGTGAGGTAGGTGTAGTTATCCAAGGATACATGATGTATCCATGGGGTGATAGAAATGTTCTGTAGCTTGGCTGTATCATTGTCAATATCCAGGTTGTATGATTGTACTAATTTTGCAAAATAGTGGTTATCATTGGAAGAAACTGGGATTTCTCTGTATGATTTCTTACAACTGCATGTGAATCCACATTTATCTCAACATTTAAAGGTTAAAAATTTTGAAACATTACATTTAAAACGTCTCCTTTGATCATCCTTACTTAAATCTAGTCACTTAATTCCTTTCCAAAGACAGTGTTATCACATTGTCATGTGTCCTTCTACAGACATTTGATACATATGCACATAAAAATATTAAGTAATATTTGGTAAGATGTAGAAATACAGTTGCACAATCTCTTTACACTTACATATATGTTTCCAAGAAAGAGAAATGCAGAAATGATGAGGAGAGATGATATCACTAGGTAGGTGTATATTAACAAATATACAATATATGAAACAATAATGGTAAGTGATTTACACAGAGTGAACAGCCTACTGAACAATAATATCACAAAATTTGAGAGGAAAGTTGTAAGACAAAAGTGTTCTAGTGTCATTCTATTGGGAGAATTGTAAACATGTTGATTAATTTTAATTGTTTAATTATGGGTCTTAAAGTTTTATGACAAATGCAAAAAGTAATAGATATAGAATATAGAGCTTCTAAACAAATGGGACACAAAAATTGATTTTGAAGAAAAAAAAAAGTACAGCCATCTCTCAGTAGGTGCAGCAAATTGTTTCCAGGACCCTGTGGTATACCAAAATCTGGACTTACTCAAGTCCAGCAGTCAGCCCTGCAGAACCACGGAAACTAAAAGTCAGCCCTCCCTGTAGGCAGATTTCACATCCCACAAATACTGTATTTTCCATTTGCGTTTAGTAGGAAAAAAATTCACGTAACAATGGACCTTGGTAATTCAAACCAGTGTGGTTCAAAGGTCAACTGTATAGCCATAAAAGACAAGAAAAAATGAATCATATTTTATATTGAAAAAATATTTTATATTGAAAAGAGAAAACTGAGTTCTAAGCTTGCAGTGGGAAAAGCTAAAAATCAGCCTAAGTTACACCACAGGATTTTCTAAAGACTCAGAAATTTATGACCATAGGTACTTCTGGATCTGAGGGATAATTGGTGAAGGGCTAAAATAAGGAAGAATGTATAAAAGCTCTCTCTCTCTCTTGTCTTTCCAACCCTGGCAGAAAGAGGATGAAACAGATAGTATCTTGAATGAAGGACACAAGGCACAGATGATGTGATGGGTAGCATGGAGTGGGAGGATGGAAATAGAATTATCACACAAATTTATTCATGCTAGCTACAAAATCGTGGCAGTCTTATCCAACTCTACTGCCAGATTTCAGGCTAGGCAGTCCTTAGCTTCCAGGCATGTCATTGAAAGAGTTCTACTTGGTAAATCTGACCAAGTGAAGAGGAGAGCTGTAAAGAAACGAACATCATCAATGCCGAAAACATGGCCCTACCACATTACCCTCTAGTGAAGATCACTGTCAACAAGCCCCACTACATTTTAAATGTTGCCAGTTTTTTTGTTTTTTTTTTGTCTTGTTTTGTTTTGTTTGAGATGGAGTCTTGCTCTGTCGTCCTGGCTGGAGTGCAGTGGCGCGATCTCTGCTCACTGCAACCTCTGCCTACTGGGCTCAAGCAGTTCTCCTGCGTTAGCCTCCTGAGTAGCAGGGATTTCAGGGATGCGCCGACATGCCCGGCTAATTTTTGTATTCTTAGTAGAGATGAAGTTTCCCCATATTGGCCAGGCTGGTCTTGAACTCCTGACTTCAAGTGATCCACCCACCTCTGCCTCCCAAAGTGCTAGGATTACAGGACAGGCGTGAGCCATCGTGCCTGGCCTGCTGCCAGTTTTTAGCCTATGATTTTTAAACATGGATAGATCAAATAAGAAACACCAGGCATCTGAAAAAAATCTGAAATAAATGAATGGGAGGGAGAACCATGGATGACAGAATATTCAAGGAGAAAGTTATCAGTATGCACACACAATAAAAGTTACACGTAAATGAAACAAGGAAAAGATGTTGATGTTAAAAATATGATAGCAAAAATGAAAAATTCAGTAAATGTTTGGAAAATAAAGATGAGGTTTCAGACAAAAAGAATTTTGATAATAAGAAAGAGAAAAAAAATGTTAGAGGAACAGCCCAGGAATCTCCAATGCCAAAGTATTTGGAATTCCAAAGAAAACAGATAAAATAGTTCATTAGATAAAAGAAAATAAATGTTAACCCTAAAGAATATAGGTTTTCAAATTGAAAGACCTGCCAGTAGGCTGGGTGCGATAGCTCACACCTGTAATTCTAGCACTTTGGGAGGCTGAAATGGGTGGATAACTTGATGTCAGGAGTTCCAGACCAGCCTGGGCAACATGGCGAAATCCCATCTCTATTAAAAATACAATAGTTAGCTGGGCATGGTGGCACACACCTGTGGTCCCAGCTACTCAGGAGACTGAGGTGAGAGGATTACCTGAGCCCAGGAGATCAAGGCTGCAGTGAGCCATGCACTCCAGCCTGGGTGATAGAGTGAGATTCTGTCTCAAAAAAAAAAAAAAAAAAAAAAAAAAGAAAGGAAAGAAAGACCTAGTATCTCAGAACTGTGGATAAAATGGACCCAATTAAGGCATGTCATCTTGAAATTCAAAACACTACGATGAAGAGTAGATTTTATTCACTTTCTCACAGAAAGATACAGATAACATACCAAAACTTAGGAATGAAAATTTTCTTCTTATGGCAACATTGAAAGCTATAAAACAATGGTCATGCCTTTAAAATACAGAAGTAAAATGTTTTGTGGCCTACAATTCCTTAACCCATCAGATTTTTAATTAAACGTGAGGGTTAGCCTGGCGTGGTGGCTCACGTCTGTAATTCCAGCACCTTAGGAGGCCAAGGCGGGTGGATCACTTGACATCAGGAGTTTGAGACCAGCCTGGCCAACATGGTGAAATCCTGTCTCTACTAAAAATACAAAAATTTGCCGATTGTAATGGTGTGCACCTGTAATCCCAACTACTTGGGAGGCTGAGGCAGGAGAATCGCTTGAGCCTGGGAGGCGGAGGTTGCAGTGAGCTGAGATGGCGCCACTGCACTCCAGCCTGGACAATAGAGTGAAACCCTGTCTCAAAAAAAAAAAAAAAAAAAAAAGTGAGGGTGACAAAAATACATTTAAGGTCTCAAAAATCTATCCCAAATGCACATTTTCTCAGAGAAAATTTGACAAGAGTTTCTCTCTTGTTGCCCAGGCTGGAGTGCAATGGCACAATCTGGGCTCACTGCAACCTCTGCCTCCCGAGTTCAAGTGAATCCCATGCCTCAGCCTCCCGAGTAGCTGGGATTACAGGCATGTGCCACCATGCCCGGCTAATTTTTTGTATTTTTAGTAGAGACAGGGTTTCACCATGTTGGCCAGGCTGGTCTTGAACTCCTGACCTAAGGTGATCCACCCGCCTTGGCCTCCCAATTTGATGAGATTACAGGTGTGAGCCACTGCGCCTGGCCAAGAAAAATATTGAGTGATATGATCCATTGAATTGAGTGAAGAAACCAAGCCACGAGAAGATATGAGATAGAGGGAAAAGGAGATTTAATACTGCAGAAACACAAAATAAATATCCAAAATAATGATAGGAGAGTTACTGGAAGAGAATGAAATCTAGACACAGACCTTACAACTTTCACAAAATTTAACTCAAAATGGATTATAGGCCTAATCTGTAAAACACAAAACTATAAAACTTCTACAAGATGATGTAGGAGAAAATCTAGGGACACTTGATTTGATGATTTTTTTTTTTTTTTAGGAGTTTTGCTCTTGTTGCCCAGGCTGGAGTGCAATGGTGCCACCTCTGCTCACTGCACCCTCTGCCTCCTGGGTTCAAGCAATTCTCCTGCCTCAGCCTTCTGAGTAGCTGGGATTACAGGCATGCGCCACCATGCCCAGCTAATTTTGTGTTTTTAGTAGAGATGGGATTTCACCATGTTGGTCAGGCTGGTCTCGAACTCCTGACTTCAGGTTGATCCACCTGCCTCAGCCTCCCAAAGTGCTGGGATTAGAGGTGTGAGCCACCACGCCCGGGCAATGGTGATTTTTTTTAGACACGACACCAAAAGTACAATCCATGAAAGACATAACTGGTAAGCTGAACTTCACTAAAATTGAAAACTTCTCTGTGAAAGATCGTGTTAAAAGAATGAAAAGACAAGCCACATATTGAGAGAAAATGCTGGCAAACCATGTATCAATAAAGAACTTGTATTCAAAATATACAAAGAAGGCTTTAAAAATTCACTAAGAGGGGCCGGGCGCGGTGGCTCACGCCTGTAATCCCAGCACTTTGGGAGGCCGAGGCGGGTGGATCATTAGGTCAGGAGATCGAGACCATCCTGGCTAACAAGGTGAAACCCCGTCTCTACTAAAAATACAAAAAATTAGCCGGGCGCGGTGGCGGGCGCCTGTAGTCCCAGCTACTCGGGAGGCTGAGGCAGGAGAATGGCGTGAACCCGGGAAGCGGAGCTTGCAGTGAGCCGAGATTGCGCTACTGCAGTCCGCAGTCCGGCCTGGGCAACAGAGCGAGACTCCTCTCAAAAAAAAAAAAAAAAAAAAAAAAAAATTCACTAAGACAACAACCCAATTTTTAAAATGGCAAAAGATCTAAACAGACACCACCAAAAAAGATATACAGATGACAAATTACCATATGAAAAGATACCCAACATTGTATGCCATTAGGGAACTGAAAATTAAACCAACAATGAAATTGCATTACACACTATTAGAATGTCAAAAATCCAAAACACTGACACCACCAAATGCTGGCCAAGATATGCAACAGTAGAAATTCTCATTCATTGCTGATAGGAAAAAGCCATATGATACAGCCACTTTGGAAGACATTTTTGCAGTTTCTTTTAAAGCTAAACATAATCTTAACATATGATGCAGCCATCCTATTCCTTAATATTTACCCAAATGAGTTAAAAACATATGTCCACACAATAACCTGCACACAGATGTTTATAGCAGCTTTATTTATAATTGCCAAAACTTGGAAGTAACCAAGAAGTCCTTCACTACGCAAATGGATAAACAAACTGTGGTACATCTATACAATGGAATAGTATTCAACAAATAAAAAGGAATGAGCTATCAATCCACAAAAAAGACATGGAGGAACCTTAAAAGCATTCTTCTAAGTGAATGAAGCCAATCTTAAGGGGCTACATACTATATACTTTCAACTATATGACATTCTGAAAAGGATAAAACTATTAGAAGACAGTAAAAAGATCAATGTTCTCCAGAATGGGGGTGAGTTGGGGGAGGGACAAATGGATAGAGCACTGGGAATTTTTAGGTCAGTGAAACTATTTTTATGATACTGTAGTGGTAGATATATTACATTATACATTTGTTAAAACCCCTATAATGTACAACACAAAGACTGAACCCTAATGTGAACTATGGGCTTTAGTTAAATAATAATATATCAATCTTGGCTCATCAGTTGTAATAAATGTATCACACAAATGTAATATATTAATAGAAGAAACTGTGGGTGGTGTGGGGGCATATAGAATCTCTCTGTACTTTCTGCTCAAGTTTTCTATAAACCTAAAAGTACTTCAAAGAAATAAAGTCTATTCGCCAGGAGTGGTGGCTCACACCTGTAATCCCAGCACTTTGGGAGGCTGAGGCGGGCAGATCACCTGAGTTTGGGAGTTCGAGACCAACCTGACCAACATGGAGAAACCCCGTCTCTACTAAAAATACAAAATTAGCTGGGCATGGTGGCACATGCCTGTGATCCCAGCTACTGGGGAGGCTGAGGCAGGATAATCACTTGAACCCGGGAGGCGGAGGTTTGTGGTGAGCTGAGATTGCACCATTGCACTCCAGCCTGGTCAACAAGAGCGAAATGTGGTCTCAAAAAAAAAAAAAAAAAAAAAAGGAAAAAATAAAGTCTATTAATTAACATTTTTAAATTTTATTAAAAGATGAAGTCAAAAAATATAATATTTTAATGGTTGCTGAAACAGTTGTGTCCTTCTTAAAATAAAAATACTGGTTTTCAGATATAAAGACTGACACAATAACCGTCAACAAATTGATTGCAAAAAAGATTTTGTCTCTGGCCTTAAATACCTTCATCATTAAGTGGTATTCATATTATACTCTATGAGAAAAATTAAAGGCTCTGAAGATGTTATGCCTTTCCTATCTATTTCATCTTTACATATCCACTATTCATCTTTATAATACCCTTAATCTAGTAACACTTTCCCTTATCTCATTTCTCTTTTTCTTTCTCTTTCTTTCTTTCTTTTTTCTTTCTTTCTTTCTTTCTTTCTTTCTTTTCTTTCTTTCTTTCTTTCTCTTTCTTTCTTTCTCTCTCTCTCTTTCTTTCCTTGTTTCTTTTTTTTTTTTTTTTTAACAAAGTCCCTGTCTTTTGCCCAGACTGGAGTGCAGTGGTGTGAACATGGCTCACTGTAGCCTCTGCCTCCTGGGTTCAAGTGATCCTCAGCCTCCTGAGTAGGTGGGCCTACAGGCATGCGCCACCACACGCAGCTCATTTTTTTTTTAAATTTATTTGTAGAGATGGGGTTTCGCCATGTTGCCCAGACTGGTCTCGAACTCCTAGGCTCAAGCCATCCACCTGCCTCAGCCTCCCAAAGTGCTGGGATTATAGACATGAGCCACTGCTCCAGGCCCACACAATATTTTAACTTCTGTTTGTGAACTACCCATACCCCTTATAGTTCTCTTGGAAACTCCTTTGGATAACCCTGATTTAATTTTGTTTGTTCAAGGTTCATACCTGAAAATAAAAACTAAAACTATCAATCAAGCTAAGCCAAAACTGACATATTCACCATTGGTATTTGAACCTCTTCTAGAAGCTAAATCAGCAAACAGCTAAATCAATGTCTTCAACTGGAGGTGAAGACAGCTAGTACAGGCCAAACCCTATTTTTCTAAAAAAATTAACTTCCCATCTCTTCCTTACTGATTTCTGCAGGTTCCTCTGGGGTGCATTCTGGTTTACCACAGGAAGCTTAATAAATCTAATTTTGTTTATCTGTAAGTGTGCTCCCTGCTGGCCTTTGGTTGGTGGGCTTTTGCATTAAGTGTAATATTCTATAAGTAAAATTATTAAACTTGTGAAAAAAGCAGAAGAAAATCTTTGAGATCTAGTGCTAAAAATTAAGAGTTCTTAGACTTGACACCAAAATTACAATCCATAAAAGTAAAAATTGGTCAATTTGCCAGACCTCTTGGTGTAATGATTAGCACTCTGGACTTTGAATCCAGGATCCACTGGGACCTGATCATCTTCATTCCTCAAAACTGTGAAAGACGTCAAAACTAAAAATATATGTATGAGAAACTGGCATAGCCAAGAGGAGCCTAAGGAGATATGACAACTAAATGTGGTACCTTGGATTGGATCTTGGAACATAAAAAGGACATTAGGTAAAAACTAAGGAAATATGAATGCTACATCTATTAGTTAATAATGTGATAATAATGTAATAATTAGTTCATCAATTGTAACAAATAATTATACTGCTATAATATGTTAATAATAGAAGAAATTACAAGAAGAAGAAATAAAAGGCATCCAGATTGGAAAGGAAAAGGTAAAACCATCTCTATTCACAGATAACAGAATCCTCTATGAAGAAAATCTCAAAGAATCTACAAAAGGCTACTTGAGCTACTAAACTAATTTAGCAAAATTTCAGTTTTCAAGATCAACACACACCAATCAGTTGTGTTAATATACACCAACAGTGAATAATCAGAAAGGGGAAATTAACAACCAAGTCCATTTATAATAACATCTAAAATAATTAACTGCTTAGGAATAAATCTAACCAAGAAGCTGAAGGACATGTATACTGAAAACTACAAAACATTGCTGAAAAAAATTTACAAAAAATAAATGGAAAGACATCCCACATTCATGGATAGGAATACTTAATATTCCACTGCTAACACTACCCAAACTGATCTACAGATTTAAAGAAATCTCTATTAAAAATCCAACAGCCCTTTTCACCTAAATGGAAAAGCAGATTCTCAAGTGCTTATGGAATTGCAAGGAGCCATTAACAGCCAAACCAATCTTGAAAAATAAGAATAAAATTAAAGGATTCAAACTTCCTGACCTGTCTGAAACTTACTATGACACTCCAGTAATCAAAACTGTATAGTAGTAGCATATGAAGATATAGGTCCATGGAATAGAATAGTGTCCAGAAATAAATCCTCAGATATATGACTAACTCATTTTTGATAGGGTGGCAAGAGAATTCAATGGGGAAAGGAGAGCCTTTTCAAGAAATGGTGCTAGAGACCCACATATTGTGAACAAAAGTTCTCTGAAAAGAAATTTACAGGAAAGTGACTTTTGTCCAGTGAACAGTTTGCAAATGGGGAGATGCAGCAGCCTTTAAAAACAAAGGTGTGTTCCAGAGGACAAAGAGAGGGTTTTATAGCAAACGTTCCCGCCAAGGTTCCCAATTAGTCCCTTTATGCAAATTAAAGTTTGAAATTTGCTTTAGTTCCCATGGGTTGATGCAGCTGAGTTCTGATTCATCAATACAGCTGAGCCCTGATTGGGTGGTACAGGTGAGCTCTGATTGGTTGGCTCAGATCAGCTCTGAAAGTTCCTAAGTTGAACAGAGATAGCGTTTTCAAGGAATCTCAGAGTACCGGTGTGACCTCTAATCAATAAAAGGCCACTTGGCTGTATTTTAAATCTAGGCCCAATTAGCCACTTAAGGTCCATCTTAAAGATTGGCTCTTTCAGGTTCACATTTGTTCACAATGTGAAAGATTCAAGTTAGACCCTTACTTTATATCATACACAAAAATTAAACTCAAGAGCTAAAACTATAAAACTTTTAGAAAAAGAATTGGGGGAAATCTTTATGACATTGGATTTGACAACGATTTCATAAATATGACAGACACCAAAAGTCCAGGCAGCAAAATAAATAAATAAATTGGACTTCATCAAAATTAATAAC
This sequence comes from Homo sapiens, assembly GCF_000001405.40. Lineage (NCBI taxonomy): Eukaryota > Metazoa > Chordata > Mammalia > Primates > Hominidae > Homo > Homo sapiens. The sequence continues at coordinate 26,620,829 of NC_000006.12, read as the reverse complement.
TTGTGTATCACAGTACACTATCATAGAAAGTAAAAGACAACCTACAGAATGGTAGAAGATATTTGCAAATCATATCTCTGATAAGAGATTAATATCCAAAATGTGTAAAGAACTCCTACAACTCAGTAGCAAAAACAACTAATTTTAAAATGGGCAGTGGACTTGAATAAACATTCCACCAAAGAAATGTTAGGCTAGTTCTAGTATCTAATATCTAAGAAGTCTTTGCCTAATGTCAGCTCACAAAATTCTTCTCATGCTTTCTTCTAAAAGTTTTAATAGCTAATTTAGATTTTACATTTAGGTCTATGATTCATATTAAGTGAATTTTTATATACAGCATGAAGTTTTGGTGAAGGCTTGTTATTTTTACATACGGATGCTGAATTGTTTCAACAGCGCTTGTTAAAAATACTTTATGTGGGGTGCAGTGGTTCATGCCTGTGATCCCAACACTTTGGGAGACAAAGGCAGGAGGCTGCTTTGAGCTCAGGAGTTTGAAACTAGCCTGGGCAACATAATGAGACCCCATCTTTACAAAAAAATGAAAATTAGCCCGGCATGGTGGTGCACACCTGTAAGTCCCAGCTACTTGGGAGGCTGAGGTAGGAGGATCACTTGAGACCAGGATATGGAGGCTGCAGTGAGCCATGATCATGCCACTGCACTCCAGGCTGAATGACAGAATGTGACCCTGTCTCAAAAAAACAAACAACAACAACAACAAAATACTTTATTTTTTCTCCGTTGAATTCCTTTGCACCTTTATCAAAAATCAATTGCCCACACTCACGTAACAGTGTGTGTTCAAAAAGGCCTTTTCAAGTTTCACTGAAGATGCTACATTCAGAGTTTCATCCCTGAACTGTTTGTGATCTGTACTGTTTTCCAGTGACATCTGTTTACCCACTGCTACTTCTTTAACTGTAAACGGCCTGTGATTCAGTTAGTATGTTAAAAAAAAAAAAGTAATCTTCAATAAAAATACATATCTGAATCAGGAATTATGGCTGTAGATTCGGCTAAAAAAGACAAAGCTGCTCATGAGCAAGTGTCTTCTGAATCTGTGTTTGACTTTGTAGTTCTTTGCTTGTTATCTTTTCTATGGCAAAAAGTTATACTTTATTATTTTTTGGTCCATTTTCTTTTTTAAAGAATAGAAAATTCCAGAACGTTTTTGTTGTTCTTTTTTGTGGCATTTCTCAAGAAACCTATCAAAGATCATGATTCCTTGAAAACCAGGAGAAATAAGGCCAGGTACATGCTCTCTGTTGTTCATCTTTGAACTGAGCATTAAATCTCTGCACAACGTGTATAATTTTGAAAGCATCCTTTTTTTTTTTTTTTTTTTTTTGAGACACGAGTTTTGCTCTGTCACCCAGGCTGGAGTGCAATGGCGTGATCTTGGCTCACTGCAACCTCTGCCTCCCAAGTTCAAGCGATCCTTCTGACTCAGTCTCCTGAGTAGCTGGGACTACAGGCGCACGCCACCACGCCTGGCTAATTTTTGTATTTTTAGTAGAGACGGGGGTGTCACCATATTGGTCAGGCTGGTCTCAAACTCCTGACCTCGTGATCCGCCCACCTCAGCCTCCCAAAGTGCTGGGATTACAGGCATGAGCCACTGCGCCCGGCTGAAAGCATCCTTTCCTATAATGTCAGTCTGTCAATTTTAAATATTTTCTTCATTCTATATTGACATGATTAGAACATTAATATGCAGACAGATTTTTTAAAGAAAATGAGGAGATGATGGAGTCCCTTGAGTTTTTGACACTAAAAGAATAAGTGAATTATTCTTAAATCTCTTAATATTTTTAGCTATGATGTTATGATTAAAATTATTGATTTTGTATGAGTTCACAGTTGTTTTCTTATTCATTTCCATTATACATAGTAAATGGCCTTGCTCTAGATACCACACACATATTTTTGATAATATCATTCCAAACTCTTTCCTCTGTCTCTACTCCAAATAAAGTAGTATAATTTTCAAGGAAAAAAAATCAACTATGTATATTTGTATGTGTCTATTTCTGGACTCTCTGTTCTATTTCACTGGTTTGTGAGTCTATCTTTTCACTAATACCAAACTTTTTTTTTGGGTGGGGGGTGGAGGGGAATGGAATCTTGCTCCCTTGACCAGGCTGGAGTGCAGTGGCATGAACTTGGCTCACTGCAACTTCTGCCTCCCGGGTTGAAGCCATTCTCCTGCCTCAGCCTCCTGAGTAGCTGGGATTACAGGCATGTGCCACCACACCAGGCTAATTTTTGTATTTTTAGTAGATACCGGGTTTCACCATGTTGGTCAGGCTGGTCTCGAACTCCTGACCTCGTGATCCGCCCATCTTGGCCTCCCAAAGTTCTGGGATTACAGGCGTGAGCCACCGAGCCCAGCTGCCAAACTTTTAATGACTGTTTCTTTATAATAATTTTTATAATAGCTAGTTTGAGATCTCCAATTGTGTTCTTTTTCAAAATTGTTTTGGCCATTCTGATTCTTTGCCTTTCCATATGAATTTCAGAATCATCTTGTATACATATACAAACAAAATAATGATGGGTTTTAATTTAAATTGGGTTACATTCATAGATCAGATTGTGAGAACTAACATCTAAACTGTGTTTAGTCTTCCAATCTATGAACATGGTATATCCCTCCATTAATTTATCTGTTCTTTGATTTAGGTCTATAACACTTTGTAAATTTTAATATACAGACTCTGCACATGTTTATTAGATTTATATCTAAGTAATTTAATATTTTGGAGCTTCTGTACACAGTATGTTTTAAAATTTTAGTTTCCAATTATTCAATGATAGTATATATAGTATTGATTTTTTTATGATGAATTTGTATTCTGCAAACTCATTACTTATTGGTGCTAAGAATCTTTTATTTTTTATTTTTTTGAGATGGAGTTTCACTCATGTTGCCCAGGCTGGAGTGCAATGGTGCAATCTCAGCTCACTGCAGCCTCTGCCTCCCAGGTTCAAGCGATTCTCCTGCCACAGCATCCCGAGTAGCTGGGATTACAGGCATGCACCACCAAGCCCGGCTAATTTTGTATTTTTAGTAGAGACAGGGTTTCTCTATGTTGGTCAGGCTGGTCTTGAACTCCTGACCTCAGGTGATCAGCCTGCCTGGGCCTCCCAAAGTCCTGGGATTATAGGCATGAGCCACCATGCCCAGCCAGTGCTAAGAACTTTTTATAGATTTCCTTGGATTTTCTATGTAGACAGAAATGTCATCTGTGAATGGGAACATTTTTTATTGCTTCCTTTCCACTTTTTATGCCAATTTCTTGCCTTATTACACTGTCAAAAATATCAGTAAGACATTGAATAAGAGTGATGATAGTGGGCATCTTTAACTTGTACCTGAACTTCAGGAAAAGCATTCAGTCTTTTGCCATTAAATATGCTGTCTAATATACATAATTTGTAGATGTCATTTATTAGGTCAAAAATAGTTGCTAGGAACAGCAAACTCCTCCTAGTTTGCTGAAAGTTTTAATCATGAATGGTGGTTGATTTTTGTCAAATGCTTTTTCACATTCATTGATATGATAATGTGATTTTCTTTTTTAATCTGTTAATGTAGTAGAGAATATTGATTGATTTTCAAATATTCAAACAGCCTTGCACTTAAGGGATTAACCCCATTTACCAGTGGTGCGTTTTTAAATAGATTTATTTTTTAGAGAAGTTTTAGGTTTACAGCAAAATTGAGCAGAAAGTACAGAGAATTCCGACATACCTGCTACCTCCTCCACTATGCAGAACCTCCTCCACTATCAACATCCTGTACCAGAGTGGTACATTTGTTAAAATTGGTGAGCCTACACTGACACATCACTATCACTCAAAGTCTATAGTTTACATTAAAGTTCACTCTTGGTATTGTACATTCCATGGACTTTGACAAATGTATAATGACATGTATCCACCATAATAGTATCATATAGAACAGTTTTTCCCTAAAATCCTCTGTACTTTGTCTATTCATCCCTCCCTACTACCCTCCCTTACTCTTAACTCCTAGAAACCACTGGTTCTTACATTGTCTTCATATAGTTTTGCCTTTTCCAGAATGTCATATACATTATTTGGAATCATACAGGATGTAGCCTTTTCAAATTGGCCTTTTTCACTTAGTGGTATGCATTTAATGTTCATTTTGGGTGGGTGTAAATGGTATTGTGTTTTTAATTTCAAATTCAACTTGTTTTTTGTTGGTATATAGAAAACATTTCACTTTTGTATATTAACCTTATATCCTGCAACATTGCTATAATCACTTATTAGTTCCAAGAATTTTTTTCAGTTCTTTCAGATTTTCTACATAGACAATACTGTGAACAAAGACAGTTTTTATTTCTTCCTTTCCAATCTGTATACCTTATATTTTCTTTTCTTGTCTTATTGCATTAGCTAGAACTTCCAGTAAAATGCTGAAAAGGAGTGATGAGAGGGACATCCTTACCTTTTTCCTAATTGTATTTCTAAATATATATTGCCAGATTCAAATTCCTATTATTTTGCTGGGAATTTTTGTGTCTATATTTATGAAGGATAGTAGTAGTTTTTCTTTTCCTGTACTGTCTTTATTTGATCTTGATATCAGGATAATGTTGACTCTTCCAATGAACTGTTTCACATCTCAGCCTCCAAACTCTTGGTTTCCAATCCATTCTTCCAAGTTGCCAAAATGAACTCTTTTTTTCTTTGCCTTTAAAATTAAAATTATGGCTGGGCGTGGTGGCTCACACCTGTAATCCCAGCACTTTGGGAGGCCGAGGAGGGTGGATCACCTGAGGTTGGGAGTTCAAAACCAGCCTGACCAACATGGTGAAACCCTGTCTCTACTAAAAATACAAAATTAGCTAGGCATGGTGGCACATGCCTGTAATCCCAGCTACTCGGGAGGCTGAGGCAGGAGAATCGCTTGAACCCAGGAGGCAGAGGTTGTGGTGAGCCGAGATCGCGCCATTGCACTCCAGCCTGGGCAACAAAAACAAAACTCTGTCTCAAAAATAAATAAATAAATAAAATTATAATTATGTTCACTGTTTTGTTACTGGAAAGATATAATACAAGTAGAAAATTTGGAACAATATACCACTATAACATTGCCATTCCTCCCAATCCAGTCCCAAACCAGAGTTAATCACTTTATTACAGTTCAATCTATATCCTTTCAATTGTTCTTTTATGCCTTTGTAAACACATCTCTATCTATATATCAATAGCCATTTTAAAATATAAATAGAAGTATGATTTACATAATATACTGTGTATCAGGGACAAGATACAGAACACTCACACACACAGTCTGTCTTGTCTGTTTTCCCATCACATGACTTTATCTAAATTATCTTTATATTAATTAAACACTCCAATTTTTTTTTGGATATTTCCATTGTTTCCATTTTCCACTCTCCACTCTAATAAAGAAGCCCACTGTGAACACACCCCAGATCTGTGCTGAGGTCTTGGTGCCTTATCCAGACTTCCAGCACTGAGGTGTCTCCCTGCCACATCTCCATCAGGCCTGCACTGCTCGCCCCGGTGTTGATGTCCTGCTGCTAAATCCTTCCTCACCCCCTGCTGCTCCCTGGGGTCTGTGAGTTGGGAATATCCCAATTAGCTTTACTGATAACTCATTTTGTATCCAAAGGTTGAGGAGCCCTTGAAATAACAATTTTTTTATCGTTGGGCAGTATAAAGGTGGGTTTGATGTCCCGCGTAGGATGAGTTGGAGTTTGGAGAGGCTGGAGATGCAGATCCTATGGGAGATCAGTGCGAGAGCAAGGGCAAAAGCAGCTCCACATCTGACTCCTGAGAAGCACAGGACCAAGATCCCATGGTCTGTCTTCAGAAATCACCACCTCCCCAGTGAATTCTAAATATAATCTTGTCCTTTCCCGATAACTTCCCTCCCATCCTTGGTGCACAATCTGAAGTTGTCATAGGTGAGAGAGACGTGAAGGAAGAGGGACCCAGGAAGAATTTTCACTCAACGAAAAATTTCTAAAGACCTGTGGGGCAAAAACCCTGGAAACTTGAATTTTCCTGCGAGAGAGTTTGCCATTTGACCCTTTCCCCCCGGGATCGCCAGCGATGGGCAGTAAGAAGAAAAAGCCAGAGCCCCCAGAGACCGAAGAATGAAGGTGGCACCTTCCACACCACCTGCCTGCTGTGTCCGAGGCTCCCCGCGATCCTCAATCCCTGAGGTCTCAAGCTCCAAGAGGGGCGCCGCCGCAGGGACTCAGGGAATGAGAGGGGCCAAGGGCCTCTCCCCGCCCGTCCCCTCCTCTCCCGAGAGGCAGTTCCCTGGAAGGCCGCTACCACGCCGCTGTCTGGCGCTCACCGTCAGAATTTCTCGGGTAGTCTCGGAAAGGCCGCGCCGAGCATTTGACCTGGAGAGGGGGGCTCGGAATTCGGGAAAGGGAAGTAGCGCCGCCCGCAAAGACAGAGAAAGAGGAAGGGGAGGCGGTCAGCGCTCCTACGCTTCTTCCCGACCCCTCCCAGCAAATTCTCAGCCTGTGGCCTTCGACCCGCACCAGGGCCCGGTGTGGGTGGAAAGGTAAACCGACTCTCTTCAAGCTGAACCTTGAAGCCGGGATCAGGGAGCGCGAGCCCCCTGTACCCAAGCTCTGTCCGCCCCGAGGGACCACTGCCCCACAGTCCCCAGACAGCGCGGCGCTCCTGGGCTAGCGCGCTGCAATTCCCAAAGAGCCAATGTCTGTTATCCGCAGCTGCAGGAAGAGGGGCTAAAGCCCTGTCGCTGGGTCCTCAAACTAGAGAGTAAAACATCAGCATCGATTAAACACACCGTCCGGCGGCACGAAAACAAGTCAGGCAGTCTGGATCTTGGCACCACACCGGAAGGGTGAGGTCCCGCGGCGCTGCGCAGGTGAATGAGAAGGTTCTTGGGCTGGGAACCCGGCTACCGGGAAGCCCGCTGTTTGTTAAGGAACCTTCCCCGGCAACTTGCCTTTAGGGTCCGGACAGCGCGGAGGGAGAGTTCCCGTGTGCCCGGGAACCCAAATCTGAGACTTCCAGCAGTTAAGCAGGAGCGGGAGATGAGGCAGCCGGGTAGGCCTATCAGTCCTGATGCCCGGGCTCCTCTTTCGCAGGGTTTGTTTTCCTTTGGTGTCTCCCAAGCCCTCGCTAAGGCAAGTGATAAATGAGATGGCTGGACGAGAAACTGGTGGGGACGGGGGTGGCAGAGCTGGGGCTGGGGACGCTCTTTGGGGTTGTCGCTATACCTCAGTGGTCCCTAGTGCCCATGTGCTGGGCGCTGGCTGTCTAGAAGGGCTCCAGGGCCGCGGAAGACCCGTGCACATCATTCATCCCTGACGGTCACCTGTCACCAGAACACTGTGCACTTCGCGCGGGGTCTCATCGGCAGCCAATGAAAACTCCCTGGAGGCAGTATCCAGCTCGAAAACCCAGGTCCAGCCACATCACTCACCAAAGGTAGTTCTACATGGAGAAGCCTGATCCCTCACCGCCGCCTTCCTAGGGGGACCAGGAGCTTTCGGAGAAGCCCGCCAGCCGCTGGCTCTCTACGACCCTGCAGTGTTCAATACATTGATGTGTTTCGCCCCACTCCCTTCCACAGATTAGCCAGGAGGTCACCCTGCAGGAGCCTGGTGACCATCAAGATTGCTTCCCCTGACCTCATCCAAGTGAGCCAGTTTCCAGTACCAAAGCCGACTTTGAGCTAAGCACCCTTAAAGCTTCCAGACCCTTATGGCACAAAAAATCAAACCGAGGCCCTCAGAGAATGCAAAAAAATGAAAGTGGAAGACCCAATATTCCCTGAGCCAGGACAGGAAAACAAGTCTCCAGGAGACCAGATATTCACATTCAACTGTGATAGCCAATGGGATCCCTGTTTATTTGGTGCCCGAGTCCCTTGAAGCCAAACCTCCATTCCCAGAGCTCAGATGACCACTAGAATAAGTCTCATCATCCCTCCAAGAGCCCCTTGACCAGCATATTCCCAAGTGGTCCCCTCAGCTCCAACAGAAATGACATTGGCAGCTCCTACAGCTCTCCTGGAAACATTTCAAAGACAGGGAAGAGAGGAGGTCCCAGTTTGCAATTTCACATCCCTCCTGATGTCTAAAGTACTCATTATCCTCTTCCCCTAAAAAAGGCACAGAAGAGCTTGAACCCAGGAGGCTAAGGTTGCAGTGAGCTTAGATCATGCCACTGAACTCCAGCCTGGCGTCAGAGCAAGACTCCCTCTCAAAAACAAACAAAAAGGCACAGAAAAACATCTGTCCACACTTTGCTGTATAGGGATTAAACAATGAGGTTCAGGCTGCAGACACTCCCTCACAGAAGAAAACAAAGCAAAACTCAAGGAATACATCGCCCACATCTGTTAGTTCTGGGCCTCATGAAAGCAAAACTTTGCTACAGCCTTCTAAGCCATAGGGGGAGGGTATCCTGTCTTCAACTCCCCAACTTGGTTATGCAGTCACTGCAGAAAACTTGGACAAGAAAGCTGCACTCTGGTAGGTCAACGAAGTCATAAAGGAGCAGACTGAGGCCACCAATGACTATCCTGAGATTGTGCCTGCCACTCAGCCCATCCTTTCTGTCACCCTACCTGCTGCTGGGACTGCACCATTTCCAACTACCCCTCCATTTGGGAGCACTAATCCAAGCTGGAGAGCTTGAAAGTGATGCAGAATACCCCAGGCCCACTGGCCTTCCTATAGTCCACTGGAGGGATAACCTGTGTGGCTGCTTTGCCTCAGGAGACATCCAGCTTGCTGACCCCTTTGGTGTCCTCGAAGTCAGAGACACTTCCAGGCACCTCTTCAGACTTGAGGCCAACAGTCACTTACTCCTGGTTGACTCCTGCTTCTACCACATTACTCATCACTGACCCCACCAAGCCACCTCTGACCCCTCAGGCTGACAGGTCTGCCAAGTCCCCAACCATCCCTGCTCTAAACCAATTCCTGTAAGCATCCCAACCCTTAATTCTCCTACATATACAGATCCTTCTGGATCTTCTGATCCATCTATATTTAGGCTAGTATAGAAGCCCAATCTAAAAGAAAGAAAGAAGGCCACTTGGGTCCCACACAGTCACCTGACAATGAGGCCACTGGCTCAGCGTTTGATAGCACAGCCCCATGAGCCTTCCTTTTGGAGAAATGCCAATCCTAAGGCACTGGTGCTTTAGGATAGGTCTGTCTAGCTCAGTCAGGAGTTCCATTTCTGGAGCATTCATCAGTGAAGCAGGCCCTAGTAGGACCACTGGTGCCATCAGTCTTTTGGGGTATACTTGGTCCTGAACACCCAGGATCCTTTATTCAGGGCACATGATTTTCCTTCAAAGGAGACAGCACCACAGAGTAAGCCTGGGTTTCGAAACCTCTTCACTGCTGCCTCAGTCAGAGTGTCCTGCTTAGAGTGGGCCTGTTAAGCAGCAGAAGTGCCCCTAGGGAACCAATGCCCCCTGACTAGGGTTCAGTGGGAGAAGGACCTGTCAGAGCACCAGCACCTTCATTTTCCATCAGTTTGGGATATAAGACAAGAGCTCAGCCACAGCTGCAAGCCCAGAAGCAACAACCTTTGGGAAATTTCCACAACTTTTCTGCCCATGCTATTGACACTTCTCTTTTTATTTTATTTATTTTTTATTTTTATTTACTTTTTGTTTTTTGAGACAGCATCCCTCTGCCACCTAGGCTGGAGTGCAGTGCTGCGATCTCAGCTCACTGCAGCCTCTGCCTCCCAGGTTCAAGTGATTCTCCTGCCCCAACCTCCCAAGTAGCTGGGATTACAAGCGCCCTCCACCACACCCAGCTAATTTTTGTATTTTCAGTAGAGAAGGAATTTCACCATGTTTGCCAGGCTGGTCTCAAACTCCTGACCTCAAGTGATCCACCCAGCTCAGCTTCCCAAAGTGCTGGGATTACAGGCTTGAGCCACCGCGCCCGGCCGGCATTTCTCTTTTCAATATGTAAGCTCAGATAGGAGTCTTACCTTCCTGCTTTTCCCTGGGAATATGCTTGCCTGAAGAAAAGGGAAGATAGTCTTTCCTCACTTGCATCTTGGGGGTGGGAAATTGCATTTGCCTTTAATCTTTCCCTTCCTTGGTCTGGCTTTAAAGTGTGGTTTTCTTCCTCTGGCTTTTTTTGATGGAGTTTCGCCAGATTGGCCAGGCTGGTCTCAAACTCCTGGTCTCAAGTGATCCGCCCACCTTGGCCTCCCAAAGTGCAGGGATTACAAGTGTGAGCCACCAGGCCCGGCCCCCTCTGGCTTCGTAGGGAGCCTGTTTGTCCACATTTCACTAGTTGTTCATACACAGTCCTTGGAGGAGCTCTAAGAAAATCTTGAATCTAGCTTATCCTTGGGAAACATTGATCATCCCCTGAGAGACACTGTGGATGCTACTCCTGCTGAATGACTGCCTCCCACCAAGTCTGCACTGTCCCTTAGAAAGATAATACTCAGACTGGGCACGGTGGCTCACGCCTGTAATCCCAGCACTTTGGGAGGCTGAGGCAGGTGGATCACCTGAGGTCGGGAGTTTGAGACCAGCCTGACCAACAAGGAGAAACCCTGTCTCCACTAAAAATGCAAAACTAGCTGGGCGTGGTGGCACATGCCTGTAATCCCAGCCACCCAGGAGACTGAGGCAGGAAAATCACTTGAACCTGGGATGCAGAGGTTGCGGTGAGCCAAGATCATGCCATTGCACTCCAGCCTGGGCAACAAGAGTGAAACTCCGTCGAAAAAAAAAAAAAGAAAAAAAAAAACAAAAAAAAAAACAAGAAAAGAAAAGAAAAATGATGTTCCATCCCCATCCTCTCTCTGCCCATTTAGCCTTAAACACCTAGAGGTTTAAGACTGTTAGCCTGGAAAACATCAGTCAGATTCCTTGCTCCTTGAGAAAGAACCTCTTAGACAGTTTTCCTACAATTTTGGAGTGGGCCGAATGCCCATTGCTGCTTACAGCTGTCACCTCCCCTTCCTTCCCCATTTGTTTTACTAGACTCATCTCTGTCTCCCCTGGTTTGCTTATGAAAAGCCTTTCTCTTGTGACTTTGTCTGACATTTGTGTATATTTGCTCTTTGAGTTGGAGGAGGAATTGACTTGCATGAAAGATGATAAATTAGTTTTACACTGCCTCCATAATAAATCACCTCAAGCTTGGCAGCTTAAAACACCACCCATTTATTATTTCACAGCACTTTGAGCTAGGAGTCTGGGCACAGAGTATTCCAACTGGGTGCTCTGCTCAGGACCTCACGAGGCCAAAGTCAAGGTGTTAGCTGGGCTGGACTCTTATTTGGAGGCTTGTAAAAAAATTCTCCTTCCAAGATCGTTCAGATTGCTTGCATTTTTCAGGTTCTAGTATTCTTATAACTAAGGTCCTTGACTCATGGACTCCTTTATCTTAAGGCCAGCAATGGCTTGTCAAGTCTTTTTCTTTTTTCAAATATCTGGTTTCTCTTCCTTCTGCATCTCTCTGAATTCAAAGTTCTCTGCTTATAAGGGTTCATGTGATTAGATTAGACCCACCCAGAAATCCAATATGATCTTCCTATTATAAGATTCACAACGTTAGTTACGTTTGCAATGTCTGTTTTGCCATGAAATGCTGCACATTCACAAGTTACAGGGATTAAGACTTAGATATCTTTGAGGGAGTCATTCTGTCTACCAAAGATGGTATGTTGGTAAGAACTGAACTTTACTTCTTAACATATTCTGGGGCCAAGTTTTCAGGATAAAGAAAGCAGCACCATTTTATGTCTTCAAATACGAATTTCTGAATTGTCAAACCATGCATTGATTTTCATCAGTGAGGGTTTAGGAAACAGAGGAAACAGGGAAGGAATAGGGCATGGCTGACCCTTGCTTCTTTCTTCTTTTGGTTCTTGTCCATCTTTTTGACCTCAGTACAGCCTATGTCACCCCTAGTGTATGTTAAGAATTCTGAATAATGAACATACTTTGGAATAATTTTCTTTTGTTTTGAGATAGGGTCTTGATCTGTTGCCCAGGCCGGAGTGCAGTGGTGCAATCTCGGCTCACTCTGCCTCCCAGGTTCAAGTGATTCTCCTGCCTCAGTCTCCTGAGTAGCTGGGATTACAGGCATGTGCCATCACGCCTGGCTATTTTTTTTGTTTTTTGTATTTTTAGTAGAGATGGGGTTTCACCATGTTGGCCAGGCTGGTCTTGAACTCCTGACATCAAGTGATCTGCCCGCCTTGGCCTCCCAAAGTGGGGGGATTACAGGCCTTCACCACCATGACTGGCCTAATTGTCTTTTTAACACTTAAAGACCTTTCTCCTAACTTAGAATTATCCCCCATGCCCATACTCTCCCAAATAGGACAGGCTTGTTAGCTAGGTGGCAGCTTCCTGGATCATCTCAGCTCTGTAACCAATGAAAATTCTAAGTTTGGATGGGGCATATTTATTTTCACTTTTACCATTTTGATTTTCAAAAAAAAAACAAGAAAAACATCCCAAGAACATTGAGGTTTGTTCTCTGTCCCTGAAGAGCATATATCCTAGTTGGTAACAAAATACCATGTCTTCAATATGACTGTAAAAACCTAGAAGTTTGTAATAAAGCATGAATACTAAAATAACTACCCAGAGGTCTATAACTGAGGTGTACATGATATAATGTAGTCATTTGGAGGACCTGGAGATTCATCCAGTCTGCAAAGAGAAAAACCCGTGGGGAAAGACTTGGGCCTGAAACGGTGGGCAGGATTCGGATAGACATCAAGGAGAAATAAATTAGTCAGCAACTCAAAAACCACGTGAGGCATTTCAACATGAAGTTCATATAGGGAATGCTTGCTCAGGTTTTAGAAATCTAAAACACAAAAAGGTAACACAGAGTTGAAAACTGCAGCAAACAGCTCCCACTCACTATGGTGGGGAATAAAGGAAAGGAGTTGGTATCAGAAACTAGAAAGTGAGAAGAGAGATCCCGGCATGTGGGCTTAGACCTCTGAAGAGAAAGTGCATCCTGGCTGCCGTCAGTACCTCAGGAGCTCCTAGGATTGGGGTCTTGTGGAGCTGAGACTCAGTATCTGAAAAGGAGACACTTCCTAGATGACCCTGGCACCTCTGAAGGTGCAATGAGCCTGGGTCTGCAGGCACTTTTCAAAATCTGGAAAGTGAAACAAACTGTTCTATCACTGCCAGGGTGAAGGGCTGTTGCCCTATAATAAAGTAACAGAGAATGAACAGGCTCCTGGGGCCCTCTAGTGTCAGAATCTAACAGGGAACCGCAAGCAAAAGAGAAATATGTTTTGCAGAGCCCAAGCCCCACATCTCAAAGCCCAGTACTTGAGGGTGGATTCAGGGCTGGGACACAATCATGTGATAACTGGCACATATGACAACTGGCATCATTTTTATATTGAATTTGTGTGTTTATGTGAGTTTTCCTACTACAAGTTACCCCACTGCAAGAAGTTTTAAAAGTGTTATTTCCAGACCTTATTGCAGAGGTAAACTTATACCTTTACATGTTTGTTGCAAAGTAAATTGAATAGAAATTAAGAAATGATTAAAAATTTCTTATAAAATTCCTTTTTCCCTGCGCTTAAGATCCAAATCTGAACTTCAGAAAACCTGGACTCTAGATCTGCCTCAGTTACTGGAATATGTAGTGCTCATGCAAATATATACTGCTTATTCCCTCACACAACCCTAAAACCAGCAACACATTGCTTTACCCCATGGTCCTCAATGTTTCTTCCCATATCCCAAATTATCATGCTAATTTTGGCAATATACAGATGATTTTTTAAAAAAAATTAAATTGTATTAGTAAACAAGTTATTTTGACATTTGTCTAAGAATTATAATAAACACAATTTATGACATAGAAATATGACCTTTGCACTTCCAAATTTCTCCAAATGCTAAACTGCTCATGTCAGACTTCCACTGAAGTTTTTGTTATAGAAGACCAGATAATAACAATTACTATACTTATACTATCTCTTCTAGGATATAATGGAAGCACTAAGATTTAAAATTCTATCAGGCTTCCATTTGATCCAATTTTATAACTACTTAACTAACATTATTTGCATTGAATAAGAGATAATTCAGAATTAGTTGACACAAGGGACCAAAGAATTCCTCACTATGGTTTTGGATCTTTGGATTGAGTTTTATTTGAAAGCTCAGCTAACCCTAAGTGCGGGTCACATCTACCTTCAGGGTTTTCAAATGGGAGGGGAGGAATACAGCAATTAGGAGAGAATAACTTGGCATTGTAAATGGAGAGTGTGTTAGGTCCTGGAAATCACTTAGGAGAACAAGCACTTGGGGAACATCCATATATACTCTCCAAAGAAGGGCGAGCAAACAGAAGTCTTTGGAACATGAAATGCCCCTGGAGTTCATGAGAATGTTTGGGACTCTGACTGTGAGATGGCAGAACTATGCTTGAGCCAGCCATTCCACTTTCAGGTGGGGGAGACAAGTCACTTGTTCTCATCAGGTACATCTTTGTAGTATTTCTATCGGACTTTATTTCCATTTAAGGTGTACTGAAACTTCTGAAGTCTTCAGATTCAGCAAGTCTATCAAAGTCAAAAGGCTTTTTGGAGCAAGATCTGGATCAGAATGGAATCGTTCTAGGGAAATCATTTGTCTTTTATCCTAAGTTTCTTCAGGTCCTCACAGGACAACTATGGATTCTAGATTTCTGAGCCCACCTAGCTTAACCTTCCTTAGTGATCTGATATTCCAGGGAAACATATTGTCCTGGGCCTTTCCAAAGTGGCCCTGTTAGAACAGGAGCATGTGGATCCTCTTCCCAAAAGCTGCATGTGATCTTGGCTTCAATATACTTTGTTGGTTGTATGCATTTTATGTTCCTTTATATATAAAATATAAAATAAATATAAAATGCATACAACAAATTTTTAATTTTTTAAAAAATAGAGATGAGGTCTCACTATGTTGGCCAGGATGGTTCTGAACTCCGGCTTCAAGCAATCCTCCCACCTTGGCCTCCCCAAGTGCTGGGATTAAAGGCATGAGCCACAATGCCTGGCTCATTTTATTTTCTTATGTAACTAAGTTTTTCTCAGCAAGCAGATTCGATGACCTCCAGTTATCATAATTTTTCCTCATGGGAACTCATCTGGCATTGTGAAGAACAAATAGCACTTTCAGGATTTTCTGTAAGACGTTTGGCCCATTTTCTGTAGAAATGCAACTTTCATGTGCATGGCTCAGATCATCATCTATTTTGGGACATTTTTTTTCTCCATATTAAGTGGAGCAAACATTGTCCAGACTTTCATTTCTTTCTGTTGTCATGCCGCTAACTCTGCTGAAGACTTTAAAAGTCACTTCAAATTGGGTGTTTTCTGTGTGCATAGATTCTTTCCAGTTTGTATATATTTAATATGATCTGAAAGTGCTTCTTCTATATTTTTTTCAGCCAGTTCAGCATGTTTAATTTCTTTTTCCTCCAAAAGGTTTCCAAGAAACACTTGAGGTCACATGATAAATCAGTTTCTCCAATGATTCTTTTGATGAATCATGAAAGAATGTCCATTTTCTTTAAAAAAAAAAAAAAGGGGGAAAAAAAAGACTGTCCATATTCTAACTTATTGCTTATATACAATTCTAATTTACACCATCCATATTATCCTCTCCAAGTATAGCAGCTAGATTGGTCAGCTTTATCCACTCTTGAGAAACTTGATATAACATTCCTTATCAGTAGCATTTCTTGCATATGCACCATAGAATCCTTAGCCAAGAGACCCACTGGCCTTTGTTTGTTTAATGGTGTGTGTGTGGGTGTGTTTGCACACGTCTGTGTGGTAGCACTGAATTCCAAAGAAAAAACTAAACAAGCCAACCAGAAGTCCAACATGGAATATAGTGATCCGTAGAAAAGGGCATTCTACATTGAGCCACCAACCCAAATCTCTGAAAATGGCAAATACAGAATTCTTGGTCGTAAAATAGATTATGAGGTTTGTCTATTCCTAAATAATAGACATTTACATCCTTCCTAACTGGTATCTTCATCCAATCCCAGGGAGCACCTCCTCTCAAAACTCCCCATAATTGCTGTTGAAAGATCTATCCAGTTTCTTTTGTCTGTTTCAGCCTAGGTTCTCAGAGAGACATCTTTTAAAGACAAAGATGGATATATCAAAACTCCAATAAGCCATTCCAAAATATCATAAACAAAGAGGCCACCCTAACTTGCCTGTTTAATATTGCAAACCACATACCTCCCACTCCCTGGTCCCCTTACCCTGCTTGACTTTTTCTTTGCTCCATAGAACTTATTACCTTCAAATAGATACAATTACTTATTTGTGTTTATTATGTGTTTCTCCCCAGCTTGAAAAATCCACCCTAGTCTCTGCTGTGTACTGTTGATGTATCCGAATGCCTAGAACTGTGCCTAGCTTTTAGCAGACACTCAATAACTGTTAGTTGGGAGACTAAACGAATAGAGGACATCCAAGAGTCAACAGTTCAAGTTGAGGACATCATCCTAATGTAACCTGACTCTTGGGCTTAAATGTCACTGAAAGGACTAGAAAGACAAATAGGGTAGTGAATATCACAACATCCACCCACCCCCTACCCATCATCGTACTTCAAAGGTCAACCCACATATGCTTAAGAAAATGAGAAAAACAGGAACAAATTTAGAAAATCCTAATATTCAGAATAAAACCCAGAAGAAAATGATTAGAAGGTATACATACTGGAGAATGAGAGGAAGGCAGAAAGAAAAAGAGGAAGCAGGAAGACAGGCAGAAAAGAAATAAAATCTGTCACCAACTTACTCTTTAAAACACAAATATAAAGTATGATCGCAATTTCAGGCTCGCAGTTTGGTGGACAAGCACTAATGTATAGGAGTTTCTGGTTTCATGTCCTGGTGTTTGGCCCCTTACTTTCCCTTAATATTTGTATCAGATTTTCCATTAAATGGTTTTCCCCTCTGCTCTTGCTGGTGTCTTTCTCATTTAATATATTTCCTTCTATGCAACAGCCTTCCAGTGGTTTCTCTCTCAACTGAACTATCAGTGAAAACTTCCTTATTGAACCGAAAATAAATTCTTTCCTTTGATTCTACTCATACTTATTTTGCAAAACGCACCAGTCCCGCGTCCTGCTCTCCACCCAATTAACACTCTTATGTTCCTAAGAATAATATCTGTATTATTACAAACCTCTGTGTTTTGTTGTTGTTGTTGTTGTTGTTGTTGTTTGAAACGGAGTCTTGCTCTGCCACCCACGCTGGAGTGCAGTGGCGCGATCTCGGCCTACTGCAACCTCTGCTTCCTGGGTTCAAGCAATTCTCCTGCCTCAGCCTCCCAACTAGCTGGGATTACAGGCGCCCGCCATCACGCCCGGTTAATTTTTGTATTTTTAGTAGAGATGGGTTTCACCATGTTGGCCAGGCTGATCTGGAACTCCTGACTTCGTGATCCGCCCGCCTCGGCCTCCCACAGTGCTGGGATTACAGTGTGAGCCACGGCGGCAAGCCTATAAACCTCCGTTTTTAAAACACATTAACATAGCAACAATGAGAGTCAAAAAAAGGGAAAACATTTTTCCAATACACGGAGAAGTAGCCTCCTTTCTAATGTATTGTTTAGACTGAAAAAAAGTAAAATAACCTTGTTGGAATGGAGATATTCCACCACATTCATTTCTGTGGCACAATTGGTTAGCGCGTTCGGCTGTTAACCGTAGGGTTGGCCGTTTGAGCCTCGGGTGCCGGAATTTCATGAGAAACGGTATTTTCTTACTTCAGGGATTGTGTCTGGCAAATTAAATGAAAATCCAACCATTATTCTTCCCCTGGTGTTCCTTGGGTATTTTCATTTCCTTGTTTCTTGATTAAATTTACCAAGCTCCTTCTAAATGCCAGTAGATATGAAAGCAATCCCATGTTTCTGAACCACTTGTTTTGTTTCCAAACTCCATCTCTCTCATGTGCTGGTCCATCCAGTAGAGTCCCCACAGCAAAAAGCAGCAGAAGTCACTCGGCCAAGGTCTTGCAGAGCTTGCCCCCTACACTGAGCTGGCGTCGCCTCTACCTGAATCAGTTCCTTGGGTCAGGCTTTGGACGTCACAATAGAGCACGAATAAAAGGGGTGGAGACCTCTAGCTAGGTTTCCACCTGTATTCCTGTGACTGGTATTTTCCTGTGACTGGTATTTTCCTAAATTATCAGACTCTCAATTTTTTTCTTGCTAACAAAATAAATACCAAAGATGGTCTCTCTTAGACTCTGCAATTCCGCTTCTGACAATTTTTACACAATAGCTGTATTTGTACAACTAAAATTGACTCATGTCAGCATTATTCTTTTAAACACTTAAAAGAAAAAAAGATTAGAAGAAGCTGCACGTCCAACCATAAAGTCCTGATTAAATAATCAATGATAATTGACACAATGGAATTGGAGGCAAAGGTGAAAAACAAAAAGAAGTTCTCTGAATTCATTTGCAGGCAATGTGCTGGGGGAGCTCACTGGAGTGCGCTAACCCTGATAGCCCAGGTCAGCCACAGACTGGCCACAATAACTGCTGAAGGTGGCTGGGCACACACCATGCAGCTGCAAAAGACATTGCCAGGTTTCCGATGGCCTCTCCCCTCCGCCCGCCTTCGTGTCTCCAGTTAACAAGGGGTGCGAAAAAAGTGTGGTTTCAAGGGCCCTGGTAACAGAAGATAGAAAATTTTTCATTTTCAATCTCGGCTCACTGCAACCTCCGCCTCCCGGGTTCAAGCAGCGATTCTCCTGCCTCAGCCTCTTGCGTAGCTGGCATTACAGGGGCCCGCCATTACACCCGGCTAATTTTTGTATTTTTAGTAGAGACAGGGTTTCACCGTGTTGCCCAGGCTGGTCTCGAACTCCTGACCTCAAGTGATCCACTAGGCTTGGCCTCCCAAAGTGTTGGGATTACAGGCGTCAGCCACCACACCCGGCCAATTTTCATTTTCTTTAATATTCTGTCAGGTATTGATTTCAAGATGGGAGCCGAGCACCGTGGCTGTAATCTCAGCACTTTGGGAGGCCAAGGTGGGTGGATCGCTTGAGAACGGGAGTTCGAGAGCAGCCTGGGCAACACAGTGAGACCTCATCTCTACAAAAAATATTTTAAAAATTAGCTGGGCGTGATGGTGCATGCCTGCGGTCCCAGCTACTCAGGAAACTGAGGTGGGAGGATTGCTTGAGCCCAGAAGATGGAGGCTACAGTGAGACAGGATCATGCCACTACACTCCAGCCTGGGTGACAAAGTGAGACCCTGTCTCAAAAAATAAAAGGGGGGTGGGCAGGGACCAGCAGATCTAATACTGGATCTTAAGCAATTCACTAAAATTCACATTAAGCCTCCTGGGAACTGAGCATGTCCCTAGACTTCCACCAAAGGATTTTCCCCTCATAATTCTACTGTAATATAACAAGATAAATGCAGGGAGAAAGGTTTTATAAGGAATCACAAAAAAAAAGGAATTTGAGAGTAGCTGTAAATACGACTTTTGAACATTTTTAGGGCAGGGCGTGGTGGCTCATGCCTGTAATCCCAGTACTTTGGGAGGCTGAGGCGGGAGGATCGCTTGAGCCCAGGAGCTCAAGGCCAGCCTGAGCAACATAGAGAGACCCTGTCTCTGAAAAAAAAAAAGAGAGAGAAAGCTTTTAGGCACCCAGACATACCCTATTAAAGCCCTCTTACTCTACCAGGAGTCCCACCTCAACTTATTTGGAAAGAAATCAGCCCACTCCATTGCCATCAAATGCAGAGTCCCAGCTTCTCAGTCAGGAGTGAAACTAAGTTGAATCAGAGTATACACTACAACCACAGGATCATGACTGAGAATTATTACTCAGTTTGCTACTCTTGGTGCTAGATAAAATAAATCCACTCATATTGGCAGGTACACTTCATTCTCTAGTCTATAACATGTGCATTTCTCATGAATTTCCTGTAATAAGCATTCACCATATGCACACTGGGAAAAGCTGGGGAAAAGGTGAGGAACAAAGGATAAAATATTAAGAGGCAAATTGAGTCATCTCTCTGAGCTCAGTTTTAATGGGGGGATAACAATATTATATAGTTGTGGATTAAATGAGTTACTTCATATAAAAAAACAAGTGCTGTTTAAATAGAAACAAAATTGTGGATGTAAAAAATTATTTTCCTACACTCAATGGGCTTAAAGTCAAGATGAAAGTTCCTAGGATATTTTCTTCCACCCATTTATTCTCATTCCTCACTCCACCTGTGACTTACTTAGCTTGCCTGGCCGCAGGTGTGAGCTCTTTGTACAGAACTGTTTTGGAGATGGACCCTGAAATACCAGCCCTTGAACATACTGTTATCTAACGCTGTCCACCGTGGGAATGCAATTTATTTCTTCATTCAAGAAAGTCTTAAATAAAACCCCAGTATGTCTACTGTACTTTCTAAGCTGTTAGCAACTAGAGGGAAAGTTTCTTCTTCACCTTGGTATCTCTTTATCTAGCAGAAGTAGCAATGGGCACTTGGAATTCTGAATAAATGAATATGCCAGCCTGTCAAATTCTGATTCTGGATTTTTCTGTTTCACTTTAAGACATCAATGATCTGAGGAAACAATTCACATGAAACAAACCCACAAGAATTAAAAACAGAAACAAGACGAAAGTTTCTAAATGGAAACGTAGTTTGTGTGCCAAGTATAAGAGGTATGTGGGTTGTGAGAAATGTTATACCAGCTTTACCGTATGGTCCTTTTTATTCTCCCCAGTAAAGTGCACCTGTCAAGATCATAATGTGATTAGGGTATTTTACAGCCAAAGTAGACAAATCCACTCTACCCTATAAAACACAGATCATCACATTGACAGATGAAAAACAAAAACAAACAGCACAAGCAAACAGAAATTATAATCATACTCTATCACTTCATGCAACAGCCTGGAAAATGATCAGAATTTTGGTCTACGTGAGACTGTGTAGACTGTTTATTGTGACACCTAGGTTTTCAGTTCCTTTTAGTGGCTTACACTGATTCTTTGAAGCCTACAGGGCTGCTTTGCCTCAGCCCCACCATATGTAAGTGCACCTGAGGTGCACTGGTTCTCTACTAGGCTTTGCCCACCTTTACAATGGTTCCAACTCAACACTCCACCCAGGAAGCATTCTTTGTAATTGTGGGAGCACTCCACACTCTTTCAGACTTATTATTCTCCCAGTTTACTTTGTAGGAATGATCTGGAAAACTTGGTGAGGACTGACTCACCACTGAAGACTGTGATCATCAATCAGGTTCCCATTGAGAGGACTCTATGACCTGCCATGGCTCCCATTCCACCCTTTATATGCATCTACCACGATGCCTATCTTATACTAGTGGCCTGTAAAACTCTTAATACTAAGATGTGTTATTACCTATTGTCACTGTTTCCTCAAACAATGGCTTAGAAAATGCTGACTTAAGATAACTGATTGATAAACTGGGCTAAGATATTAGACAAAAATTAAATAGAAAAAAAAATCCAGGTTAAACAGTAAGGTGGGTGGCAGGGGGAGGGGGGCTCTAAGATCAGGATATGAAGGTGAAGGGAACACAAGATGAAAGTTGGAACTTGTCCAATGACCTCCCCACCAACAAAAATAAAAAGGCACATAAAAATATTTTTATTTTCTATAAATACATTAGGAAATGTATTTCTTCCCAACCCAGTCCACCCCATTAACTCAATTTTTTCTACATAAAAAAGATGCTAATACCACCCTCACCTGTGACTGCTAAACAGAGAAAGATTGCCTGGACTAGGCATTATCCTCCTAGTTGGAAATAAAGGCCCTTTCTGGGGGCAGGAAGTGGGATTTTCAGGGGACCCTACAGACGTAGGCAGCCAAGAGTCAAACAAAACAAGCATATGCAATAGTCATAATTATGCTAGTATGACAGTATGAATTAGGTGACTCAGCCAGGCACATACAGGAGTTCGGAGTGGGGACAGTGGAAGCCCACAAAACTCCATGTTTGGGCCATCAGTAGACACTTGGTCTGAGAAACACAGTAAAATGTCTGCCCGGGTAGTCACGATCATTCTAGTATGAGGTAGACAGGAAGCAGAGCAGGGCCAGGAAATGGAAGGGGCCACCCAGGCCCTCAGGAGTCCCTGACAAGGGAAGGTCCCTCCATGCTCTCTGAGGGTGGCGGGGCTCCAAAGATCCTGGCCAGGAGCCCTTTGTTGGAGCGGGCCTTGTCCTGGGCAGTTGCCAGGCGAGCCCGTTCACGTCCCCCTGGCCGTGCTGCTTTACGGGCCCTCAGTTCCTGCTCAGTAGGACGCTGGGCAAATGTCCAGGAGCCATCTGGGCGAGCAGGGTCCCCATCGGCCGCAAGAAAGCGTTGTCCCCGTTCCACACTTTGAAGATAGAAGTCGGTCTCACGCTTGGCTTGAGCAACCTCCGCTCTCAAGCGCTGCCTGCGCACCTGGCGCTCAAAGGCGAGGTGCTCGCTGAGGTGGGACCAGGTGAAACGGTGCAAGTACTGTGGGCAGAAAAGAAGAAAAGATCAGGATAGTGCAGATTAGGGAGAAAGATGAGACAAGGGGACAAGGCCAATGAGAGGCCATGGGGATACTTGGGCCAGAGTTGGGGAGAAGGGAGGGTGAGAGGTGTGGCAGAAAGATCTATCTTCTCACCTTGAGGTTCCAAAGATCATAACGGAAGGGGCTGCGCCTGCGGGCACCCATAGGCGTGTTGTGTAGACTGGCCGCCACGCGCTTGGCTATGCGCTTGTCACGGAACTCCACCCATCCCTCGGTGTAGTCCTTGGTGTAGGACCGCTTTTTTCCTCCGGCAGCTGCTGCTGCCTTCTTCTTGCGTCTCACGAACCGGTCTGCGCGCCAAAGACAAAGACCCGTCCAGGACGCCTATGCAGCACTCACTCAAAAGCACCTCCCACTGCCCGCAACGTTCTTCACATCTGCCAGTGGGAGTCCCACCTGAAGAGTTTTTGCCCAGGAGGAAGGGAACTGTAAATCGCACCCTTTCCTCTAGCTAACTCAATTCTTTCCTTAATTGTCCACTCCTTAATCTGGCCAGCCCTGAACGCTGCTTAAAACCGGCACAAGTCCTCAGCCTCAATGTAAAATTGAGGGTGGAAAGAAGAGGGGCGGTTGATCAAATAGTTTCTTGACCTAGGCAGCAATGCTAAAGAGTTATGTTCAGTTTTGTAGAAAAGCTGACGAGACTTTTACTCAGGTTGTATTCATGTAACAAACCAGTAAACAGGTCCGGAAAGAGAGGTGAACAGAGCCGGGATAAGAACACAAATAGTAACAATCCGAGAACTAAAGAACCACCAGACACACTGCGCTACCCACTCTCCCCATATCCCCTCCGCCCGCCCACCCCAGCATCCTCACAGACTGATTCACCAGCCAGGAGCCAAGCACCGCACTCCCCACCCCCAAAATCCAGCAACTCGTGCCTCAGCCTCGCGCAGCGAAGCAACAGGACATGCATGCTTGCACCCCGCCAGCGAGCGACAACCTCCTCCTGTCACCGTCAGGGCCTGCATACTTACCCTCAGCCTGAAAGAAGACGCGTCCGACCTCGCCATAGGCGCTGAGAAGGTTGCGGACGTGCAGGGGCCGGAAGCGCGGCGGGATATGGCCCAGGTACACAATACCTGGCACTACCCGTTTCTTGCTGCCACAGGCCGCTTCTTCGGATTCCTCCTGCTCCTCCTCCGCATCTAGTGTCTGTTCTGTCCCTTCCAGCGGCTCTTGCTCCGTTGCGGCCTTCTCCGATTCCTCTGCCTCCATGTTGACTGACACGAGCGGCACGACGGCCGTAAAGTGCCTTGCCAACTGACGCAAAACGCGTGCGACGGCCTGAGACGAGGGGGCGGGTCCAAGGTGGTGATGACAAATGAAAGGAAATGATTGGGCAATACAGTCGGGTCCAGGGGAAGGCCGAGGGGAGAGGGAGGAAGTGGTGTGTCAGGTCGGAAGCCTGATTCAGAGCGTGGAAGCGGGATGGGAAACTTGGGTTAGGCTCAGATTCCCGGTCAGATCTCCAACTCAGGACAGGCAGAACCAGAAAAGGCAGATCCCCAAATATAACCTACCCTATAGAACGCCTTGTCGAGACGCTAAAAGGCGGGTTGATGCCGGCTTTTTAGGGAATTTTGCAGAACAATTTTAGAGAAGTTTCTATGTGTTCTAGCGATCAAAATAGCATTTTATTCAAGGGCCCCGGGTGCGATTCCAGCTGAGGAATGACTCACCTTTTAAAGTTTATAAATTTCATTTAAAAATTTTGAGTTTTGAGGTTTTAACTATTTCTGGAAATTTACCTCGGAATTTTGAATATTTTAAAATTTAATTTTGAAAACAGTTCAACTTTGGAAATTTAATTAGATTTAATTTTTGAAAATTTAAGTTGTGAACTTTCAGTTTAATATTTTACATTTGATTTTGTGAATGTCTGAAAATTTAAATGTGTGACAATTATTTGAAGAATTTGTTTGGCATCTATTACACGTGTGTATTGATACATTATCCATATGCATACTTATGTTGCAAATACTTGTCAGAGGCGCACAAGCCTCCAATTCTGGCGACCCCCCGGCGGCGCGCTTATTTCTGCTCTCCCTGGGTCTGTCCTCAGATTCCCTATCAGATCACAAACCACTTTTCCTTCTATGACCTACGCAACCGCAGAACGGACCGGGCCACGGCGGTCCTGCTCCCACCAGGCGGCCTGCGGACCATCCCTAAGCCAAGCTCAGGGCAGTTTTCCCCGCGCGGGCTCGGGTCCTCAGTCTCTTATCGTCGCCCGAGGGCGCGACCAGCAGGGGGCGCCGTCCCCACCCTTGAGGCGTTTCAGTTCTTCCCATCGGCGCCAGCGACAAGCTGACTGCAAAGGACAGTGCTGGGAACCGCGTACAAGTAATCCGGTTAGCTTTCTGGAAGCAGCCCGGGGCGAGTTTGATGACTATCAACATAAATCCGTCCTTGCTGCGGCCTGACAAAATTTCCCATCTCGCTCCAAGAGCGCAGAGTAGCCCAGAGAATGGAAGCAGGGAGTAAATGTGTCCACTATTAAAATCAGAGATGACAGTTTTTGCCAGTCCCCAAGTATATTTCTAAAGTAACAGGGCCCTGCACTCTTTCATGGAGTGTCTAAAAGTCTAATAATAGACTTCTCGAATTCAAACACGCCTGTTTCATTAACTTTATTGAAGAGAACTTTCTGTCAGGTAGGTGTCCACTGCTCCTTTTTTGAAGAGGAGCGGGGTACGATGAGAGCGATAAACTCCGTCTACTGCTATTTAATTATAAACACTGACATCTTCAAAACACAGTACAGTTAATGAAATGAGAACACGTGTTGGGGTGGCTTTAAAAGATCTGGAGCTAGGGGAGGGGCATGATGGATGCAAGAGTGTCGGTAAGTTGTGCCAGTGTGGTGGCTAATGGTAGCTATTAGCTATTTTCTCTACTTTGTATATATTTGAAATTATCATTAATAAAATGTTTATTCACACCAAGTATCAATATAACAGGGGGTGCTAAAGGACCGTGAAACCGACAAAAAAAAAAAAATGAAGCCTTGGGGCAGCGTGTTCTTCCCGTTCCCCACATTCCTCATGATCCCTTCTCAACTTGGTGAAAATCGAGTCCCACTCAACTGTCTGTGAAGCAACCCTTGTTAGCAATTTTCAGGGTGGATTATTTTCCTTCTCTGAGCGTCTTACAAATTCCTGAATAAGCAAGCTGCACATGCGTTCTCCAAGTTTCCTTATTTCAGGCCCAGAAGAGACACTTTTAAAAATGGAACTCCTCCGAGCCGGATTCGAACCAGCGACCTAAGGATGACCACATTCAAACCCCTACAGTCCTCCGCTCTACCAGCTGAGCTATCGAAGGATGTCATTACCCTCGTTTTGGATTCTTTAGGATTTACCTATTGCTTTTGACTATCCTGTATTCTTGTTCATTTTGAAAATATAGGGAAACGTGAGGAAATTTTCTAGGATATTAGAAATGTTCCAAAATGTTCTAAAATGTTCTTATCTGAGTAGGGATACTGACTATACAAGTATATGAACAATTCTCTTGAACATTTAAAATTTGTGGGTTTTACTGTAAAAATGTTTCACATAGGTCCAAAAAAATAAAAAATAAACAAAACCACACCAATATTCCATGTCCTCCTCCCTTAGAATAGATAGGACCATTGCCCTTATTGCGCGTGTTGTCCAGCTGTCCTGTCCGCTTAGCACCTCCTCTCTCTATAGGAAGTAAATAATAAAGACAAGGTTATTTTAGACAACTGGGTTGAAGAGGGGGGACCTACCGCCTTGAAGCGAAGTTACTGCCCAGTTCATTTCGGAAACATTGAGATTCTCCTTTCTGAAGGGCAAGGAAAATTACACAATTTGTATAATTTGTAATTTGTGTTCGAGACACAAAACAGAAGTGCGTTGTGTGTGTACATATGTTTAGGAATTGAGCGGCTCATATGATATTGCACAATTGTAATGGGACAAGTAAATGAAACACAACACTTCTCTCTCCCCCTACAATTTAAAAAAGAAATATAGCATTCTATTTACAGGTGTCAACCTAAATAACAAAGAGAAGCTCTCTGAAAGAAAATGATGTTTATTTGGGAATAGAGCATTGCAATGAAAATACGAGTGCCATAGGAAACTATGTATATTCAGGGAGGTAAAGGAAGACAAAGGTGTTTGTTTGTTTGTTTTTGAGTTGGAGTCTGGCTCTGTCGCCCAGGCTGGAGTGCAATGGCGCAATCTCGGCTCACTGCAACCTCCGCCTTCCGGGTTCAAGCAATTCTCCTGCCTCAGCCTCCCGGAGTAGCTGGAATTACAGATGCCCGCCACCACGCCCGGCTAATTGTTGTATTTTTAGTAGAGACGGGGTTTCACCATATTGGCCAGGCTGGTCTCGAACTCCTGACCTCATGATCCGCCCACCTGACCTCATGATCCAGAATATAAAGTGCTGGGATTACAGGCGTGAGCCACCGAGCTCAGCGACAAAGATTTGTAAGGGAAAAAATGAGAAGGATTATATAACTGTGTTGAGGTAATTATTGTCTGCTACAAAAATGGATAGCAAAGAGGAAGCTAGTCCGAGGTTGGACAGGCAGTTGTGGGGCAGATGTCCTTGTAGAAGTATTTTTTGTGTAAGATTGTGATGGCCTGTGCAAGATTGTGGTTTTTGCAGTCTTTTGTGATAGTTTTTGTTATCAAGCATGGCCTTTTCCAGCTCTATTAATTAGCGTTTTTAGTTTGTTTTGTGTGTTTGTGTGTTTTAACAATAGTGACTCCATTTTGATTCTGACAGTTTTCACAAAGGTATGCTGTCATGCTTTGCTAATAAGTACCTATCATGGTATTCAGCTTCCTCGTGCCTAAAACAGAAATGAACACCAATGGGAAGAACGGGAAGGCATCTGGAGAGACTTTTCTTTTTTATAAAATTATTAGAAGTATATGGAAATTATAAATTGTGAAATTTATGGAAAGGAGTGTTGGTGAATTTATTTATAAAAGATCATCACTTATTACAGTTAAAGTTCTCCATAATTGTAATCTTGACAAAAATACGGTTTTTTTTTTCAAAAGATCCTCTCCAGCGTTTCCCATGAGAAATATCTGCAGCAACATAACTAATATTTAATTCAGTTATTCAATTCATTGCCATGAGAAACTAAGAATATATGGTCTGGTAAATTCCTTTCCAATAATGTAACCTAGTCGGGGAAAATACGAGAAGCCAGAGAAGAGAAATGAGCAGATTCTTATGAGATGGTCTCTGCCCATATGAAGTGTACTAACTGAGCCTTGGACACCAGATGTGAAAGCAGTTGACCAACCCTGCCATTTCACCACCAAACCCCAGGATCTCAGTTCACATGCTTTCTCGAATAAAAGCTTCACTAATTTTCACAGGGGGCAGCAAACATACAGAAAAAAATGCTCAGTATGTTTCTCATCAGTTACTGCTATGCTCAGGAGCTCCCAGAGCCTCCTGACTCTCAGTGACACGGTACTATAGAGTTGATTTTGATCAGGAAGAACTCCAATAGCTAATCTCATCAATTATTTTCTTTACCTATAAACTAATCTTAGCATAAGAATCACACCTCAGGGCTGTTAAAGTTGGAATTTCATTTGCCTGAAATGCTCTTTCCCCTGATAATCCCCAATATTTGCCTCCTGGGAATACAAGAACAAGTAATTAGTACCTTTCCGCACTAGATTTCTGTATCACTTTGAGGGAAGACTTCCTTCTTCCTCTTCTTACAGAATCTGGTGTCAGAACGGCCATTCTATTTATTCCCTCTTGTTGCAGACACAAGTTCAAAATGGGTTTATGGCTAAATCTAACTATCTGAAATAATTCTTGGAAATGTATCATCATCACTTGATTACAATCTCACCCTGTAGCTTCTCTATTGTTTTAGCACCTTTTCAACTTGCGAATTGAGTCCTACCTAGATGGTTTTAACTTCTCTTGAAGCTTACAGACCACTATAATATTCCTATGGAATAAAAAGGAACAAACTATTGGTAAACGTAACAACAGGGATGAAACTCATCTGCATTATGCTGAATTTACAAAGCCAGATACAAAATGCTACATACTATATTATTCCTATGAAATTCTTGCAAGGGCAAAGCTATAGGGACAGAAAATATCCTTAGTTGCTACTGGGGTAGAAGATAGGGGAGAAATTAAGTATAAAAGAAACATAGTGATTCAGTAAGAACAAAATAGAAAAAGAAGAAGAGGAAGAAGAAGGAGAAGGAGAGGAGGAGGAGGAAGAGGAGGAGAAAGAAAGAAGGAAGAAAGAAGAAGAAGAAACAACTTCTTTCTTCTTTCCTCCTGGGAGGCTAGGCCTGGTGTCATGCCTGTAATGGCTTGAGCCCAGGAGTTCCAGCCTGCAGTAAGCTATGATGGAAGAACTGCACTCCAGCCTGGGTAACAGAGCATGACCCTGTCTATTAAAAAAAAAAAAAAAAGAAGAAGAAGAAGGAGAAGGAGAAGAAGAAGAAGGAGGAGGAAAAGAAGAAGAAACATGCAGAAATTTGGGGGTAGAGTGATATTATTATTCCATATCTTGATTGTAATGGTGATAACACGACTGTCTATATTTGACAAAATTTGCTACACTAAGGAGAATGTACATTAAAACTGATGACATTACTGTATGTGAATTGTACCTTAATCTAAAAAATGGGAAGAGTAACTTTCAAAGAATTAAAGAAGAAAAGAAAAGTGTAGCTTAGAATTTAATTTTGAAATCAATGTAATCAGTGTAATTACTTTATTATCAGACTAAACAGGAAAAGCCATATGATTATTCCAGTAGGTGTAGAAAAAAGCAATTGACAAAATTCAGATACATTTGTTAGAATTTCTGCAAAGTATAAAAGACATATTTAAGAATTCAACAGCTAATATATTTAGTGATGAAAAACTCAAATGTTTTGGCCCTAACATCAGGTCCAGAGCAAGGATGTCCACTCTCACAACTTCTATTCAGCATTATCCTAGAGATTCTAGCCAGTGCAATAACACAAGAGAAAGAAAAAAATACAGATTAAAAGGAAAAAGTGAGACTATCTTTATTTGCATGTAACATTATTGTCTACGAGAAAATACTGAGGAAACTTCTACAAAGCTACTACAACTAATGAGTAAGCTTACCAAAACTGCAGGACACAAATATAATAAATTGTAATTCTATTTATTAATAGATTGTATTTGTTAACAATAAATAGTTAGAAATTGAAATACAAAATACCATTTGAAATAGTATAAAAAATATGAAACATTTAGAGATAAATTTACCAAGATGCAATGAAAGCAATGCATTGTTTCCAGAACAGAAAATTTAAACAATTTTCAGATATCAATTCCACATCTTTCAAATTGACTGATACATTTAATGCCATGACTATCAAAATCTCAATGATTTTTTTTAGAAATTGGCAAGCCAAATATAAAATGTATAAAATGTATACAGACAGTCAAAAGATGCAAAATATCCAAACTAATTTTGAAGAACAAAGTTGGAAGAACACTACCTGATTTCAAGACTTACAACAAAGCTACATAGAGTCTAGAGATAAACTTACATGATTATGATTAATTGATTTTTGACAGAGGTGCCAAGGTAATTCTACAGGAAAACGATAATCTTTGCAAAATGATGCTAAAAAACCTGAATATCCATGTGCTAATAAGTGAACTTAGACCCTTATATCACACAATGTACAAACATTAATTCAAAATTAATCAAAGACTTAAATGCAAGGACTAGAACAACAAAACCTCTAGAAGAAAACGTAGAAGGAACTCTTTGTGACTTTAGGTTAAGCAAAAAGATTTTAAATGGGACACAAAAGCATAAACCATAAAGGAAAAAATAAGTTGAATTTCATCAAAGTTTAACAAAAAATCTGCGCTTCAAAAGATACTGTTAAGAAAAGACAAGTCAGGCCAGGCATGGTAGCTCAAGCCTGTAATCCCAGCACTTTGGAAGGCTGAGGCCGGCAGATTGCTTGAGTCCAGGAGTTCAAGATCAGCCTGGGTAACACAGCGAAATCCCCTCTCTACCAAAAAAAAAAAAAAAAAAAAAGTCACAGTTTAGAAAAAGATACTTGGAAAACACTTCCCTGATGCAGGACTTATAACCAGAACAATAACATACTCTTGCAACTCAATAATAAGACCAGACAATACCCTTTTTTAAATGGACAAATGATTTGGACAGATATTTTACAAAAGAAGCTGTACTGATGGCCAATAAGCATAATAAGATATGTAACATCACTATTCATTAGGCAGATGCAAATTAAAGCCACAATGAGATACTTTACACACCTAAGAGAATAGCTGAAGTTAAAAAAAAAAAAGGTGAGAAATTAACAGTGCCGAGCGCCGATGATGATGTGAAATAACTGAAATTCTTATATATTGCTGGTGGGAATACAAACTGGTCCACCTTGAAAAACACTGTCAGTTTTTAAAAATGAAGTTATACATATATTTGCCATAACACTACATGAATATTTATAGTAGCTTTATGCATAACTGCCAAAAACTAGAAACATCCAAGTATCTATCAGCTGGTGAATGGATAAGTTGTAGTAAATCCACATAATGGAATACTGCTCAGCAATAAAAGGAATTAACTACTAATATATGCCACATTGATAATTTTTTTTTTTAAGACAGAATTTCGCTCTTATCACCCAGGCTGGAGTGTAGTGGCGCAATCTCGGCTCACTGCAACCTCTGCCTCCCGGGTTCAAGCGATTCTCCTGCCTCAGCCTCCCGAGTAGCTGGGATTACAGGTGCCCGCCACCACGCCCGGCTAATTTTTTGTATTTTTAGTAGAGAGGGGGTTTCGCCACGTTGGGCAGGCCGGCCTCCAACTCCTGACCTCGGGTGATCCGCCTGCCTCGGCCTCCAAAAAGGCCACCACATTGATAAATCTTAAAGCATTATGTTATATAAAGAAAGTCAATCATTGACTGGGCGGTGTGGCTCACGCCTGTAATCCCAATACTTCGGAAGGCTAAGGAGAGCGGATCACCTGAGATCGGGAATTCGATACCAGCCTGGCCAACATGGTGAAACACCGTCTTTATTAAAAATACAAAAATTAACCGGACGCGGTAGCGGGAGCCTGTAACCCTAGCTACTTGGGAGGCTGAGGCAGGAGGATCGCTTGAACCCGGGAGGCAGAGACTGCAGTGAGCCAAGATCGCGCCACTGCACTCTAGCCTGGGTGACAGAGCAAAACTCTTGTCTCAACAACAACAACAACAACAACAACAACAACAGGGAATTACAAAGGGATACATTCAATTTATTATTATTATTATTTAGACAGGGTCTCAACTCTGTCACCCAGGCTCTAAAGAGTGCAGTGGTGGGATCTCGGCTCATAGCAACCTCCGCCTCCCGGGTTCAAGTTATCCTCCAACCTCAGCCTCCCGAGTAGCTGAGGCTACAGGCACGTGCCACCACGCCCCGCTAATTTTTGTAGAGGCGGGTTTTCGCCTTGTTCCCCAGGCTGGTCTCCAACTCCTGACCTCAAGTGATCCACCCGCCCCGGCCTCCCCAAGTGCTGGGATTACAGGCATGAGCCACGGTGCCTGGTCCCAAATTATTTCATTTATACAGTTAGAGAAAAGACAAAAGTATAAAAACCAAAATCAGGCCGGGCGCGGTGGCTCACGCCTGTAATCGCAGCACTTTGGGAGGCCGAGGCGGGCAGATCACCTGAGGTCAGGAGTTCGAGACCTGCCTGACCAACATGGTGAAATCCCATCTCTACTAAAAATAAAAAATTAGCCGGGCGTGGTGGCACATACCTGTAATCCCAGCTACTCGGGAGGCTGAGGCTCGGAAGGCTGAGGCAGGAGAATCGCTTGAACCCAGGAGATGGAGGTTGCAGTGAGCCGAGATCGCGCCATTGCACTCCAGCCTGGGTTGTCAGGGGCTGAGAATGGATAGCAGCAATCGACTGTAAAAGGGCATGAGACAGTTTTGGGAAGCAAAGGATATGTATTTATCTTTGTATTTGTGTTGGTTACTTCCAGCATACATTTGCCTGAACTTGCTAAAATGTGCACTTTCTTCTCAACACTTACAGACTGCTGTCAATTTTTTTAAAAAAAATTTTAAATGCACACTTTGAAAGTTTTACTTGTACAAAACCCTGACTTATAAAGTAAACAAAATACTTTATAAGTTGTACTTTATAGGTTGGTGCAAAAGTAATTGCGGTTTTGCCAGTAAAAGATGGGAACAACCGCAATTACTTTTTGCCGTTTTCTACTGGCAAAACGGCAATTACTTTTGCATCAACTTACTGTATGACTAAGAAACCCTGTCTCTACTAAAAATACAAAAATTAGCCGGGCGTGGTGGCGCACGCCTGTAATTCCAGCTACTCGGTAGGCTGAGGCGGGAGAATCGCTTGAACCCGGGAAGCCGAGGTTGCAGTGAGCGGAGATGTTGCCACTGCACTCCAGCCTGGGAGACAGAGGGAAACTCTGTCTCAAAAATATAATAAATAAATAAATAAATAAATCACTCAGAACCAAATAAATGAGAGATATAACATATTTATGGATCAGAAGATTTGATACTGTGGAGCTGCCAAGTCCCTCCGGTTAATTTATGGATTCAACACAATCCCAATAAAAATCCCAGTGGGTTGTTTTTTTTTTTGTAAAAATGGTCCAGATTATTTTACAAAATTAACTTGGAACACAAATAACTCAGAATAACAACAGCCATCTTAAATAAGAATTACAAAGTTGGAGGACATACACTGTTAAGTTTTCAAGATTTATTTAAAAATTAAGTAATCAAGACAAAATGGTGTTGGTGTAAGGATAGGCCTGCAGATCAATGGGACAAACTAGAGAGCCAGGAAGCAGACTCACATACATATTGACAATTGATTTTTGAGAAAGCTGTCAAAATAATTCAATGGAAAAAGGATAGGCGTTCAGTAATTGGTACGGGTACAATTGGACATTCATGTATTTAAAAAAATCTATGGCCCCACATCAGCAACATATTTAATAATTAAAACTTTATCATAAAATTGTAAAACTTCTAGAAGAAAATTTGTATGACCTTTGGTTAGGCAAAAAATTCTTTAAAGGAACACACACACAAAAAAAGCTATAAAAATATAAATTAATAAATTAGACTTAATCAAATTTAAATGTTTGCTTTATAAAAGACACTGCTTAGGCCAGGCATGGTGGCTCACACCTGCAATCCCACCACTTTGCGAGGCAGATGTGGGAAGATCACCTGAGGTCAGGAGTTCGAGACCAACCTGGCCAATGTGGTGAAAGTCTGTCTCAACTAAAAATACAAAAACCGGCTGGCATTGTGGCAGGTACCTTCACTGGGCATTGGAGCAGGTGCCTGTAGTCCCAGGTTCTTGGGAGGCTGAGGCAGGAGAATCACTTGAACCCAGGAGGCAGAGGTTGCAGCGAGTGGAGATGTAGCCACTGCACTCCAGCCTGGGCAACAGAGCGAGACCCCGTCTCAAAACAAAAACAAAAACAAAAAATAAATCAAATAAAAAATAAAAACAAACAAAATCAAAGTATTCTCTAAGATTTAGGGGAACTAAAAGAACTGTTTGTTCTTTTACCCATAATAATTATGTTCTAACGTATTATACAACAATACGTTTGTTTTCACCATATTTTGTCTCCAATGCTTTTGTTCTGATGTTTTCATATTATGTACAATATTTTTTATTGCACTAAGTTTCAGATTTGGGAAACTTGCCTAGCTGCTTTTATGAAAATCAACATAGAAACTACTGCAATCCTTCATCAATGGAGGGACCACCATGGTTCAGAGATGCTAGACTTCCAACTGGCCCATGTTCTAATGGACCTTTGTGTTGTCTCCCATAGGGAAAAGCTAAATGTATTTGGCTTTTAGGAAGGAGAGCAGCCAGAATAATTGGTGGCCCTATGGTGCTCTGTGATGGTCATATGGTCATTCTGATCCACAGTCTTCTAGTAACGTAGCATGTGCAGATTGTAGTTCTTACTTCCTCAGAAATAGATGTGGACATATGACACATTTGTTCTGGAAAATGAGGTGTCCCTTCCAGATGTTTGAGAGTCAGTGAGCAATCTATCGGGTCCCTTTTTACCTTACCTTGACAAAATAATTGATTATTTTGATTGTAGAGGATCTACAAATCAGGGTTTATTAGTGAAATAGAGACCACCAACCAAATCATGATAGATTTTTATGACACAGAAATAGGAGTTTATGGTTATAAGCCAGTATGATTTGGCGTGGGGGAGAGGAATTACTTATTATTGCAGCATAAGCTAATGTATCCAGATGGATACATCCAGGAAATTCAGAAGTATGAATTCATTAAGAAGACCAGATTCCTTTCTAGGTAAATATCCAACAAAATTGTGTGAACTTGAGCACTAAGAGGTATGCTAAAAGTGTTCATAGAAAACAGGTTTTTAAATATACATATATATTTTAATATATTAATATCAACATATCCCAAGAAAAAGCTTAGTGAAGTATTGCCAGTGGTCTACGTACAGCCTAATATCACTTTATATTATGATAAGCTTAGGAAAATGTCTAAAGTTTCTTTGGTTCTTTGTGGTAGAATTCTAGAACATTTAAATGTATTGAGCTAAAAGTAGTAAAAATCTCAAAATTAGAATGAACACAGATCTAAGATTGGGATTTTAAAATACTATGGCAGTTTTTCAAGCCTGGAAAGTTCAGTCATTAGGATTACAGCAAAAATAATTATTAGACACAAGAGGCATTTCACCTGCTCTGTCTCTTGGCCCCATATGCAGCCATAGTGACTGTCCTTTTTCTCCTTTTCTCCCTTGCCACAGCACCCACAATTCAGATTGCTTTCCTTTTTCCCTCATAACTTCTACCAACCATTTGCTTCTTTGGGGACAGATCTTCCCTAAGACAAATAGAAAATTGTAGCATGAATCATAAAATCTTAGCCTCTTAAATCCTTGCTGCACCTGAAAATTACCATGCGAGATCATTTCTTAATGTTGAGTTTTATGCCTAATTATTATTAGTAAATAGACTGAGCATCACATTCAATGGAAAGTTACATGACTATCTTATATATGCATGCTGTATCTGGTCTAAAGTTTCTATTTTCATGGCTAAAATAGCTACAAGGAACCTGATCATTGTCTTATCTTCTACTTTTATTCCCAATGGCAGGTAGGGCTTCCTAATACTCCTAACTCCTTCTAATCCAGCAGTAGTTCTTCAACATCAGTGTTCCTTTTGTACAACACTGGTTTCAGTTCTAGGAACATCTCAGGCTCTCTAAGATATCTGAGCCTTTTTTAAACTGTTTATTCTCCCAGGAATGACCTGGAAAATGTATTGACCACTGACCAACTTTTATTTTATTATTATTATTACTATTATTATTACTTTGTGTGTGTACGTGAGATGGAGTTTCGCTCTTTTGCCCAGGCTGGAGTGAAGTGGTGTGATCTTGGCTCACTGCAACCTCCACCTCGCGGGTTCAAGTGATTCTCCTGCCTCAGCCTCCCTAGTAGCTGGGATTACAGGCATGTGCTACCACGCCCGACTAATTTTTGTATTTTTAGTAGAGACGGGGTTTCAGCATGTTGGCTAGGCTAGTCTTGAACTCCTGACCTCAAGTGATCCACCTGCCTCAGAAACTGCTAAGATTACAGGCATGAGCCACGGCACCTGGCCACTGACCAACTTTGAAGACCAAGGATCAAGGATCAACTCCACATTGAAGATGTTGGAGCCTCACCATATTACCTCTGGCATCCCACCAAGAAGCCCCCCCCATATCCCCCTGACCTTCACCATGTCAATGTCCACCAGGCTGATTTCTACCTGCCGGTACTTGCATCTTATCGCATGAGAGCTTTCCCCACCTGCTGATCACACTTTGCCCACATTCATGGCAGGCCAGATGTTCCACTGAATTGGAGGTTTAGAATAGCTCCCAAGCAATTTTTGGTAAATGGTGTATGACTATCCCAGCTCCCTTACCCTTGAAGTTTGATCATTTTTAGGCATATTTTCAACATTGTTTCCCAGAGTTCCTCCTCTGAGGATTAAGAGGGGTTAAGAAGGATTAAGCTTGAATAGCCCAGAGTGGTATTCCTTGGTTTCTTTTCTTTTCTTTTTCACTTTGTTTTTTCCACACCAGTGTTTTCTGGATTAAACCACTTGCCCCTAAATCCTTGAATAAACCACCCCACCCCACCCCACCCCAGAAAAAAAACAGTAGGTTTTTGAAAGGTCATCCAATATGCTGTGGAAGAATAGGTAAGTAGTCAGGGGCAGAAGCAGGAAGGCAAGATTGATTCAGGCGAAAATTACGATGTCTCCAAAAGGAGTTGTGGCAGTAAGAGTGGTGAGATGCTGTAAGATCATGGATATGTAGTGAAGATAGAAGCAACAGAATCACCCAATAAATTGATGCGGAATGCGACACAAAGAAGAATCAGGCTGACTCCCAGGTATCTGACCAGAGAACTGTGAAGGATGGAATGGAGTGAGGGTGACTGTGGGTGCGACAGATTTGGGAGGGAATGAGATAAGGAGTCCAGTTTTGATGATTATTAGCTTCTAAGTGGAGATGATGAGTAGGTAGGAATACTGCAGTAGGATCAGTCTGCAGTTTGCGGGAGAGTCTGGGCTGGAGATATAATAATGTGAATTATCTGCACAGAAACAGGTTTAAGTTCATGACTCTGGATGAGACTCTGAAAGAATTGGGTGTAAATAGATAACAGAAGAGGACTAAGAACTAAAGCCTGGGGAGAAAAACAATATTAAGGAGTCAGGGAGAAGAGGAAGAACCAGTAAAGAAGACTAGGAAGAAGCTATCAATGAGGAATGAGTAACTCAAAGAGAGTGTGATGCCCCAGAAGCCAAATGAAGAAAATATACCAAGAAGAATTGAGCAGCCCAATCTAATGCTGCTACTGATGAACCATGTAAGAAAAGGCAGATAATTTATTATTAGATTAGCAACAGTGAGGTCTATGGGAACTTTGAAAAGAGCCGTTTATGTAGAGATGAAAGACAAATTGGAGTAGGTTTAACACAGAGGACAGGCTGGATGCAGTGGCTCAAGCCTGTAATCCCAGCACTTCGGGAGGCCAAGTCAGGAGGTTCGCTTGAGACCAGGAGTTGGAGACCAGCCTCGGCAACGTGGAGAGACCCCATCTCTACAAAAATTAGCCACAGGTGTGGTGGCACACAACTGTAGTCCTGGCTACTCAGGAGGCTGAAGTGGGAGAGTAGCTTAAGCTGAGGAGGTTGAGGCTGCAGTGAGCCGCTATCATGCCACTGCACTGCAACCTGAGTAACAGAGCCAGAACCTGTCTCACAAAAAAAATAAAAAAAAAAAAAAAATCCAGAAAATGTCAGACACTGTGGTGTGTGCCTGTAGTCCCAGCTACTCAAGAAGCTAAGGCAGGATAGCTGGAGCCCAGGAGTTCAAGTCCAGCCTGGGCAACAAAATGAGACCTCCCTGCCCCCACATCCCTCTCTCTCAAAACAAAACAAAACATCAGGAAGAAAGTCCCATTAAATATACTAAAATAAAAACGTTTTCCTTCTTTCCACAGTCTCTCTCTTGATTTATCATGGTGCTTTTATTTGCTATTTAATGTCATTCTAAGTAAAAATTAAACTTTTACATTATTAATTTTACTGTTAATCTTTGTTGTTCAGTGCCAATTTTAAATGCAAATACAAGGATATTTAATTCATACTTGGAATCACTGACATTCCACAATTTACATTTAATAGCTCAATACAAGCCTATATATTTTGTTCTTACCCCAACAGTGGAAACACTGCCTAAAACTAACTCATTAATTAACTCACACACATTTTACCAATACTATCTTTGGTTTACTGATAAGGAAAGACTAAAAGGAAAAAGAACTATGGGTTGCCCTATCTTTCCATTTCCTCCTCTGTCAATATTTTCAGTGTAAGTGATTAGTTCATGCAGGGACGTAACATGAATAAACAAGGATATGATGGGCTGTTTCTTAGACCCTGCCATTGCCTTCTTTCTGCACCCTAAGCAAGTTTTGGTTTGAACATAAACTGTGGCCTCTGGGGGCTGTCAGCACCTCCACTTCTTTTAGTCACAGAGGTAACATGTTTATATGTGCTTTGAGTCTTAGCATCATGGTTCCCCCAAATTTTGTGCTCATGGGGCATTGCCAATGCTGTATGTGAAAAGGGTGGCAAGGAATTGAGGCTGCCACCTGACCTGTCTCCTCTGTTATGTGAATGTTCCATTGTCCCATTGGACATCACGTTCAAAACACAAATTCAAAAATTATATTATAATGAATCTCAAGATGGCAACAACAGAGTATTAAACCAAGAGCTAGTCTTTCTGAACACAAAGCCCTGTGCAACTGCACAGGTTGCATATGCATAAAGCTAGCCTTGAATGTAAAATATCAGGAAGTGAGGGGGCGGGGGAGATGATGTAGGAATGATAATCAGGACAACAGCTGGAGTGTCATCCTTGAGAATGGGATGGGATCTAGTGCCCAGGAGGACCAATACGATTATGTAAGAGTATCTGTAAAATCAGTACCTCTACTAACTTGTTTAATCAAAGTAAATTGTCCATTAGCTTGGCATACAAATAGGGATCCACCATTCACACTTGATCCTGAACCTCCCTTTCTGACAGACCTTTGCTTCCTTGACAGCCTCTATTTGGGAGGCTAGAATAGTCTCTTGACTCAGACTAGCATCTTCCACGATGCAAGAGAGTGGCAACAATCACTTTTTAGAAACCCAGAATGTTTCTAAATGAATGTTTCCATTTCTGCTGCCAGCATAGTACATCAGTATCACCCTTCACTATCTCTCATGTAACCTTTTAGAAAACCTCTCTGCCTTTCCCCCAAACTCCTTTTCCATCCCCCTTTCCAACAGTATTCCCCACTCTCATGGTGCTACTAAATGCTTTATAAAAAACAAATCTAAGAGGGTAACTATATTTGATAAACAGCTGTAAAGCCTATCTATTGCCCTCAGAATAAAGAAAAAAGTCCTGGAAGTCCTAGCCAGAGCAATCAGGCAAGAGAAAGAAATAAAAAGCATCCAAGCTGGGCGTGGTGGCTCACATCTGTAATCCCAGCACTTTGGGAGGCCTAGGCAGGCAGATCACCGGAAGTCAGGAGTTTGAGACCAGCCTGACCCCATGGAGAGACTCTGTCTCTACCAAAAATACAAAATTAGGTGGGCGTGGTGGCGCATGCCTGTAATCCCAGCTACTCCGGAGGCTGAGGCGGGAGAATCTCTTGAACCCGGAAGGCAGAGGTTGCGGTGAGCTGAGATCTCACCATTGCACTCCAGCCTGGGCAATAAGAGTGAAACTCTGTCTCAGGA
Organism: Homo sapiens; assembly: GCF_000001405.40. Lineage (NCBI taxonomy): Eukaryota > Metazoa > Chordata > Mammalia > Primates > Hominidae > Homo > Homo sapiens. Next base: position 26,580,773 of record NC_000006.12, on the reverse strand, counting down.
AAAAAAAAAAAAAAAAAAGCAACCAAATAGGAAAAGAATAAGGCAAATTTTCTCTCTTTGCAAATGACATAATACGATACTCAGAAAACCTTAAAGGCTTCTAGAACTGATAAACTACCTTGATAAAGTTTCAGGAAACAAAATCAATGTACAAAAATCAATAGCATTTCTATACACCAATAAGGTCAAGCTGAGAGCCAAATCAAGAATGCAATCCCATTTACAATAGCCACAAAAAGAATAAAATACCTAGGAATACAGCTAACTAAGGAGGTGAAAGATCGCTACAAGAAGAATTACAAAACACTGCTGAAAGAAATCAGAGGTGACACAAACAAATGAAAAAACATTCCATGCTCATGGATAGGAAGAATCAATATTGTTAAAATGGCCATACTACTCAAAGCACTTTACAGGTTCACTGCTATTTCTATCAAATTACCAACATCGTTTTCCCCAATTAGAAATTAGAGAAAACTATTTTAAAATTTATATTAAATCAAGCTGGGCATGGTGGCTCACACCTGTAATCCCAGCACTTTGGGAGGCTGAGGTGGGCGGATCACCTAAGGTCAGGAGTTTGAGACCAGCCTGGCCAACATGGTGAAATCCTATCTCTACTAAAAACACAAAAAACAGAAGGGTGTGGTGGTTCACTCCTGTAATCTCAGCTACTCGGGAGGCTGAGGCAGGAGAATCGCTTGAGCCTGGGAGGCAGAGGTTGCAGTGAGCCAAGATCGTGCCACTGCACTCCAGCCTGGGTGACAGAGCAAGACTCCATCTCTAAATAAATAAATAAAATAAAATCATATGAAATAAAAAAGAGCCCAAATAGCCAAAGAAATACTAAGCAAAAAGAACAAAGCCAGAGGCATCACCCTACTCACCTTCAAACTATACTGCAAAGCTACAAGTAACCAAAACAGCATGGTACTGGTACAAAAACAGACATACAAACCTATGGAACAAAATAGAGAACCCAGAAATAAAGCCACACAACTATAACCATCCAATCTTTGACAAAGTTGACAAAATAACAAGCAATGAAGAATGGACTGTGTTCAATAAATGGTGCTGGAATAACTGGCTAGCCATGTGCAGAAGATTGAAATTGGACCCATACCTTTCACCATATACAAAAATTAACTCAAGATGGATTCAAGATTTAAATGTAAGACCTCAAACTATAAAAATCCTAAAAGAAAACCTATGAAATACCATTCTGGACATCAGCCTTGGCAAGTAATTTATGACTAAGTCTCCAAAAGCATTTGCAACAAAAACCAAAATTGTTAAGGGGAATGTAATTAAACTAAGGAGCTTCTGCCCAATAAAAGAAACCATCAAGGGGCCCGGTTCACTGGCTCACACGTGTAATCCCAATACTTTGGGGGGTGGAAGTGTGTGGATTACTTGAGGTTAGGAGTTCGAAACCAGCCTGGCCAATATGGCGAAATCCCATCTCTACTAAAAATACAAAAATCAGCCAGGCATGGTGGCACACACCTGTAGTCCCAGCTACTCAGGAGGCCGAGGCATGAGAATCACTTGAACCTGGAAGGCCAAAATTGCAGTGTGCCGAGATCACACCACTGCACTCCAGCCTGGGCAACAGAGTGAGACTCTGTCTTGAAACAAACAAAACAAAACAAACAAACAACAAAACCATCAACAGAGTAAATAGGCAGCCTACAGAATGGAGAAAATATTCACAAATTATGCATCCAACATAGCTCTAATGCCAAGGATTCATAAGGAACTTAAATAATTGCATGAGCAAAAAACAAATAACTCCAATAAAGAAAATGGGCAAGAGACATGAACAGACACTTTTCAAAAGAAGACAAACATGCAGCCAACAAATATATGAAAAATGTTCAACATCACTAATTAGAGAAACACAAATCAAACCTCAATGAGATACCATTTCACATCAGTCAGAATGGCTGTTATTAAAACATCAAAAATAATGGATATATGGCAAGGTTGCAGAGAAAAGGGAATGCTTACATTCCCACTGTCGGTGGGAATGTAAATTAATTCAGCTACTGTGCAAAACAGTTTGGAAATTTCCCAAATAACTTGGAACTACCATTTGACTCATCAATCCCACTACTGAGTATAAACCCAAAGGAAAATAAATCGTTCTACCAAAAAGACACATGCATCAGTATCTTCGTTGCAGCACTATTCACAATAGCAAAGACATGGAATCAAGCTACATACCACTAAGGGTGGAATAAAGAAAACGTGGTACATATACATCATGGAATACCACACAGCCATGAAAAAGTACAAAGTCGCGTCCTTTGCAGCATCATGGGTGCAGCTGGAGGCCACTATTGTAAGTGGATTAACTCCGGAACAGAAAACCAAATACCTCATGTTCTCTCACTTATAAGTAGGGAGCTAAACATTGAGTACACACAGACACAAAGGTGAGAACAATAGACCCTGGGAACTACTAGAGGCAGGATGATGGGAGGAGGATGAGGGTTGAAAAATTATCGGGTACTACGATTACTACCTTGGTGATGGGAACATTCATACACTAAAACCCAGCGACACGCAATTTAGTCACGTAACAAATCTGCCTATGTAGCCCCTGAACCGAAAATTTAAAAATAAAAAAGTTCTCAATTTTTATTCTTCATTTTCTGTGCCTAAAGAATAAACAAGTATTGGCCAGGCGCGGTGGCTCACTCCTGTAATCCCAGCACTGCGGGAGGCCGAGGCGGACGAATACTTGAATCCAGGAGTTCGAGACTAGTTTGGCCGACATAGCGAGACCCTCCCACCCACCCCTCGTCTCTCCAAAAATAGCTAGGGGTTCTGACTTGCGCTTGTAGTGCCAGCTACTCGGGAGTCTGAGGTGGGAGGATCGCTTGAGCCCGGGAAGTCCAGTGAGCCGAGATTGCACCGCTGCACTCCAGTCTGGGCGACAGAGCGAGATTGTCTAAAACAACAACAACAACAACAACAACCACACAGAGAAACAGAGAGAGAGAAGAAAAGTAACAGGATAACAGAGGACCCCAAAAGTCATCGTATATCCTAACCTCCAGTAAAAACTGAAACGAAAACCTTGGGGCCAGAGTGCTCCTGTCATTCCCCACACCTCCCACGCGCCTTCTTAACTGAACTGTGTTGCGGGCGTTGGCTGTGGTTTGCTGGTCGAACGTCAGCTCGGGTCGGGGATGGAGAGGGGAAGTGGGAATAAAAACTGCATTTGACGATCAGTAGCCGGAAATAAGAATGGCATCGAGAAACCAAGAGCCAGCCAGCAGGAGACTCAGGGAGGGAGTGGAGGTGAAGAGTGTTGCGAGGTACAAATTTCACAAGGAAAAAGTGAAGCCTCAGACTTCCTGGAAACGCTGCTTTTCATCTACGCAGGTGCCCTTCGGTGAAGCTACCACATTTCTAGTTTATTCCTAAAATTTTTTACTCATGTAACCAAAAATGGTTTACTTGTGCATGTTTGAGCATAAAGAGCTATCTAATACATTTTTTTTGCCTGGATCCTTATTTTTTGTAAAGACCGTATTGTCTGGAATTATTAGCTTGGTAGGTCAAAACTACCGTCCTCCGAGCCGGATTCGAACCAGCGACCTAAGGATACCTTGCTTAATGAGCCTACAGTCCTCCGCTCTACCAACTGAGCTATCGAAGGACACGGAACGCTGTCCTTTTTAGACACGTAGTTCTGCGTTCTCTAGAATCCCCAAAATAATGTGCGTCCTGGAAGTTTCTGGGTTTTTAAGTCTTGTTCCATTTAGGAGATTTGGTTTTAATTAATTATATTAATGCTCATTTTTTAAACTACGATCGGCTTTAAAGCAGTATTCTCATACACCGGAAGTATTCTGTGTAATGTTCTAGGTAATTGGCTTCATGGGTTTATAAATATGTAAAAGGCATTGGGTTTTATATTGAAAACATTAGGATATTTATGTATAGCTCAAACCAAAAACCTTACTGGAATCCCCCGTCCTCCTCCCCTAGATATACACAATCTCCCAGATTACGCCCTCTGTCCTGCTGTTTTGTCTGATTAACTCCTCCTTTCTGTCTTAAAAGTGACTGGATTTGCTTGATAAATGCTATGGCTTTTCTATTTGCTTGATAAAATGTATTTGCTTGATAAATACAGACAACCGGGTTGATGAGGATCCCAGGGCTGTGAACAAAGCATTCTGGTATCATTGCAGTTCTCCTTTTTGAAAGTCGAATGATAAATTGTGTGTATTCACAACTGTAGTGATGAAACGTGGAAGTGTCATCTGTGCGTGTTTGTGTAAATTTGAGTGTATATTACATAATCATGGTGGAGCAGTTAAAATGAAGCAAAAATTTTTGAAAACTTTACGTGGAAATATAAATATTCGTTTTTCAAAGCAAATTGTCCAACATAAAGGGAGGTTCTGTGTAGATTGTTGTCTGCTCAGCTTCCTTATACCTAAGGCAGAAATGGGGAATATGTTAAAACTATCTCGCAAGAAAAGGCTTTAAAAGGAAAAATCCCAAATTTTTCTTCAAATGGCAACTGCTAGTGCCTCTTGTCAGAAATATTAATAGCATACAGTTGATATTGAACTCTGTAATTAAGTCCCTTGCATGAGTAACTAAGAAAATAGTATATGCTAACTTTCAATGTTTCTAACCTAATAGAGAGCTAGCAGCTAGAGAGGAGGGATCCCAGGATGTGGACAGTCTCTCCTGACATTATTGTGTGTCCTATCTGTGCCTTAGACACCAGGCGGAAAAGCTACAGGGATGCCAATAAGAAGTGAAATTTCAAGACGGGGCTGCTACAAAATTGTTGTCTCTGTTAGGATTACTGGGGTGACACCTAGAGAAACAGGAAGGCCCCAGAAAGAAAACAAGTTCACTTTCCCACCTTCAGCCTTGGAGTCTCTAACCACCCTTTTGGCAAGGCTTACCCATAGGGTCAAGTGGTGGAACTGCAATGTGATTAACAGAGTCCTACTTCCTGTATCACAAAGGGGATTAAAGAAAGGATTAAACAGCAGTCTAATACATCTTCCTGTCTAGATCCTGATTTTCGTAAAGTTCCGTTATTTCTGGAATTATTAGCCCGTAGTTCAAAACTTTCGTCCTTCGAGCCGGATTCGAACCAGCGACCTAAGGATGCCTTAGTTTAATGAACCTACAGTCCTCCGCTCTACCAACTGAGCTATCGAAAGGACCCCTAGCCCTTCATCTTCTAGAATTCCTAAAATAATGTGTCCTGAAAGTTTCTGGGTTTTCAAGTCTTGTTGCATTAAGGAGACTCAGTTTTAATTACATTGATACTCATTTTTAAAACTACAATCGGCTTTAAAGCAGTTTTTTCAGACACTGGACGTACTCTGTATAATGAATCCATTTGTGCTGTGTATCAAAATACCTGAGACAGGGTAATTTATAAAGAGTAGAGGCCAGGTGCTGTGGCCTAGCACTTTAGGAGGCCAAGGTGGGTGGATAACTTGAGGTCAGAAGTTCAAAACCAGTCTGGCCAACATGGTGAAAACCCATCTCTACTAAAAATACAAAAATTAGCTGGGCATGGTGGCTCACGTCTATAGTCCCAGCTACTGGGCAGGCTAAGGCAGGAGACACTGGGCGGCAGAGGCTGCAGTGAGCCGAGATTGCACCACTGCACTCCAGCCTGGGTGACAGAGCAAGACTCCATCTCAAAAAAAAAAGTAGAAATTTATTGCTCACAGTTCTGGAGACTGGGAAGTCCAAGATCAAGGTACCAGCAGATTCAGTTTCATAGATTCAGTGTCTGGTGAGACCTGCTTTCTCCTTCCAAGATAGCACTTATGTTTGTGTCCTCACATGGCAAAAGAAATGGAGGGCAAAAGGAAGAAACACTGTGTTCTCATATGGCAGAAGAAAGAGAAGGCCCCCCACAAAAAAAAATGGCCGAGCTCTGATGGCCAAATGACTTCCTAAAGTCCCCACCTCTTAATACTATCATATTAGGTCTTAGATTTCAGTATAATGAATTTTGGAAGGACACAGACATTCAAACTATAGCAGGCTGCTATGACAAAAATACCACAGACTGGATGGCTTAAAACAACAAAAATTTATTTTCTCACAGTTCTGGAGGCTGGGAAGTCCAAGATTAAGTTGCCAACTGATTTGGTTCTTGGTAAGGGCTCACTTCCTGGCTTGCAGATGGACACCTTATTGCTGTGTCTTCACATGGTTTGAGTACTCTGTCTCCTCTCATAAGGAAACTAATCTTAGGGATCAAGGTGCATCCCTATGACCTTATTTAACCTTAACTACTTCCTTACTCCAACTAAGTCACTTTAAGGATTAGGGATTCAACACAGAATTTTAAGGAAACACAATTCAGTCCATAGTAGTGGGTTTGGAGTTGAGAGTCAATAGTTTAACAACTGCTAACAACTGTTAAAACTTCCATGTGAAATTTAAGATTTTTTTTTTTTTTTTTGAGGAAGGGTCTCAGTCTGTCACTCTGTCACCCAGGCTGGAGTGCAGAGGCATGATCACAGTTCCACAGCTTCACCCTCCTGAGGTGATCCTCCCACCTCAGATTCTCTAGTAGCTGGGACTACTACAGGCACATGCTACCAAGCCCGGCTAATTTTTGTACTTTTTGTAGAGATGGGGTTTCTTGACCTTAATTTACTTCTGTGGAAGCTAAGAAGTTGTAAAATTTGATACCTAATCCAATGTTGCTAGAAACCAGAACTCCCAATTCAAAAGCCCTAGGCAAACCAATTGCTCCCAGTTTACAGTCATGCCAATACACAACCCATGGATCTGAACTATGGGATTGGGCTAATTTTCTTTCACCTCATTTCCACACCTGCGCGCCTAATAGAGTCATAGAAAATAAACAGAAAAGAGTAAGGGGAGGCCAAACTGACTGGGTAAATTCTGTCCAGGGTTGAAGAAGGAGAAAGCACCTAGGTGGTGTGAGCCTCAAAGCAAGGCTGACTTTGAGCCAAGTTCTGAGATGAATGGTGGGTTTCTACACTTGCTTAGAACATCTGAGTTGGTTTTTTGTTTGTTTGTTGAGAGAGTCTCGCTGTGTCACCCAGGCTGGAGAGCAGTGGTGCAATCTCTGCTCACTGCAACCCCTGCCTCCCAGGTTCAAGCGATTCTCCTGTCTCAGCCTCCGAAGTAGCCAAGATTACAGTCACCCGCCACCGCCCACGGCTGATTTTTGTATTTTTAGTAGAGACAGGGTTTTGCCATGTTGGTCAAGCTGGTCTTGAACTCCTGACCTCAAGTGATCCAGCCGCCTCAGCCTCCCAAAGTGCTGGCATTACAGGAGTGAGCCACTACGCCTGGCTAATATCTGAGTTTTTAACTCTCTTGTCTAAAATGGTGGGGGCAGGAAATTGGGAGGTTTTCTTCCAACAGAGTTATCCACTTTTTGTCAGCCCTGATTGCAATGAAAAAGCAAAAGAGAAAAGCAAGTATTAAAGGTTGTCTTAAGGTCTTTAAAAGACCTACTATGCCCTGCGCAGCAAAGTTACTTTCTTAAATAAGATATTTTGTCTTCTCCACTTTCAATTTTTAGTATCTTGCCCCAATTTCATAGAGACTAGAAAATAAAAAGAGGAAGTTTCTAATGATGGAATTTCTGGAAAAGAAGCAGTTGAAGGTGCAGATGTTGGGTGACGGCTTTCGTATGGCTTTTTTGAGAGTGATGGGACTCTAGTAATGCCCAACGGATCCTCCTTTTCCCAACTAGCTTCTGCTGAACAGTACCTAGCACCTAGCACCTGGCACAGTAGCTGGTACTCAATAGGCCCAGAAGAAAAAGTGGCAACTAAAGCATTTGTCTTTGTGCAAAGACTCTGCCTCTAAGTCTGCAGCCATAAGTATATTCGCTTCTCTTGCTAATATTTACCTTAGAAAAATAATTTGTACACCCCTGGATCGAAATCAGGACTACAGAAACCAGAATAAAGAAATCAAATGGGACGCACGCCCCCTTGTGGCCACAAGGTCCTCCGGCAGCGACAAAGCCAGACAAAAAGCGGATTTGTTTTTTTTTTTTTTTTTTTCCTTTTTGAGAGGGAGTCTTACTCGGTCGCCCAGGCTGGAGTGCAGTGGCGCGAACTCAGCTCATTGCGACCTCTGCCTCCTGGGTTCAAGCGATTCTCCTGCTTCAGCCTCCCGAGCAGCTGGGATTACAGGTGTGCGCCACCACGCCCGGCTAATTTTTTGTATTTTTAGTGGAGACAGGGGTTTCACCATATTGGCAGGCTGGTTTCGAACTCCTCATCTCAAGTGATCCACCCGCCTCGGCCTCCCAAAATGCTGGGATTACAGGCGTGAACCACCGCACCCGACTTTAAGGGATATTCGTAGATCTACAAAGACGCTGGATAATCTGTTTCTGGAACCAGATGAATAGATGGAAATTTTAGGGGTGCGGAGAGTGGTAGAAACTATTGGTTAGGCCAAGGCCGAACCTCATTGCTTGAAAAACTTGATTTTCCCTTCTGGCCGCATCCTCAATTTGCTTCCAGTTCCCGGTTTCCGCAGATGTGATTCCAGTGTTAAACTCTTCCCGGACCCCCAAGACAGCTGTTTCTATGGACTTCGCCTCCCTGGTTCACCTGCACTCGGTGGGCTTCTCCAGACGGGATCCGACATGGTAAAACAGGTTATAGATGGCGCTGAGGGGCGGAAGTCATGCTGAGGCTCTTTAGTCACCATTGTACACAGTTCTTCATTTTTTTCCTATTGGCTAGTGACGAAAGTCAATTGAAATAGCGAGAGTCCTGAATTACTTCCAGATATCAAAGAGGGTAAAGGATATAAGAGACGTTTTCCCACACGGGGAATTAGCTCAAATGGTAGAGCGCTCGCTTAGCATGCGAGAGGTAGCGGGATCGATGCCCGCATTCTCCAGTTTTATGTGGTTTCCTCTCCCACCTTACCCTTTGGCCTTTACTCCTATCTTTCCATGAATATCTTGCTGACACATAAGCAGCTAACAACACACTCCCGTATCATAATGGGGGTGGTCTTTCCTTCAAGCTCAAGATTCTCTCACCACCCATGAAAACCCATCTACTCGGTGGTTCCCTAGTCCTCAGATTGTTCTATCGTAGACAGAGCTGGGTACTTCGAATTTCTCTCACTATTTTCAGTTCTGAGTGTTGGCCTCTGCCAGGTGCATTGGCAAATCTATTATACACTTCGATCATTTATGTATTACATTTTTATCACAGCAGACTGAGGACGTATTACAAATTTTTTTCTTTTCCTTTTTTTTTTTTTTTTTTTTTTTTGAGACAGACTTACTCCGTCGCCCAGTCTGGAGTGCAGTGGCACGATCTCGGCTCACTGCAACCTCCGGCTCCCGGGTTCAAGCGATTCTTGTGCCTCAGCCTCTGGAGTAGCCGGGATTACAGCTGTGCGCCACCACACCGGCACATTTTTAGTAGAGACGGGCTTTCACCTTGTTGGCCAGGCTGGTCTCGAACTCCTAACATCTAGTGATCCACCCGACTCGGCCTCCCAAAGTGCTGGGATTACAGGCGTGGGCCACCGCGCCTGGCCCTGTATCACAAATTTTAAAAGATTTTTAAAATTACATTTTTATTCTTGGAATCTATTTCCTACATGTCCGACCTATTGAGGACCACCTTAAGTTGTTACAATTGTAACAAAGGCACTCCCATTATCTCAATAATATGGTGGATGGGCCAGGCGTGGTGGTTCCCGTCTGTAATCCGAGCACTTTGGGAGGCCGAGGCAGGCTGATCACGAGGTCAGGAGTTCGAGACCAGCCTGGCCAACATGGTGAAACCTCGTCTTTACTAAAAACACAAAAATTGGCCCGACGTGGTTGCGCATGCCTGTAATCCCAGCTACTCCGGAGGCTGAGGCAGGAGAATGGCTTGAAACCGGAAGGCGGAGGTTGCAGTGAGCCGAGATCGGGCCACTGCACTCCAGCCTGGGCAACAAGAGCGAAACTCCGTCTCGAAAAAAATAAATAAAATATATAAAAATAAAATGATGGAGAGCCAAAGGGTATGTAGGTATGTTTGAGGGTTTTTGTTTTGTTTTGTTTTGACGTTCACTCTTCCTCTTCTGAAGTCATCTTGCTATATCTTGCCGGAGGGTGGGGTGGGGGGGTCTGCTGCTGTTACTGGTGCTGGCACATAGGAGGAGAATTGTGACAGAGAATCTATCTGGACTGAAATCTATTGTGCCTTGGCAAGAAGCTTAGTCCAGGACTATTTAACAAATGTTGCATTCAAGCCCCAAACATTACCTTTGAAAATACCTATTTGTTTTGTTTTGTTTTGTTTTGTTTTCTGGCTGGGTGCGGTGGCTTGCGCCTGAAATTCCAGCACTTTGGGAGGCCGAGGTTGGTGGATCAACTGAAGTCAGGAGTTCCAGACCAGCCTGGCCAACATGGTGAAACCCCGTTTCTACCACAAACACAAAAATTAGCCCGGCGTGGTGGCGGACGCCTGTAATCCTAGCTACTCGGGAGACTGAGGCGGGAGAATCTCTCGAATCCGGAAGGTGGAGGTTGCAGTGAGCTGAGATGGAGCCACTGCACTCCAGGCTGGGCGACAGAGCGAGACTCCGTCTCAAAAAACCACAAACAAAAGGCCATTTTTCTTTTGCCCCCAACCAGCTTTCAAAAAGCAAGTTCATGGGGGAGCTATCAGTTTAGATCCATCTCCAGCCCTTAATAGGAGTGGCTTCCAATGCGTTTTGGGCAGGGCTCTCCAACCACCACCCTAATTCAATAAGCCTGGGCTTCTGTGTTTTTTGTTAGTTTTCCAGGTGGTTCTGATATCCAAGTTTGAGAATTATTTTCATAAAGAATAAAAGTTTGGAAACATGGGAAGGAACATACAAGAAATTACCAGGCACAAAATCCTCAGAAAACGCTTCCTTACTTTGATCTAGACAAAGATATTTGTCATTAAGAACTCTTCCATAGGTATCTGGGATCACATTTTTGAGACACAAAAGGGTACAATGGGATTAATATATTGTAATTAGATTGGCACAAAATTAGCAAATATGTACCACTGTTATGCCAGATCTCTACTTTGTGAGCTAATTCCCTATGTGGGTAGGAAATCCTGTCCATTTTTTCCCTTATGTACTATTTTCTCCTAAAATGATTCTCTTCTACCAGTGTTTTTCAAAACTTGCAGTACAGGAAAGTCAGCTGGTGAGCTTTTGAAACTACAATACCTGAATCTTACCTCCAAAGAAACCCAAGCATAGATGCTTTGTAAAATCTCCCCAGGTGATTCTAATATCGACCACATATTCTCTGCTAGGGTCGAAAGACACCACCATGACAATTAAAAGGAGAAGGGGGAATAGAACTCCTGAATTTCATCCCGGCTTCAGATGTATAGGGTTCAGACGCTAGTGGTTCAGCTTGTAACTGACTCGCAACGATTCAGAACTCTGAACACCAGGGCACGCGCGTGCCCCACCAATTACCAGTTGCTCCGAGTAATTCCCACCAGCCGCCCCTTTCCCCCGGCTGTGGATCCGGGGTTGAGGGGTGGAGACGCCTCTGTGGATCTCTAGCCCAGTGGACCAGTGTCTGATTCACTTCCTCAGTGCCCAGGGCTTCTAAGAGGGTTGGATTATACGAATTATAGGGATGAAGTCTTGATGGCGCGTGTTAAAAATTGTTACGGAGAATAATAAAAAATTAAAGAGATTCACTGCACATCCAGAATAGTTTTAAATAGATTCTTATCGAGGATATGTATAAGTGAAATACGCATTTCTGAGAATGAATTTTAAAACTTACGCAAAAAAAAAAAATTGTGAACTCCTTCGAGCCGGATTCGAACCAGCGACCTAAGGATGTCTAAGGACACAGCCAACTACAGTCCTCCGCTCTACCAACTGAGCTATCGAAGGATTCACACGACTTTCACTTCCCGCTGGGGATGCCATCTCTGCGGAAGGTTGGGCAATCGTGGATGCTTGTCGTCCTGTTTACCTGCGTCGTTGATGTTCTTTTGACATCCACTACCCCTTCGGAACTGACTGATATTCAGAGGCCCTTTTCTCTGAAACAGGGAGAAAACGGGAGCACCACCCTCACTAGTTTACAAAAAGAAACATAAAATGTTAAGGAGGCACAAGGAACTGATAAGAATTTAGCAATGACCATCTTTTGTTGTGATGAATGCATTATATAACCAATTTTAACCTCTACCTAAAAATAGAATTTGAAACACTTTAACAATGCAATTTTAATGGGATTTTATTGAGATAACTGACAGGAGGAAGAGAAGGAAGAGCAGGCTAAATAATGCAACTTCGAAAGCATAATAATTTTTTTTTTTTTTTTGAGACAGAGTCTCGCTCTGTCGCCTGGGCTGGAGTGCAGTGGCGCGATATCGGCTCACTGCAACCTCCGCTTCCCAGGTTCGAGCGATTCTCCCGTTCTCCCGCCTCAGCCTTCGAGCAGCTGGGATTACAAACGCAAGCCACCACGCCCGCCTAATTTTTATATTTTTAGTAGAGTTGTGATTTTTGCCATGTTGGCCAGGCTGGTCTCGAACTCTTGGCCTCAAGTGATCCGCCCGTTTTGGCCTTCTAAAGCCCTAGGATCATAGGCGTGAGCCCACAGCAGCTGGCCATCACATTAATTCTTAACTCAGCAAAAACCTATCCATGGGTGTGCTAAAATGATACATTTTTAAATGATTAACACAAGGTAATATCATTTCAAATATTAGTTTTGCAAAGTGTAAGATTCTTGTCTAGCTTTCTATGACTCTGAAGCTCAGAATAGCTATTATCCTCCCTTGTTAATGAAAAAATCCACTTGTGGTGGAATCTGGCATCCGAAATCTGTTTCATTATGGCCCGGCGCGGTGACTTACCTCTGTAATCCCAGGACTTCAGCAGGCCGAGACGGGGAGATCACCTGAGGTCAGGAGTTCGAGACCAACCTGGCCAAAATGGTGACACCCCTGTCTCTGTTAAAACTACAAGAATCAGCCGGGCGTGGTGGTGGTGGGCGCCTGTAATCCCAGCTACTCGGGAGGCCGAGGCAGGAGAATCACTGCAACCTAGGAGGCAGAGGTTGCAGTGAGCAGATATGTTGCCACCGCACTCCAGCCACTCCACAGAGCAAGACTCCGTCTCAAAAAAAAAAAAAAAAAAAAAAAAAAGAAAAGAGAAAAAAAAATCTGTTTCATTCTTTTTCATGTTCCATTAAAGATAATTACCTTGTCATATAATGAAACATGCACAGGGCAAATGATCCTTCTTGTGCAAGTAGGCCATTGAGCCCAATGTTCACTCCTTTATGGCACACAGATTTTTTTTTTCTTTTCTGAACAAAAATTGAAAGTACATTTAACTTGGCCATTAATCTCCTCAAGTCCATGAAACATTTATTTGAGTGGGGCGAGTCTCGATGAATTAAATGTAATGTTTTATCTCCTCTCCAACCTCAATTGCCTGAATAAGTTATCCTATTTCACAGATGTATTTACTTTTATACATTTGGTCAAAATACACTTTTCAAACGGTTAAATGCATGATTCATATACGAATATGAAATAAACACTTGTCAAAGGTTTAATTCACTAATGAGGGAATCATCAAGATGGTAAAACTGGTAAAACTGGATCGAAGAATTTATTGATAGTCACTGAAAGAAGCAATGCTGTAAATTAACATTGCTAAGTGAGGTAGAGAACTGGAAACTGCCTTACAGGACAATAAAACTGTACTGTTTCTACAGGACGGAAAATAACTAAATATCAGACGAAGTTCATTTGCATCACCACATCACGACGTTCCCTTACAAAGCTGAAAAACTACCCTAATCAATAAATAGTAAACTAGGCCGGGCTTGGTGGCTCAGGCCTGTAATCTCAGCAGTTTGGGAGCCTGAGGCAGCTAAGTCTCTTGAGACCAGGAGTTCGAGATCAGCCATGGCCAACATGGTGAAACCCTGTTTCTACAAAAAATACAAAAATTAGCGGGTCGTAGTGGTCGGGGGCCTGTAGTCCCAGCTACTGGGACTGGCTGAGGAGGGAGGATCCCATGAGCCAAAGAGTGTGAGGCCACAGTGAGCTATGATTGTGTCACGTCACTGCACTGCAGCCTGAGCGACAGAGCCAGACCCTGTCTCAAAAATAAATAGTAAGCCAAAACAATGGTACATACTCGTGGAGCAGTAATTTCTCTAATGGAGCAATTTTGCCTTCACAACGGTCATCTGACAATGTAAGAAGACATTTTTAATTGTTGTGACTGAGGAATATAGTAGGTAAATTGTTGTGACTGAGGAATGTAGTAGGTAAAGAACAGGAATGCTAGTAAACATCCTGTAATGCATAGAACAGCCCCCACAACAAAGAATTATAATATCTAGTCCAAAATGTCAATAGCGCTCTATTGAAACTCTGCTCTAGAGAATGAAAATAAGATAATCCTGGGCCTGCAGTTTTCTAATTGGCTCCCCTTGTCCAGATTGGTCCCCTCGGTTCTGTTCTCCACACAAAATGCCAGCAAGTTCTCACTGAGAGGTGTCTGAGGTCCATAAGATTGGCACCATTAAAAGAAGTTCCCCCCGGGCGCGGTGGCTCACGCCTGTAATCCCAGCACTTTGGGAGGCCGAGGCGGGCGGATCACGAGGTCAGGAGATCGAGACCATCCCGGCTAACATGGTGAAACCCCGTCTCTACTAAAAATACAGCCGGGCATGGTGGCGGGCGCCTGTAGTCCTAGCTACTCGGGAGGCTGAGACAGGAAAATGGCGCGAACCTGGGAGGCGGGGCTTGCAGTGAGCCGAGATCGCGCCGCTGCACTCCAGCCTGGGCGACGGAGCGAGACTCCGTCTCAAAAAAAATAAATAAAAATAAGTAAATAAATAAATAAAATTTTAAAATGCAGCCCATGTGGCAAACTAACATGCAGTTAATTCGCAGATTTGATTTCCATTCATTCATTCGGTAAAGGTTTACTGCGTACCTGCTGCGAGCTGATGGAAGAGGCCCTGGGTTCTTTGCGAGCGCGTGGTCCCTTGAGTCCCTTGAGGGTGAGGAAATCGCACCACCGACCTCCACGTGTAGGGGAGGACGTGGTGCAGCAGCGCCAGATAACGCCGGAAGAACCCCAAGTGGAGGCTGCTTGGGTCCCTCGGGAGTGAGTGAAGAACCAATTTCTGTGGCATGTGTTTCAACAGTAACTGTACTGTAATGCTTCCTAAAAAGTAAATATGTATTGAACTAATTGTATACATAGACCCTTTTGAACACAATTTAAAAGTAAATAATGAATTTTGGTAGTAGAAGTTACAGCAACATGGACAGGCTATTTACTCGTATGTATGATGTAATGGAAAGAACACAGAGAGGTATTGGAGCCACTTAGTCCACCTTTGAATCTATGTCTCACTAGTAGTATGACTTCCCTAACTTCCTCATGCCTTATACAAAATGGAGATGATGATAATGAAGGTAATACAGATCCTAAGGGGATAGTTGTGAATATCAAATTAAATAGAATTTGTAACGCACAGTTCTCAGAGTGTGCTGTCCACTGCCTTACTCCCACAGGCTCAAACAGGGGAACCCACAGAGAGTACTTTGAAAGCCTTTTCGCTGGGCCTTATCTTTAGTGAAATTAGAGTATAAAAAATTCAAGAATAACACCATAGGAAGCATACGAGTAATAATGTAATCATTAAAACAAGTCCCAAACAGTACCACAAAAAAAGCTAAGTACACAAGAATTTAGACTATGTAAGAGATCAGATTTGGTTGAGATTAATTAAGGAAAGCCTCCTAGATGGAGTTATAGTCCTTACAGAGGATTTTTTTTTTCGAGACAGGGTCACACTCTGTTGTTGATGCTGGGGTGCAGTGGTCCAGGCTGGGGTGCAGCGGTGGGATCAAAGCTCACTAAAGTCTTGAACTCCTAGGCTCAAGGGATCATCTCCCCTCAGCCACCTGAGCAGCTGGGATTAAGGCACATATCATCATGCCCAGCTAATGGGCTGGTTTATTTTGTTTTTGTATTTTTGTAGAGACTCAGTATGTTGAGTCATAGGTCTCACTATGTTGCCCATGCTTAGTTAGGAATTTTGAAGAAGCGATTGATCAGAATCACTTTTTTTTTTCCCCTGAGACGGAGTCTTGCTCAGTCACCCAGACTGGAGTGGTGCAGTGGCCCGATCTTGGCTCACTGCAACCTCCGCCTCCCAGGTTCAAGCAATTCTTCTGCCTCAGCCTCCCTAGTAGCTGGGATTACAAGCGCCCGCCACCGCGCCCAGCTAATTTTTGTATTTTTAGTAGAGACAGGGTTTCACCATGTTGGCCAGGCTGGTCTCAAACTCCTGACCTCGTGATCAACCCGCCTCAGCCTCCCAAAGTGCTGGGATTACAGGCGTGAGCCACCACTGGGGAATATGGCAAAACCCCGTCTCTACAAAAAATACAAAAGTTAGCTGGGCGTGGTGGCACGTGCCTACAGCTCCAGCTACTCAGGAGGCTGAGATGGGAGGATCACTAGAGCCTGGTGTTAATGGTGGTAATGGTGGAGGGTGTCCAGGTTCTTGGCGTCTTGAACAAAGAACTGGACAAAACGCACAAACAGAGCAAGGAAAGAATGAAGGGTTTTATTGAAAACGAAAGTATACTCCACAGTGTGGGAGTGGGGCTGAGCACAGGAGCTCAAAGGCCCCGTTACAGAGTTTTTGTGAGTTTAAATATCATCTACTTGGGGTACGCCCTATGTAAATGAAGAGGATGAATTAAAGTTACAAAGTAATTTACTCCGTGTATGCCCTATGGAGAGGATATTTCCTGTTATAGCTGAAGTGTGAGTTGGCCTTATGTTCCTTGACTCCAGGCCCTATTTTTCTGCCTCACTGGGAAGTCGAGGCTGCAGTGAGCTGAGATCGCGCCACTGTACTCCAGCCTGGGCAACAGAGGGAGACCCTGTGTCATAAATAAATAAATAGGAAGAAAGCTGAGTGAGATAGCCTGTTTTTTGATTATCCCCAATTCTCCCAGCTACATTACCTTTCATACTGTCCTCCAAAATAATGTAGTGACGTTTTCTTGGAAAGCTTATTACAACATGGCTGTTCCAGACCTATCCCCACTCCTGGTCTTGCCTCACAGAGTAACCCTAATGAGATAGGGCAGGATATCCTTCCACTCCCTGTCAAGATCTCGTCCTGTACTTGTCTAATAGGTGTCAGTGAGAGGTATCCGTTTTCTGACCTCTTTTATATTACTGTTTTTCCTTTCTGAAGTCTCCTTAGAGTCTATTGTTTCTGCATTTAACATTGGTATACTTTCACGTGATAATGCATGCCCCTAGAAGGGTGCCTACTTTTCACAGGGCAGCAGGAGAGAGACTGAGAACCAAGTGAAGGAAGAAGCCCCTTATAAAAACCGTTAGATCTGGTGAGAACTTACCATGAAGAGAATAGCGTGGGGGCAACCGCCCCCATGATTTCATTACCTCCTACTGGGTCCCTCCCATGACACACGGAGATTTTGGGAACTACAATTCAAAATGAGATTTAGGTGGGGAAACAGCCACACCATATCACACCATATCACCAGCTTTATAAACGGTTAAGAGGGACCTGAGGGTAAGGCTTATCAGATGAAGGGCTAGTATTCTCACTGCCTGATTATTACAGCAATCACAATATTGTAAACACACACAAAAATGGGCATCGTACTCCCAGAATGTTGGTTTTTTCCCTACCTCAAGATGATTTTATAAAAGTCTTCATAATCCAGTTCTTGGTTCATAAACACAGTAATTCAGAAGCCACTTTAGTCTTCCTGGTCTCTAAAATGTATATCGCTTTTCTTAGATTAATTATAAATTAATTAATTGATTGTCATGCCCACATCTTAGGTGATTCTGATGTCACTTGAAGCATTTTAGAATTACCAGTGTGAATTTTAAAAGTACAAGATTGTTAATAAACTATTATTTATCTGTAAGTAGTCTTGTGAACTTTTATGGCATTAGATGTGTCTTTAACCAGTTCTTCCAGTCTTTTCTGTTATTTCCTGGTTGTTTGCCTGTCACAATTAATAATTTACATTTGAAAAGAACCATATTTTCTAAATACATTTTTGCTAAATGTTAGTTCCTTGAGTATCAATAGTTCCTTGAGATGTTAATAGATGTTATTTGGTTAAAAAAAAAAAAGAGCATTGACTCCATTCTCTTTACCAGGCCTACTTTAAGCAATGAGCTGTAAATTTCAGAACATTAGAAGATAGATCAGTCGAGATTTTTCTTCATTTTATTTTCCTTCTATGAATAATTAAATATTAGCTGTGTTTTCAGCTCTCAGCTGGTAAGAACTTTGCCTTTTTTAGATGTTGTTGTCCTCTTTCAGTTAACACATATTCCATTACCCTGCCAAACCTCACCAATATTAAGTAATTATTTATTAGCATATAGTGCATACAAGATGCTGCCACTGTACATGCTTTAATACCTAGTTTCTCAAATTTCGCAACAATCCCAATCCAATTTACTGAGCCATTTTCTTTTCTTTCTTTGTTTTTTCTTTTTCTTTTTTTTTCTTGAGATGGTCTGGCTCTGTTCCCAGATTGGAGTGAAAGAGGAGACCACTCCTCATATTGTCTTATATTTAATTTCTTGTTTGCTGAAAAGGTAGAAGTTAAAAGAATAGGCAGAAGTGAAATTCATAGTCAGACAGCCCGGCGCCGCGCCTCGGGCCTGGTAGTTAAAATTCAACCCCTGAACTCACCACTTTTGGTATCTATAGATTCTAGACATTGCATGAAGAAGCATTGTGAAACTCCCTGTTCTGTTCTGTTTCGTTCTGATTACTGATGCAGGCAGCCCCCAGTCGTGTACCCCTCGCTTGCTCAATCGATCATAACCCCCACTTCATGCAGCCCCTTTAGAGTTGTGAGCCCTTAAAAAGGATAGGAATTACTTATTCGGAGAGCTCGGTTTCTAGGACGCGAGTCTGCCGATGCTCCCAGCTGAATAAAGCTCTTTCCTTCCCCAATCCAGTGTCTGAGGGATTTTGTCCATGACTCCTCCTGCTACAGGAGTGCTGTGGCATGAACATGGCTCACTGCAAGCTCTGCCTCCTTGGGCTTAAACCATCCTCCTACTCAGCCTCCCGAGTAGCTGGGAGTACAGGCACCTGCCACCACGCCTGGCTAATTACTGTATTTTTTGTAGAGACTGGGTTTCAACATGTTGGCCAGGCTGGTCTTGGCTTCCCAAAGTGCTATGATTACAGGAATGAGCCACAGCGCCCAGCCTGAGCCATTTTCAAACCCAGTATGTTCAGCCCCTTAATGTGAATCATTAGCTAGGAACTTGCCTTGCTGTATAATCTCATCCATACACAAATTTTACATGACTTTTGACATCTGAAGAAGCTCTTTGGATTAAAACAGAAATAATAAATGAGGACATGTTCTTAGGCTTGTCCCTAAAATAAACTCTTGACTAAACTTTCTTCCTTTACAAAAGAATACAAGACAATGTTTTGGGATTCTCAGAAATGACAAAAGGGACACAATTATCACAGTTTTTAGTTGTGTCATGTTTTTTATGTTGCTCTTGAAGGAGGTTATTTTCGCCCTATAGGGTTTTTACCATGAAAAGTTTTAAATTTACAAAAAGGAGTTGAAATAATATTGCAGTGAACAATATATACACTCCACAATCAACAATTGCTAGTATTTGCCATACTCGCTTTAAATCAATCTTTCTTTCTTGTGTATGGACACACACAGCATGTACATTTCTTTTGCTGAGCTGTTTGAAAATAAGTGACAGATGTGATGACTTTACCATTTAAACACTTCAGCAAGCACTCCTACATGTAAGAGCATTCTACACATCACAAAATTATTATTACTCCTAGGAAAAGTATCAGTAATTTCATTGTGTCTAATAACTGGCTTATGACCCAATTTCTCTAGTTATCCCAAGAATATATTTATGTATTTATTTTTTTGAACTAGAATTCAGTATAGAGTCACTCATTACATGTGACTGTAATGTCTTTAGTCTCTTAATATTTTTATAACATTGACTTTTTAAAGACCATTTGATTCATAGTTTTGTTGCATTTGATCCTCTATGTTCTATAAATTAGAAGGTATGTCTAGAAACTTGATTCAATTCAACTTAAAATATTTTTGGCAAAAGGATTTCGTAGATGTTGCTGGCATTTCATATTGTAATACATTAGACGGCCCAAATATTTTCAATTTTCATTTTAGATTGCTTTTAAGTCGATATTTAAAATCATGTATACATACAAGGCTAATTTTTTTTTTTTTGAGACGGAGTCTCACTCTGTCACCCAGGCTGGAGTGCAGTGGTGCGATTTCGGCTCCCTGCAACCTCTGCCTCCTGGGTTCAAGCGATTCTTGTGCCTCAGCCTCCCAAGTAGCTAGGATTAAAGGTGCGAGCCACCGAACCCAGTTAATTTTTGTATTTTTGGTACAGATGAGGTTTTGCTATGTTGGTCTTGAACTCCTGACCTCAGGTGATACACCTGCCTTAGCCTCTCAAAGTGCTGGGATTACAGGCATGAGCCATCATGCCCGGCAGGCTAATTTTTTTTTTTTTTTTGACAGAGTTTCGCTCTTGTTGTTCAGGCTAAAGTGCAGTGGCACGATCTCGGCTAACTGCAACTTCTGCCTCCTGGGTTCAAATGATTCTCCTGCCTTAGTTTCCCAAGTAACTGGGACTACAGGCACCCACCACCTCACCCTGCTAATTTTTGTATTTTTAGTAGAGATGGGGTTTCACTATGTTGGCCAGGCTAGTCTCGAACTCCTGACCTCAGGTGATCCACCCGCTTCGGCCTCCTAAAGTGCTGGGATTACAGGCATGAGCCACCACGCCTGGCCCCACTAACATTTTTTGATGCTATTTCTAGCACTCAAACCCTAGAATTATTTACAGAAGCATAAAGCAATGCACAATGTTTTATCCTTTTTTATTTAATTTTTTTTTTTTTTTTTTTTTTTTGAGACGGAGTCTCGCTCTGTCGCCCAGGCGGGACTGCAGTGGCGCGATCTCGGCTCACTGCAAGCTCCGCCTCCCGGGTTCACGCCATTCTCCTGCCTCAGCCCCCGAGTAGCTGGGACTACAGGCGCCCGCCACCACGCCTGGCTAATTTTTTTGTATTTTTAGTAGAGACGGGGTTTCACCGTGTTAGCCAGATGGTCTCGATCTCCTGACCTCGTGATCCGCACGCCTAGGCCTCCCAAAGTGCTGGGATTACAAGCGTGAGCCACTGCGCCCGGCCTATTTAATTTTTTTGAGACAGGGTCTTGCTCTGTCACCCAGGCTGGAGTGTAGTGGCTCCGTCACAGCTCACTGCAGCCTCAACCTCCTGAGCTCAAGCGATCCTCCCACCTCAGCCTCCCAAGTAGCTGGGACTACAGGTGTGCACCACCACACCCAGCTAATTTTTGTATTTATTGAAAAAGAATTTTTTTTTTTAAATACAGAGACAGGGTCTCGTTATGTTGCCCAGGCTGGTCTTGAACTCCCAGCCTCAAGCAGTCCTCCTGCCTTGACCTCCTAAAGTGCTAGAATTACAGGCATGAGCCATTGCACCTGGCTGCATCTTCATTTCCTATTGCCAGACAATTAAAATATAGCTGTGGATGTAATTTTTGTTAAATCAGTCACATTCACCCAGTAGGTATATGGCAATTTTCTTTTTTATTTATTTTTTCTTGCAGTGCTCTATACATTCAGAGAACCTTCTCTAGTAACAAAGCATAGAAACGATCACTGAAAGTAGTCTTGATGGCAACTTTCTGGAAGGCAGGGACTATATCATCTTCATATTTTTATTAAATGTCCAGCAATGAAAAGGTGCTTAATAAAAATGTGTTTGTCAATTGTTTTGAAAGACACTGTATCTTTTATAAAGTAGACTTAGAGAACAGTCAAGTCTCAGTGTACTCAAGAAAAGTTACTGTGGTCAAATTCATCCATTTTGTGTTAACTCATAATTCTCAGTTTCATGGTGTATATACCAACAATACACCCAAATCCTAGGGAGTCCATCTAGTTAGTTAGTTAGTTTATTTATTTATTTAGAGACAGGGTCTTGCTCTGTCACCCAGGCTGGAGTGTAGTGGTGCAATCATGGCTCACTGTAACCTCCACCACCTCGGTTCAAGCGATCCTCCCTCCTCAGCCTCCCCAGTAGCTGGAACTTGACGTGAGCACCACCACATCCAACTAATTTTTGTATTTTTTGTAGAGATGGGGTTTTGCCATGTTGGCCAGGCTGGTCTCGAACTCCTGAGCTCAAGTGATCCACTCAGCTTGGCCTCCCAAAGTGCTGGGATTACAGGCGTGAACCACTGTGACTGGCCCCGTCCAGTTTAATACTCATGATTTCCTGTGCCCAACTGTAAGTGCCATTTATCTAAGTAGATAAAATATAGAATCATTTTAAAACTGGATATAACATATCACATGGAGCAAGTGATAAATTACTGATAATATTTAGGTTACTGAGTAAAGAAAAAAGGGCCTGTGGTGCCTTATGCCTGTAATCCCAGCATTTTGGGAGGACGAGGGGGGAGGATTCCTTGAGCCAGGGATTTGAGACCAGGCTGGGCAACATAGGGAGATCTACAAAAAAAAAGAAGAAGAAGAAGAAAGGAAGGGTTGGATGGCAGAGGACAGACAGTGGTAATTTGTCACTGTGTCTCCAGTGTGCTCAGAGGTGAGCATTCTTTCAATGCAATATCCATATTCTGGGGCTCCTTACAGATGATGTGGGCTGCAGACCTGATATATCAAGTCTTCACAGTGATATAACTCTTGTTGTCATTGAACCCCTTTTGCTCTGATTATATAGTAGAGAACATTTCATGTGAATTCAGTCTTTCCAAGTTTGAGGGCAATTTTTAAAAAATACACTGGGCCACTTAACACTTTATTCATTGGTATCGATGTATAAGGTTGGTGTTCTGACCTTAAAGTTATCCTTGACTATTCTTCTCGCTCCCATTCAAATCTACCAGGAAATCTTACTGATTCAGCCTTCCAGATAGACCCACTTCTCCTCTTCCCCTGTTAGCACTCTGATCTTTCTTATTACTTTTTGTTACCAGGAGCCTCTTAATTGGTTTTCTTGTTTCTATCATTGTGCCCTTAAGGTCTTTTCTCAACACAGCAGTTAGAATTATCTTCTTAAAAGGTAAGTTAGATTCTGTTACTCTTCTGCTCAGAATCTTCACAGACTTCCCATCTCTCAGTTAAATCTAAAGTCCTTACAAGCCCAGAAGGCTCCATATCTTTTTGACTTCCTCCCCGCCATTCTTCTCTCATACTGCTGCAGCCACTGGGAATGGCAGGAAAACATGTAACATCAAGTTTCTCAACCCAAAAAGCTAATACCTTACACCTATTATAGAAAGATGATGTTTTCCATAAGGCATTGATTTCCTGTGGAATTCTAGACTGAGTAGGCAGCCAACTTGCTATATGTATCATAAAATTAAAAAAGGACCTTATAAAACAATGGTTTCTAAACCACTGGAGATTCAGATCCTGTGAGCCCAGGAATCTAAAATTTTAGAAGTGCCTCAGGTGATTCACATGTACAGCCAGTCTTGGACACCTGAGCTAGAGCATTTTCTTTATATTGTCCTGAGACCTGAAGAGATGAGAACTATGTTAGTGAAGTGAGAGGAAGGTATGTGGCTAATTGGGCTTTTGAAATCAACGAAGAGGTGTGTGGTATGCTTTTTTAACTCATGGTCATGGGTCCTTCCTGCCTCCTAAACCTTTTTTGCTGGGATTTGTGCTTTAGAATCAGCCCAGGAACTTGTTAAATATACAAGAGCTCATGCCCTACCAACGACTTACATAACCTATGTTTAAGTATATCTGGTTTTACAAAACCTCTAGGCCAGAGAAGTGTATCCACACCAGGGATCACTGAGACTAAGTTCAGCTAGAATTTCAGAGAAGGCTGGAATGCGTCAGTCAAGTCAGTAAGGCTAAAATGGTCACGATGATCACACAATTCCCTTCTTCCAGAGGGATGAGCTTTAATAATGCCCTTTTTTTGGACCGCAATGAGAAACCTGAAAACATTTTAGGATTGAAAACCAGAGCGCCCAACGTGGGGCTCGAACCCACGACCCTGAGATTAAGAGTCTCATGCTCTACCGACTGAGCTAGCCGGGCTCACCCGAACGTAGCTCTTCCCCCAATACACTAAGAGAATACATAATTTCTTTGGTATGATTAGGATTCTAGATTTCAATGTCTATGTTGGTTTTATAGGTAAGATGAAATGAAACTCAAAGGACGTAAACGTAACCTGAATCATTAGCATGCATTCCAGTCACTTTCTCTACATTTTCCCTCTTTTCCCCATTCTCACCAATTTGTGTTGATAGGCCGCAAAATGTTTCCAGGACCTAAAAGTCAGTGTCATTGGATGCTTACCAGAGTGACCCCTGCACTGGCACTCCCAAAACTCCAGACCCGGTTACCAATGTGGCTCCAAGCATAGTCCCAAGGACCTTAGGTCCTCGAGCCCAAACAATTTCCTGGACCCTCTCTGTGGCCCAGTGAGGCGTTCCTCTCTTGTTCTCATAACCCATCAATTCTTGCCCCTCCTGCCAAGCTATATGGCCCTCAAGAAAATGTCTGCGGTGTTCTCCCACCTTTGCGGGACCCGTATGTTTGCTCATTTGTTGTCCTTCATAATCAAGGCACACGTAGAAAAGGGGGCAGGGTTGCAATTATATTTTAATATAAAGTATCTGACAACCACTACAATATAGGATGCAGTGATTTTTGTATGTTGTGTTTACCGCCAACCGCAAAAGTAGATTCAGCACAACAGATTAAAAAAAAAAATCTACTTAATGAGTATACCAATGGTACGCTCCAGGAGGAGAGAAAAAATGCTCCTTCTCAGAAGAAAGCAGAACCGTGATCTGTGTGACAGAGTAGTACTTGACGCTGTAGCAACGAGGAAAGTCTAAATAACTCAAAGGTTCCTAACACCTTGACTCTTGATCTTCCCGTTTAAATCCATCCTTTGATGTAATGAATCAATAATAAATAGCATTGAATTAAGATGTGACCATTTTATTTCTAACATATTTCACATGAACACAATCGTGGAGTCGGAACTTCTAGAAGATCCGGAAACGTTTGCCTTTGCAAAAGTCTGTAGAGCGGACTAAAGAGAATCAAAAAAAAAAAAAAAACAAAAAACAAAAACAAAAAAAAACTCCTTAACTAGAGATCGCAACTCACTTGTTGGTTTCTAACGCATATCGATGCCACAATTATCGGCGCTTCTAACTGGCAAGTTTTAACTTATATACTAAGGTTGGGCGAAAGCAGCCAGATTCAGAAGCAAGGGACAAAACTAGGGCTCGTCCGGGATTTGAACCCGGGACCTCTCGCACCCTAAGCGAGAATCATACCCCTAGACCAACGAGCCGCCTGAGCATTTATTATTTTAGATGCGTTAAATATTTACCAAATTTCTTTTTTTTTAAATGTACGTGTAGCTATATGCAACTATAACTGATAATACCTTTAATTAATTTTGTTAAAAAAATTATCAGGTCAATGAGGCTCTCAGAATTTCTCCGAATTTTCCCTCAATCCAATCCTAAGGACTGTTATCTCAAAGGGCTCTTGACACAGCCTTTCTGAGAAACAGCTGTGGCGTTTGTTTAAAACGCAGAAATCTGGGTTCCTTCTCAAATCTGAGTAAAAGTCTCTGGAGGCGAGGCCCAGTAAGTTTCGTTTTTGACAAGCGCTAGAGCTCACCCACAGGTGTGGGGCTAACAAAGCCCACGTGGAGCTCGTGAGTTGCGATCAGCATTTTCCACAGAAAATAGTAAAACACCTGAAAAATCACTCAACAGGCTATACAGCTGTGAGGTCGTAAATAAACAGAGAGCATTAGTTGTACAAGGAACAGGGGATATTTAACATCAAGATGTGGACTGAGCAGTTATTCCCGGCGTTGGCCAACCTGGACCAACAGGTCCAGGTTGCTGATGTGAAAAAGGTAGATTTTGGAAAGGGGCATAGTCCTTTCTTGGGAAATCAAAGTAACAAGAAAATGTTTCTCTCGGAATGGAATTTCTGTCTTGATGTGTGAGTGTTGATCTTCCCAAGTAGGGATCCTTAATTGGGCAATCAGAGATAATGAACACTGCCTTCTCACACTTGCCCCACATTTCATTATCTGAAGATTTATCTGTTTTCAGACTATTTCAAGGACAGTGTTGGGGCACTAAACAAATTGGTGGCACTGTTTTGCCCTCTATTGAATTTAAATCTAACTCCTAAACTATCCTACTGCTTTTCTGCTTCTCATGAGCAAACATTTTGAGCACCATGACTTAAGAAAACAGGACCTCTGGACTTGCTACAAAGGTTTGGACTTCTGGCAAAGTGTTAGTTATAAAGGTTAGCACAGTCTTTCTTGTAGTAACAGTCCTCAGACAATTGATTTTTCCTTGTCTTTGGCCGTAAGTTACGTGATGGAAGAAAACAAAGTTGGCCCGTACGGGGATCGAACCCGCGACCTTGGCGTTATTAGCACCACGCTCTAACCAACTGAGCTAACCGGCCACCTGTCTCCAAGAAGTTTTAAAAACTGCATCAAGAATTTCATCAGTGTTTCGGAATGTTTTCATTTTTGTTATTCCCCTACGGGAGACCGGTGCACTAGAGCAGCCAAATTCGCCCGTGCTGAGCTGAGATTCATCCTTCTTTCGATATTTGTCCTATTTTTATCATCCTATGACTCACAGGACTAACAATAGCCCGTCTTCCCTCCCCTTTCCATGTTCTCAAGCCAAGATTATTTCTGCCCTAAAGGCAAACCATATACCACAAATAGGGCTCATTAATGGGTTCCGGGCAACTTTCCAGGTTGCTCCTCTTCTGTCATCTCCCCATTGGGCATGTTTTTCTGTGTTCTCAATTCCATTTGTTTCACATAGATAGTTCAAAATACTTCAAAGCAATCTTGTTCCCCGTGCTCCATATACAATTCTACATACAGTGGCTAAAAGAAAGCCATAAAAAGTTAAAGAAGTGGAGGATACAAAACACAATTATTTCACATTTTGAAATATAGTTTCTAATAGTATTGGGCAGATAGGATAAAACAACTTGGAGATGCCGGGGATCGAACCCGGGACCTCATACATGCGAAGCATGCGCTCTACCACTGAGCTACATCCCCTACCCTAAGAAACCGTTCTTTGTAGCTCTCCCTAGTTGTTTGTGAAAGATTTCTGCTACCACCCCACCGCCCCGCCGTCTCCGTCCTCCCATATCTGTCCCCGTCCCCATCTCTGTCCCCAAAATTCTAAGATTTGCGGACTGCTGAAACTAAATTCTCTTTTATTTGTCGAACAAAATCCTGAAATGGTTAATGGGGCAGCATCCATCAGTTTTCAAAGTGTGGAAAACCTTCCAGCCATCAGACATGCTTGTCAAATACTTAACCTACTGACCCAGGGATAGAACTATTGACAACTACCTGGAAATCTGACAAGAAAAAGGAGAGTGAGGACGCTTCTTCACAAACTTCTTTAATTTATTTTTCCTTTTTTAAGGAAAACCAAGGCAGGTGAAACCAAGAACTGCTAAATCAGTTTTCTCTATCTTTCGTCTCACAACAGCTTCCCTAAGTCCGTCGCCGAAAAGGTGATTCAATTACTCCCCTTTATGTGCACCAGCGTCAGATCAGGTTACTTTTGAAAATGTTTTGTTTGGGCCCAAGTTTAGAGAGAGGATTTGAGATATTTATCTGGGAAGCCTAGGAACTGAAGGCGAGCATTCTGTTAGTCCTTGACT
Organism: Homo sapiens; assembly: GCF_000001405.40. NCBI lineage: Eukaryota > Metazoa > Chordata > Mammalia > Primates > Hominidae > Homo > Homo sapiens. The sequence continues at coordinate 26,552,885 of NC_000006.12, read as the reverse complement.
GGACTGGATTATATGAATACATATATATGCGTGTAGAAAGATAGGTAGATGGGTAGGTGGGTAGATAGATAGATAGATGATAGATAGATAGATAGATAGATAGATAGATAGATAGATAGAATTTTGGGGGGATGTTAGTATGGATTTGTAATATGGTTAGACCTCGGTCTTAAAACGGACCCTCGTTATGGCTGAGCTTCTGTGCTGTTATTAGCAAGAATTTCTAAATTACCAGGTCCTTATTAAAATCGCAGCTGAACCTTCTAAAATCACCTTCTAGGTCAGATACATAGATTAATAAACCAGGGTTGATGCAGTTTGGACATTTTGTATGAAGCTTGGTAGCTCAGTCAGTATGGCCATGGACTTTTAATCTGAGGAACCAGGTTTCAAGTCCCTGTTCAGGTGTCGCTGTATTTCTCCTTTTTTATTTCCATTTCTTCATTTTTAACCCAATACGTACAGTATTCTTTCCTTATCAGCAGGAGATATGTTCCAAGACACACAGTGAATGCCTGAAACCTCGGATAGTACCATAGTATACTATGTTTTTTCGATCTGATAACCAGGATGAATACTAAGTGACTAAGATGTGGGGAGCGCATACCGCGTGGATAGTCTGGACAAAGGGATGATCCTCGGGCGGGTGGGAGATTTCATGACGCTACTGAGAAAGGGGAGTTATTTGAAACTTATGAATTTTTTATTTCTGGAATTTTCATTTAATATTTTTGGACCACGGTTGAAGGGGGTAACTGAGACAGCGGAAGGGAAACTATGGACAAGGCGGGAGAGGTTACTGCAGTTAGAGAGAGGAAGGTTAAGGTCAAGTCACGGGCTGATATCCCCGAATAAATGAAGGACTCTTGAGCTGACCATAGGTCTCATAACCTAGGAGCTGTTTAGAAAATAGATGGGCCTTTTGGAAAGGGAGCCACAGCGCACAAAGCTTTTCATCTGCAATAGGAGTAAAAGTTGCAATAACAATGGCTACAAGTTGTTAAAGGTTAAACTCTTTCTTGAAAAGCAACAAAAATGCACAGGCTCCCTCTTTTCTCTATTAGCGTGCTCCTTTCTGATCCCCTGCTTTCCTGATCCATGGGGTTGCCCAGGTAAACAGACGTGGTTCTTCACCCAGAACTTGGGCCTAGTGGCAGTAGCTTTCATTTTTTTGGTGGTGACCTACAATTTAGTTTAGTTTACATCGTAATTCAGTCATACATATGTAACAGAAACAAAAGTTGCATGAACTATTCCTTACTCTTAACACACACACTGCATTCTGATTATTTCTGATTCTAGTCTATTCTAACTGAAATTTAACATATCTTTCACTTACTAATACAGGTAACAAACCACAATTGAAAGAGAAGTAACTACGACTCTGTCATCAAGAAAAATCACATATTTTTGGCCGGGGGTGGTGGCTCATGCCTGTAATTCCAGCACTTTGGGAGGCCGAGGCGGGCGGATCACCAGGTCAGGAGATCAAGACCATCCTGGCTAATACGGTGAAACCCCGTCTCTACTAAAAATACAAAAACAAAATTGGTGGCGGGCACCTGTAGTCCCAGCTACTCGGGAGGCTGAGGCAGGAGAATGGCGTGAACCCGGGAGGCGGAGCTTGCAGTGAGCAGAGACCACGCCACTGCACTCCAGCCTAGGCGACAGAGGGAGACTCTGTCTAAAAAAAAAGAAAAGAAAAATCACATATTTTTGTATCACAATACAGTTGTTACAAATACCCAAGACAACTGTTTGAAAATTACAGCAGTCATAAGACGGGTCTTGATGTTTAATATTTAATGCATTAATGAGAAGCACACATTACTCTATGAAATTATTTTAATCGTTTGAAAACTGTTTTGTAGTACAATTGGCTTTCTTTAAAATCCTGTGTATTTTTTAAAAGCTTTTAAAAATACAATTTTGAAAAGGGCTCCATGGGCTTCATGCTGGGGCCAGAGGGCTCCCTGGGAGCTAAAAGATGAAGAAGCCGCGGAAATTCGCCATCTGGGAGGAGACCACCGTCGGGTGCCCGCCATCCCCTTCCGCCGGAACTCCACTAAAGAGGACTAGGTGTTAGCGCTGGCGCGGGAGGCCGGAGCAAGGTCTTTAAAGGTCTAAGGTGAAATTCCGGGTGGGAGCTCAGTCAAGCCTCCCCTACCCAACTGGGAATCAGTGCGCCAACCGGAGCACGCCCCCCAGGCGACACCGAGAGGCGCGGAACTCCCAAGCCTAGAGGGCGTCGGAAGTGCATCCCAGAGCGGAGCAGCCAGAGGGGCGGGGCGTCGCGGCGCTGGGGCCGCGCCCTCGGGTATCCAGAGTACGGCTCTTCCAGGCCATGTTGATGACCCAGGGTGGAAGCCATTGGAGAGTTTTGAGAGAAGAAGGAGGTATTTTTTTTTTTTTTTTTTGAGACGGAGTTCTCACTCTATCTCCCAGGCTGGAGTGCAGTGGCACGATCACGGCTCACCGCAACCGAGGGAGGTACATTTTAGCGGGATTTCTGTGAGAGGCATTCGAACCAGAGCGACTCCATTTTGAGTGAGGGCTAGGAAAACGAGGCCGGGACTTTTGCTGGGCTGCATTCCCAGAAAGTCAGGCATTCCTAGCCTCTAGATGTTTATGGTTAAGGGAACAAATTAATAATGTTTACTAAACAGACCCAGACTTGGGAGTGTCTAGATGTCCCCATATCTGGAGAACAAAGGCATTCCAAATTTTGCTTTAAAGATAATAATATCGATTCTTACAAAATATAATAAGAAAATTAATCCTTTATCACAGACCCTTGTAGCAGAGCACATCTCCCCATACTTACAGGTATGTATCTAGGGTGGACACTTTCCTCCGCGTTTCAGGAACACCCTACTCTGTCTATGGAGTAGCTGTACTTTCACTACTTAACTTTCTTAATAAACCTGCTTTTACTTTGCACTGCGGACTCGCCCTGAATTCTTTCTTGCGGGAGAGCCAAGAACCCTCCCTTGGGGTCTGGATCGGGACCCTTTTTCTGTAACACAACAACTATTGAGAAAAGAAGGTAGTGGTGCAAGAACAGATACAGAAAAATAAGTTTCCCTCCCTCTTCTTTCCAACTCTTCCATGCTCAGTGCCTCAGATGTGAGGGTCAGAAATTTGGTTATTAAAAACTCTAGGCCGGGCGTGGTGGCTCACGCCTGTAATCCCAGCACTTTGGGAGGCCGAGGCGGGTGGATCACGAGGTCAGGAGTTCGAGACCAGCCTGGCAAAAATGGTGAAACCCTGTCTCGACTAAAACAAATACAAAAGATTAGCCAGACATGGTGGCAGGCGCCTGTAATTCCAGCCACTCGGCAGGGTGAGACAAGAGAATCACTTGAACCCGGGAGGCGGAGGTTGCAGTGAGCTGAGATCGCGCTAATGCACTCCAGCCTGGGCGACAAGAGTGAAACTCCGTCTCAAAAAAACAAACAAGCAAACAAAAAAACCTCTAGATCACCCAGGCTGATATATGTCTAAATTTATGTTTGTCTAAATGTAAAGTTAAATGAGAACAATACTACTCAGCTCATAGGGTTTTCGAAATAAAATTTTTCATGTAAATCACTGGGCACACAGTTTGGCAACAACACTTAATAATTCTCTTTTATTATAGTCAGAAACCTGATATAATTTGGTTATTCATCTTAATTTTTTGATCCAACAATAATTTATTGAACATCTACTATGCACCTAAGATGACAGCAAGAGGGGTGAAAAAGAATAAAAGTAAACAACTACTATGCACATCTATATGCACTATCCATATTCTCTTAACATCTTCGTAAATGTTATTATTCTTACTGGAAGCCTTTTCCCCACTCCTTGCTTGACCAGCTCCTTTCTGTTTTCATTTTGCTGGTCATATGTCAACATACTCCAGGAAGTCCTCCCTAAGGCACCTTCATGCCCTGGCATCAGGGTTTGGGTCTCTTGCTGTGTTATAACAGAGAGCACACTACTGTATGGTGACCTATCTCTCTATCCCATTCAACTTTTTTTTTTTTTTTTTTTTTTTTTGAGATGGAGTTTCACTCTGTCGCCCAGGCTGGAGTGCAGTGGCGCCATCTCGGCTCTCTGCAACCTCCGCCTCCCCGGTTCAAGCGATTCTCCTGCCTCAGCCTCTTGAGTAGCTGGGACTGCAGGGATGCGCCACCACGCCTGGCTAATATTTTGGTATTTTTAGTAGGAGACAGGGTTTCACTATGTTGGTCAGGCTGGTCTCAAACTCTTGACCTCAAATGATCTGCCCGCCTTGGCCTCCCAAAGTGCTGGGATTACAGGTGTGAGCCACTGCACCAGGCTCTCATTCAACTTTGAGCTGAGAACAGGGAATATTTCTTTTATCTTTGATCCTAATCTGTTGTCAGGCATAAAGTGCAGATAAATGTTTGCTGTTTATCAAATAAAATGGATTGGGAATAGTTGAGCAGATGAAGGATGGTAATACGGCATGACAAAGTAGAAATGCCAGCAATTCACTATTACAATGGAAAAAAATGCTATTATGTAATTCCAGTTTTACTATATATGCTACTTACTGGTTTTAGTAAGGGCTCCATATGGAGTGGCCTGGGTCTCAGTTTTGTGGAGTAATCGAATTGTCTTTTTTCCTTGTTTTTCAGTGGCGATGTAAGATTCTGGGAAATATGAATCTTTTTTTCAAATCTTCAACAGAGCTTTATGCATCAATATGCTAATGAGGTAAATTGCACTACTAGTCATTTCCATAAAGTATCTCTAATTCTTTTCAAAACCTTGCAAAATAGATAATAGTTCTTGCTTTGTTACTGAGGAGATTGTGGCTCAGAAAGGCTAAGCAATCATCCAAGCTTGGCATTATTTACTGCCAACTCTCTCAGACCTCTTCACCGTTCCATACCATGTCCAAATCATCAACATGTTTTGCCTAGATTGCTGTGACAGCTTAGTCTATTGCTCATGCAGCAGCCATACTCACACACACACATATATAAAACACCTTAGATTGTGCCATTTCTTTGCTCGAAACTCTAATGGCACCAGGCATGGTGGCTGATGCCTGTAATCCCAGCACTTTGGGAGGCCGAGGCGGGCTGATCACTTGAGGCCAGGAGGTTGAGATCAGCCTGGCCAATATGGCAAAACCCCGTCTCTTCTAAAAATGCAAAATAATAATAATAATAAAATTAGCCGGGCCTGGTGGTAGGTGCCTGTAATACCAGCTACTCGGGAGGCTGAGGCAGGAGAATCGGGGGCGGAGGTTGCAGTGAGCAGAGATTGCGCCACTGCACTCTAGCCTGGGTAACAGAGTGAGACTCCATTTCAAAAAAAAATGCAGAGACACGGCCGGGCGTGGTGGCGCACGACTGTAATCCCAGCACTTTGAGAGGCTGAGGCGGGTGGATCACCTGAGGTCAGGAGTTCGAGACCAGCATGGCCAACATGGTGAAACTCCGTCTCTACTAAAAATACAAACATTGGCCGGGTGTGGTGGCGCGCGCCTGTAGTCCCAGGTACTCGGAGGCTGAGGCAGAAGAATCGTTTGAACCCGGGAGGTGGAAGTTGCAGTGAGCCAAGATCACACCACTGCACTCCAGTCTGGAAGACAGAGTGAGACTCTGTCTGGGAAAAAAAAAAAAAAAAAAAAAAAGCAGACACCAACACCTAGACTACGCTGACCATTTGAAAAAGAAATTACAGGTATAATAAGGACTAAGAAGAAACAAAATTGTTTGTATACACAGAATATATGGTTGTCTATGTAAAAAAAACAAACAAACCCACAAGAATATGCAGATACAAGAATGAGAGGTAGCAAGGCTGCTGGATACAAAAATCGAAATCAACATTAGCTAAAAACAGAAAATGTGGTAACTAAAAATATACCATACGAAGTAGTGTTAAAAAGCATAAAGTCCCTAGGAAATATTAACAAGAAGACCTTTATGGAGAAAATTATAAACTTTATTGAAAGATATTTCAAAGGCCTAAGTAAATGAAGAGCTGTACCATATTCATGTATTGGAAGACAACATTGTAAAGATGACATGGTTTACCAGATTAATCTATAAATTCAATACAAATCCAATCAAAATTTCAATGCTCTTGGGTTTGTTTGATTTATAAATTGTTGGTCTAATTCTAGAAGTAATATGGAGGAACAGTTGGCTAAGAATAGCCAAGACACTCCAAGGAAGAACAATTTTGTGGTGATACTGGAGACAGAGGTGAAATTGGTTACAATTATGACAAAATGTGGAGGCATCTTGGTTTTTATCAGACCTTTTCCTAAAGTTGCAATAATCAGGACTGTACTGTACTGCTACAAGATTAGACAAATTGATGTCAGTCAGAATAGAAACCATCAAAAGACCCACACACATACACAAAAATTTAATTTATGAAAGAGGCAGTGTTACAAATCACTGGGGAAAGGATGAACTTTTCAGTAAATAGTGCAGAGACAACCACTTCGAATATGAAAAATGTTAAGTTGAATTTCTAACTCATAATTTTCACAAAAATCAGTTCAGGACAGACTAAAGACAAATGTGAAAGGCAAAACTATAAAATTTCCACAAGGCAGTAAAGAATATATTTATGACTTTGGGTAGGAAAGGATCTCCCCCCAAACCAATTTGTATTCAGCTTTATATGATACTTTTTAAAAACATTTACTTTCAGCAGGAAATAGGCAACAATCTATAACATTTTACAATTTCCAAACTCCCCTCCTCCAAAAGTCACCGTAAAAGTTAACAAGATATGTCGTTGCTGTTTTGAACAAGAAAGATTTTCAGAGAGGGTGGACACTTCACATGAGGCATGTATGAGCTTTTCTCAGGCCCACTTTGACATGGAGGGACTAAAGTAAAACCAGCAGGATGAATCCACAAACTGAAAACAGGAATCTTGGCTCTTTTAAGTGACACCATCTCGATGTCATCAACAGAAAGCCTGAGTTTTGTTACCTAACACAGCTGATTTTAGGGTTGCCAAGGCCACATCAAAACTCTCGGTTTAAGGAAGTCAAGTCTATGCTGATGGCATCGGGGAAAGGGGAGACACGAAGTTTTGGTTCCCCACACTGTAAGGCTTCCGTGCCAAAGTGGCTGACACGTGAATGTCAGAGAATCTCTCCTGGGAATCAAGGGAATCAAGAACAATCTTCAAAAACCAGGACAGAAAATCCTATTTTCCCTTATTTCAATTCAGTTTCTGAGATACACCCTATTAGTGGTACTTGCCCTTTCCACAAAAGACAACAAGGAAGTGTCCTGTGTGCTAACAACATAACTTAAAAAAGCCAAAATTCTACACTTTTATAAAACTTGATTTAAAAAAATAGTATTTCAAACAGTAGAGTCACTATAAGTACAGAGCTCTCAAAAATGTACATTTCACTTGGCATCCCCAGTGCCTTCCGCTTTCTGGGACTGGAGTGTAGAGGCATCTCGGTTTTTTGCAGGGTTGTTCCCATCCTTTCCAGCATCTGCTTTCCCCTTTCTCCCTTTGGGAAGCTTCTCTCCCTTCTTTGCAGAGGCCTTTTTAGGCCTGGGCTCTGGTTTTGGAGGAGCTGGTTTAGCAGACAACCGAGCTGATCTCCTCTGTGGCTCATCCTTCACCTTTGCTTTATCACCTTTAGCATCTCCTTTTGCCTTTCTCTTGGGCATGGTAGCAGCAGTGTTCGCAGGTGGCTTGAGCAGTCCTGTTGGGTGCTTCTGTCCTCCTCACGCTGTTCCTGGAAAGATGTCTTTAACAAGACACAAAAAGCGTAAACCATAAAGGGAAAGACTGACGAATGTAAACGTTAAAAATCAAATTGACTATATTGTTAATAATTCGTGTATATCAAAAAAGATAGCATAATAAAAGTAAAACAATAAGTACCAGCTTGGCAAAGATATATGTAAAATATATAATGGACAAAATGTTAGAATCCTGAATACATAAAGCATTCCTATAGATCCATGAGGAAAGGACAAAATGAAAATTTTAAAACTATGGCAAAAAATGTTAACAGGTACTTCTTGGAAGCATGAGTGAGGAATAAGCACCTAAAAATATATAAGAAGTACATATTAAAAGCATAGGATATAACATTTCATATCTATCAAACTGAGGAAAACCAAGTTGTCTGACAATATCAAGGGCTCAGCTGATATGGAGCAATCAAAACCCTTATGTACTGCTGTGTGTGTGTGCCAATTAGTGTATTTGCTTTTGGAAACAGTGGTTATTTGTAAAGCACTCTGCAAACAGTGGTATTGTGTAAAGCAATTTTACTTCTAGGTGTTTACTTAGAGGGATTCTTGGAGGTGTGGACAGGAGATCTCCACAAGAATGTTTCTAGCAACACTGTAATTTCAAAAACCTGTAAATCACCCAAATGTCCTTCAATAGTAGAAGGGATGCATATATTTTGGTAGTATGTATAAAAGGGAATACCATTCAGCAGCAGAAACAAATAGATTACAGGTAGGTTCAAAAACGAGGATGAATCTCAAGAATATAATGCCGAAGAAAAATAGCAAGTTGCAGAAGAATATGTACACTATAGATCCATTTACACATGTAAAACTATGACATGTTGAGGCCACAAACATATAGTAAAACTTAAAAAAAAAGGGATAAATAAAAATTGGACAGTGGTCATCTCTTGGGAGTTGGGAAAGGGATGTAGTTGGAGAAGGCATGGAGGTTAGTCCAGAGATGGGGGAGGTTGCATTCTCTTCTTTAAACTGTAGGGGAAGCACATGGCTGGAGTATTACCTATGTCTTACACAGAAAAATTGTATGTGTCTGCTCAAGAATTAATAAAAGTACTAAAAAATGTGGGTAGCCCAGAGCACAGATTGAGAGCCACACAGGTAGGAAATGGAAAATAGTTTGAGTTTGAGTAATTAGGACTTAGGCCTAGGGCTGGCATTCATGGGCACTGTGTGACTTTTTTAAAGCTTTTGTCTATCATACCTTCTGCCCCACCCTTGAAAACATTTACTGGGAAATTCTGTAACCTTGTGAGTGGCCACCATTCTACAATGTTATTATTATTTTTTTAATCTTGTCTCCAAATTGCTCCAGTTTTTTTTTTTTTTTTTTTTTTTTTTTGAGATAGAGTCTCAGAGTCTCGTTCTGTCACCCAGGCTGGAGTGCAGTGGTGCGATCTCGGCTCACTGCAACCTCTGCCTCCCGGGTTCAAGCAATTCTCCTGCCTCAGCCTCCTGGGTAGCTGGGATTACAGGCGCACGCCACCATACCCAGCCAATTTTTGTATTTTTACTAGAGACAGGGTTTCACCGTGTTGGCCAGGCTAGTCTCGAACTCCTGACATCAGGTGATCCACCTGAGAATTGCTTGAACCTGGGAGGCGGAGGTTGCAGTGAGCCGAGATTGTGCCACTGCACTCCAGCCTGGGGGACAGAGTGAGACTCTGCTTCAAAAAAAAAAAAAAAAAAGGTAATGGTGCCACTGAGACATACAGTTCTACTGATCTAACTACACCTGACCTGCTCTCTTCTGAAGAAATCCTTGCCTAGACATTACATGAATTTATTGCTAATTTTTGTCTTTTTCCCTTTATTTCAAATGCAACATTAAGGAATCATTTTAACAATTTTTAGGAAACAAAAGGAGTTACTCTTACAATGAAGGAACCAGTGAAAATCACTTGGTCTAATGGTAGGGTGACTTGATTTATACCTGTTGCCCTAGTATAATTATTCATAATGTTCCCTTTTACTTTGAAAGGTGACCTAACTTGGGCAATGAATAATAAGGTTACCCCAAATATTCTGCATATATTTTTAGAGGCCTTTATGTTATCAGAGAATGAGAGTGTTTAACCAAAAAGTGAGATTTTGGCCTAGCACACATTTCCCTAAGAATAGATACTCCATACCATTCTCCTTCCATCTCACTCCAAAATTGTTTCTCAGCCCATTTCCTGGTGTGAGAATGCTCACACAGTCTCTTTTCCTGGGTTCAGTCTTCTTCGAGTTAGATCCATTGAAGTCCATCCGAAGTAGGGGGGCCATGATCTCCACATGTCAAAGGCCAAAATACAGCAGGTGACAAAATAAAATCAGGAAAAATAGGCCACTGCCTGGATGCTGTATCTGAGTATATAAATACGGATTTAATTCTTGAAACTCACCTTTAGGAAGCTGATTAGGAGACCAGGTCACTGACTCTCTAGAGACCTTACAAATGTGGGAGACAGATACACACATAATGAAAAGGGACCAGAGAGATGGGTAAAAGCTCTTACCATTTCCATAAAGGACAAGGAGGTTGGAAAAGGAAGGAGCTCTCACCACACAGTGGTTTTAACTCAGAAGAAATTATTTGAGGTGGCGCAGAAGAGATTTTTAGGTAAATGAAACTCTTTTGTATGCTACTGTAATGGCATATATTATAAAATGGTAGATGTTATGCACTTGACAAAACCCACAGAACTTCATACAGTGAGTGAACCCTGATGTAAACTATATATTTTAGTTAATAATAAGCTATCAATATTAGTTCATCATTTGTAACAAATGTACCACACCAGTGTAAGTTGTTAATAACTTAGGAGAAACTGAGGTGGGGGAAAGGAAGTATGTGGGAACTCTGTATCTTCTGCTCAATTTTCTGTAAACCAAAAATTGCTCTGAAAAAAGGAAGTCTATTAATGTAAAAAAAAAATACGCATTTTAAGAGTTCAAAAAAATAATGTTAATGATAAAATATAAAAGTCATTACAAATACTCCTTCATGCATGTGGAAGAAAAGAAAAATTATTAACTGGCAGATAAATCTTACTAGTAATTGTACAACTTTTGGAAACATAGAGAAATGACTTTCAATGGTATCATCAGGGCAAGAAATTATCAAGACAGATACTGAAGTTATTTTCCCAAGACATGGCAACAATTTTAAAAGTTTTAGAAATATAACAGTTCCCCTTTGTTAAAATAACTCTTCCAATAACATTATATTACAAACAACAGAGCAAGTTAGTGAAAGTTTTGAATCACTCGTCTTCATTGCACAGAACTGGACTGAAATTCTCATGAAAGCTCTCAATTTAACTCCTCATTTAACCAGATTGCTGTAGGGGAGAAGAAACATCTGCTTCATCCTTCTTCCAATCCTTTTGTTAGCATGAAGACTTGCATTTTTATCATTAGAAGAAGATCATGATGTTTAAATTAACTGGCAAAAATAGCTTTAAAAAAAAAACTAATAGTGAAATAAAAAGCAAAATAGGGTATTATGGGTGGGCCCTAATTCAATATTACTGGTGTACTTATAGGAAGAGGAGATTAGGATACAGACAACATAGAGGAACACATCTAAGGATGTAGTGGGAGGTGGCCATCTGCAAGCCAAGGAGAGGCCTCAGAAGAAACCAAACCTGCCGACATCTTGATCTTGGACTTCTATCCTCCAGAAGTCAAAGAAAATTAATTTTTGTTGTTTAAGTCACTCAGCCTGTGGTACCTTGTTTCGGCAGCCCTAGCGGACTAACATAGGAGGGAACAGTGTAAGAATTTAGTGACTCAGGCAGGGCGTGGTGGCTCACGCCTGTAATCCCAGAACTTTGGGAGGCCAAGGTGGTCAGAAGTTCGAGACCAGCCTGGCCAACATGGTGAAACCCTATCTCTACTAAAAATACAAAATTAGCCATGGGTGGTGGTGCGTGCCTGTAATCCCAGCTACTAAGGATGCTGAGGCAGGAGAATTGCTTGAACCCGGGAGGCAGAGGTTGCAGTGAGCCGAGATTGCGCCACTGCACTCCAGCCTGGGCAATAGAGTGAGATTCTGTTTCAAAAAAAAAGGAATGTAATGACTAGGGAAACATCTTGGATTAGATTAATTTGGGGGTCTCACCCAGCTCTCAAAATATATTTTTCCATGTTTTTTCTCTTTCATAGCAAGCAAATCCATGGACCAAAATGCCACCTCATTCAATACTCATTTTCACCTCATCCCTAGCAAACACAAGGCACATTTTAGCAGCATCTTTTTGATCACTCGATGGATACGGAACTGGGTTTCTGGGAGGTAGTTCTAACTTGGGTTTTAGCCTCAATCCCACCCCGAAATCAGAAGGTTCCCCTCTCCCTCCCTGCCTCTTACTTAAGGAGAGATCGTGTTTGGGGGTTGGAGGGAAGATCTGGAAGAAAGTTAAGAACACCAAGCTTAGGAAGGAGAGAATAAAGGATATAATTAAAATACAATAAAAAATGCACAGGCAAATGCTGGGCGTGGTGGCTCACGCCTGTAATCCCAGCACTTTGGGAGGTGGAGGCAGGTGGATCACTTGAGGTCAGGAGTTCAAGACCAGCCTGGCCAACATGGTGAAACCCATTTCTACTAAAAATACAAAAATTAGCTGGGTGTGGTGGCATATGCCTATAGTCCCAACTACTTGGGAAGCTGAGGCAGGAGAATCACTTGAGCCTGGGAGGCGGAGGTTGCAGTGAGCCAAGATTGTGCCACTGCACTCCAGCCTGGGTGACAGAGCAAGACCCGGTCTCAAAAAAAAAAGAAAAAAAAAAAAAGATTCACAGGCAAGATGCAGTGTGCTACAGAAGCAAGAGGTCACATGGTGTCAGTCACTCTCCAGGGCGTTTGTTCTTCATCTTCCAAAGTATTAGAGACGCAGCATGAGTTTCCACGGAGGTTAAGTGAGAGAGACTGGGAGATGCAGGGGTAGAAAGGAAAGATGAGAAAACGCAGGGTGTCTAAAAGGGTAGGTTTGCTGCTGCAGCTTGCCAGAATGCATCTGCTTTAAAGAGAAGGAGTGAGCCATAAGCTCCCAAACAGTCACCCATCTGTAAAGGTTGGTTAGGGGCACACTCACCTTCCAGGCTAAAGTATTCCTGCTAACTGGGATCGGAGAAAGATGAAGAGGATAAATCCTTGTCATCTCCTAGGACCCTGGAACCTTTGCCCCCTTTCTGGGCACCATAATAACTTGCTTATATTTCTGAGTAGTACAGAGGGGATTTTAAATGAAAATGTATTAGACAGGTTGCTGTTGAGCACATGCCCAAGTTTATTGTCTTGCTAACCAAGATATTATCTTGCTAGCCAAGGTGTTGTCTTGTTAAGGGAACCAGCAAGATGACAAAAGAATGGACCTTTCAAGTCAACGTCTACCCAAGCAGCCTGTTTAAGAAAATGATAAAAAGAAAACAGCTCATTAACATTGTCCTTTTCTTTCTTTTCTTTTCTTTTTTTTTTTTTTTTTTTAATTTTGCGGACCCACCAAAGAATGCAGCCCTTCTTTTCTCATGGTCATAAAAATATCACATTCGGTTGGGCGCGGTGGCTCATGCCTGTAATCTCAGCACTTTGGGAGGCCGAGGCGGGCGGATCACTTGAGGTCAGGAGTTTGAGACCAGCCTGGCCAATATGGTGAAACTCCGTCTCCAACTAAAAATACAAAAATTATCCGGGTGTAGTGTTACACACCTGTAGTCCCAGCTGCTCGGGAGCCTGAGGCACAAGAATCGAGGTGGAGGTTGCAGTGAGCGAGATCGCACCATTGCACCCCAGCCTGGACAACAGAGTGAGACTCCGTCTCAAAAACAAACAAACAAAAACAAACACATCACATTCTTATTAGTCATTTGAGGGAACCTGGAGCAATATGATCTGAGAGGCTAGGCTTGGCTAATCCCTAGAAAAAGTAGTAATACATCTAAGAAAGAAATCCCTCTTAGGGAACACCCGAGGCTGCCAGGTGACACAACAAAACTTTCTCATAAAAGCGTTTGATTAATCCGATTAACTTGTAAGCAAGCCATGTGGCAGAGGTAAGAGGCCAAACACCAAGGCACCAGTCCTGATTCTAAACAAGTGCTGGTCCATTTCTTAACTTTGGGATCCATTTTTTCTTTGTGATGGAATAGCAAAAGGTCAAAGTGGAGGAGGACTCAGCCCTTGGGTGTCTCCTCAACGAGGGTTTCTCGAAGGTAAATTGGGGAGGAAGGGAGAGCCCACGGCAGGTCAGTCCAACCTGCCAGTCACCACCTCTTTAAGGCCACAGCCCTGCGGGAGCAATCCTTTCAAATCCCCTTCCTTCCTTCTTTTAGAACGCCCCTAGAACGCCGATTAGGACTTCTCATCCCGGTCGGGCCTGCGGCTCTCTGTGACCCCACCTCTGGATTCAGCTTTTCCCAGGGATTCACACTCGGAGCTCAGGAGAGATGCTGCGATTACTCTGGAGACGGGAAGACAGGCGGGGCTGACGGGGCCCAAGGCCCCTAATCATGACCGGGGCCAGCTGGCAGGAGGGTCCTAAGTATACGGAGGGCGGCGGGACCCCCCCCACCACGCCCCTCATTTTCCGGGGTAGCGCACAAAGTCTGTGAGGCACTTACCCGAGTCTCGTGGCCGTCCGAGGGGCGCGGGAATCCCAGCTGAGGCCCGTGACGCGCCGGAGCCCTAGGCGTGGGCAGGGCCAGCACCAGCCCTAAGACAGAGAAGACGAGCGGAGCCCGGCTCCGCCAGGAACAGGAAGGCGAGGGAAGGTGAGGATGCGCTTCCGGGGCTGCAGGCGGGGAGCCGCCCCGAGTCCAAGCCGGAGAGAGCTGGTTCTCCCCCTGGCGATACGTGTGTGAGCCTCTGAGGCCCGCCCTAAGCACTGCTGCCCCGATCTAGCAAGACAAGAAGACAGGAAATTTATGACAGCCTGAAAAAGTCTTTAAAAGATACACACTGGAAGAATTTCGTAGTAAGATGAGGAAAAAAAAACGTGTTTCCGCCCGGTTTCGAACCGGGGACCTTTCGCGTGTGAGGCGAACGTGATAACCACTACACTACGGAAACCCACTAAGGGCTTATTTTTCAGAGTAAATAGTTCTTCCTGCCTAGTTCCGTGTTTCTTCGTTCCAAGTGCGTGTTTTGCTGATGTGCGCGTGCGTCTCTGTACCGACCTCTCAAACCAGAAAAACCAATGAAAAGCTCAGACCCAGCCCCTCCAGTGTTCAAACTGAAGCCATAGAATTTATTCTACAAATGACTGAATAGGGAAGAACACAATAGAGACTTTAATTTAATCTCTGAACGGTCCTTCGTTCTTCGGCCAAAATGGCCAGGCAAGGCTGGGCACAACTTGGGTAGGGCGAGCGTTTCTCTGGCGTAGTTGGCGTTACCACGTGGTCAGTGGCAGAATGCTCCGCAAAGAAATGATAACCCCATATGTTGTCGGGAGCTGCCCCTCTTGCTTCTGAGTCTTCCAGGCAAATTTATCTTGCAGGAATTTCCTTACTCCTGCGGAGTCAGAAAGTTGTAAAACGACCCTGCTTACACCGAGCCAGCCAGGAGTCGAACCTGGAATCTTCTGATCCGTAGTCAGACGCGTTATCCATTGCGCCACTGGCCCTGCGCGTACCTTAGGGGCGAGGTATTTCATAAGAAACTAGGTTGTACCCGTAATATCTGGGTGAACGCCTGTAAGCCGCGTTTGCCCGCTGGTCCAGGCTCGCAGCGCATGGACTCTCTGGTAGCTACTTCTGCACACGCCCCGTGGCCTTCATTCCTTTCTCGGTCTGTCTCTGCCGGCTGAAAAATGGCGGTGAAAAGCAAGCCCTGCATCCTCTCTGCCCCAATATCACCGCTCCATTAATGCGTTCGTTCATTCAACCAGTATTAGTGTTCAAGGCACTGCAGATAACGGTGAAGAAAACATGAGAGACCCTTGCCCTCAAGATTACATGGCAGTGGCGGAAGCGGATAATAAAGCATTAAATAAACAAAATAATAGTGATAAGCGATTGGAGAAAAATAATAATAAAACAGGGAAAGAGGATAGGAAAGGCCAGCAGTGAAAGTGATGAATGAGGGATAAATGCTGATATCGGGGAAATGAGTGATCTGGAACAGGGAAAAATCGCTAGGGAAAAGGCCTGGAGGTGGAAGCAGGCTTGGGAGTTATGTTGAGGAGGCCGGTGCTCAGTGGAGAGGAATAGGAGATCCTGGGAGACCACCTCCAGCTTTATAGGCCCTTGTAAGGACTCTGGCCAGCTTTACAGGCTCTTGTAAGGACTCTGGCTGGTATTCTGTAGGAAACTGGAAGCCGTTGTACGGTGACGTGGTCTGAGTTTTCATTTGTCTCTCTGTGGGTCTTTTTTTTTTTTTCTTCAAATATTTTACTAAGCGAAACTGTGCTAGGCCTCCTCACTGCATGCTGCTTCTACTGCAGGGCCTTGATCTCAGAATTTGACAGCTTTATAAGGAGCATCATCAACCCGGACACTCATATGAATGTTCACTTTTTCACTTTGAAAGCAAACAAACGTCTCATATGTGTGTGTTTTAGTTTGTCCATATTTCTGAGAATAAATCATCCCCATGCCTGGTGAGCATTTTAAATAAGATGAGGTCTACTAAACAGAAGTAAAACTGCCTGATATTGAGAATATACACTTTGAGATTAGAAAATATTTGTTTTCAGTTCATAAGGTTTCAACAGCCGTTACAAAAAATATTCTGCTCTTTCTGCATAAATATTAAGGTAGACCTAGGTTATGGATTACTCCCTAGGCAATAGCATAGGGATCTTCTCGTTAGGTTTTGTACTATGGACCCCAAGGGCAGCTTGGTGATTCTGGACTCTATCTCAGAATAATACTTTTAAATACACGAAAGAAAAGATAAATATGTAAGATTTCAAAAGAAAACTAATTATGTTAAAATAGGTTACCAAAACTTTTTTTTTTTTTTTTTTGGAGACAGAATTTTGCTCTTATTGCCCAGGCTGGAGTGCAATGGCGCGATCTCGGCTCACCGCAACCTCTGCCTCCCGGGTTCAAGCGATTCTCCTGCCTCAGCCTCTCAAGTAGCTGGGATTACAGGCATGCTCCACCACGCCCGGCTAATTTTGTATTTTTAGTAGAGACGGGGTTTCTCCATGCTGGTCAGGCTAGAGCATCCCTGGAAGTCACAGGTCCCACCTAGCACCTTAAAAATGAGCTTTAACCCAGCTGGCTGTAGGCTCTGTCCACATTCAGTCTCCTTAGTGTTTGTCTATAAAAATTTATCTGTGTTTTGCAGGCTTTGAAGACCTCCCTTGGGTGCCTCAAATTTCTTAGCCATATTCACTACAATAAATGCTTTCAGCTGGGCGTGGTGGCTCACGCCTGTAATCCCAGCGCTTTGGGAGGCCGAGGTGGGCGGATCACGAGGTAAGGAAATCGAGACCAGCCTGCCCAACATGGTAAAACCCCGTCTCTACTAAAAATACAAAAAATTAGCCGGACGTGGGTCCCAGCTACTCGGGAAGCTGAGGCAGGAGAATTACTTGAACCCGGGAGGCGGAGGTTGCAGTGAGCCGAGATCGCGCCCATTGCACTCCAGCCCAGGCAATAAGAGCAAAACTCTGTCTCAAAAAAAAAAAAAAAGAAATGCTTTTGCTTTGCTCTTGGAAATCTTTCTACATCTTTTCTGACAGTTCCAGTTTCAACTTCCAGTCTTTTCTTCAGCATATATCGGAGAAAGAGTCCAGATATATAAATCTAGATATATATCTATATATATCTAGGGTGAGGACTGGCAAGTCTGAAACCTGTAGGGTTGTAGGGCAGGCTGGAAACTCTCAGGCAGAAGCTGATGCTGAAGTCTTGAAACAGAATTTCTTCTTCCTTAGGGAGGCCTTTGTTTTGCTCTCAAAGCCTTTTAACTGATTGGATAAGGCCCATCTACATAAGGGAGAATCTTTTTTTAAGGTTAACTGATTGTTAACCACATTTACAAGATAACTTCACAGAAACATGTAGGTTAGTGTTTAATTGAATAACTGGGTAGCCTAAGTTGACACATACAACTATGACAGTGGTGGACTCTTCTCTGTGTTTCAGTGCAGTTTTTTTTAGTTTCACTCCCAGGCACATGGAAAACTACACCATCTGCCACTCTCACATTGTTTTACATGACTGTCGGCAGTCTGTGACACAGCCACCTGCATCCTCTCCAATTTCAGACGTGTGGAGCGGAGCCAATGTGAGGGTTCCATGGTTCCTAATCACAGTCGGAACTGAATAGAAGATATGGTTCACACCAAGAGTTCTGTAAATGATTGCTCAAAGTCTCAATTTGCTTCCAAGGCTCATCTCTGGCTAAACAATTCCTTTGACATTCTAGAAATTCTGTGCAAACTTCGTCAGCTGCCAAAGGAAAAACCAAAATAAAATACTATTGGCTCTGCTGTCTGGGGCCTGCCACAGTTGGGTTAAAGCCATATTAGGTGTGACTGTGCTATTTATGATGATTATATTGGCTCCAAGCACACTAATAATATGATGGCTAATCTTATAATAATAAAGTAATAAGTGCTTATTTCATGAGTCTCAATCAAAGTGAGTGCTGAATTCATAGACTGGCATCTTTTTTTTTTTTTTTTTTTTGAGACGGAGTCTCGCTCTGTCGCCCGGGGTGGAGTGCAGTGGCGCGACCTCAGCTCACTGCAAGCTCTGCCTCCCAGGTTCACGCCATTCGCCTGGCTCAGCCTCCCGAGTAGCTGGGACTACAGGCGCCCACCACCACACCTGGCTAATTTTTTTGTATTTTTAGTAGAGATGGGGTTTCACCGTGTTAGCCAGGATGGTCTCGATCTCCTGACCTCGTGATCCGCCCGCCTCGGCCTCCCAAAGTGCTGGGATTACAGGCGTGAGCCACTGCGCCCGGCCGACTTGCATCTTTTTATAAAAATGAAAACTCTAGTCGGCGTGACCTTTTACTGTTCCCCCCATCGCATACATAGGCAAAGGTACATGCCAATGTCTGCCTTAGACTGTGACAGAGAAATCCTTCAAATATTGATACAGCTAAGGAATACTGAAATGTCTGTTTCAGCATAACCACCAGGACAACAGATTTCAAGTAAAACAGCCAAACATAATTACAGGTTTCATTTGGGAAGTTACTTTCACAGCTGTGCCAACAATTTGTATACTCTTCAGAATTTCATTAAACCCCTTTATTCAAATTATACTCCCAAGATCAGATTTATTTTTAATAGAGAACAGAATAAGTTGGAAACACATAAGCCCCCATGACAATATAGAAATTTTCTCTCTCTCTCTCTCTCTATATATATATAATATATATATACACATACACACACACACACACACACACATATATATAATGCTGATTTGACACATCAAATCAGATCCTTTGGACAAGTATTAGGACAAGAAAGCTTTTCTTTCTGTGTAGCTATACCGGGAAGGGGACTTCTTTATCTCTTTCCAAGATTAAGTTGTTAATTCTTAAATCTTGCATTTTTAAGAAGCAACTCTGGAACCCCATTAGTTAATCTTTAATAAGCAAGAAGCAGGTAGGTGGAGCCCAGTTTTAACGGAAAGAAATGGGGTAAGGAATGACTGGAATTTTAATCTAATTCCAGTTTAATTTAAAAGCCATGAAATAAGAAACAAATAGCTTCCTTCCTGCTAGATCAGTTCTTGGTGCCGTAAGTGTTCTGGTGTAAATGCATTACACGACTCGGAGGAGTGTTCTGTAAATGTGGCTGGCTACCCGCTCTCCTACCCTCTTCTCCCTGAAGCCCGAGGTCATACTTTATCCACGTTAGGATGAGCTGCTTGCTATTTGAGGCAGTTTCTCGGAGGACTCTCCTGTTCGCCCCGGGGCGGGGGTCAGGCTATCGCCAGCCTTTCCCTCACCCCCCACCTCCCCCACGCGAAAAACCTCGTTATCCTGCAGCTGAGCGGTTTCTTAGGTCTTTTGGGGCGAAGCCAAGGTTAATCTTCAGTGTCTGAAGAAGCGTGTAGCTACTTTCAAACCTCAGTAACAAGAAAGTGTATCAATGCACAGAACAAAGGCAAAGATCATCTCTTTTCTATGCTCATTTGTACCACCGCAGGCATGGTGGCTCCGTGGCTTAGCTGGTTAAAGCGCCTGTCTAGTAAACAGGAGATCCTGGGTTCGAATCCCAGCGGGGCCTGTTGTAGTTTTCCTGCATTCAAAGTACCCACGGAACAGTTGAAGTATGCGTGAAAGGTTATTTTCCCCTATGGGGCTCCATCAAAGTGTTTTATATGCGTCCGGTGTGAAACCTCCTTGTTTACGAAAAAGAAGCAAAGATAAATTTGGCTTTCTTTCAGAATAATGAAATTCTGAATTTCTTGCTTTTCTTACACTTTTCTTCCACATGTTATATCTTACAACATGTACGAGAGGAACCAGGGAAAGCAGAAGGCAAACACCAAATTTAAACTACAAGCAACATCATAATCTCTAGTCATTCTATTTTCTTTCCTGGGGAAATCCTAAACAGATTCATTGTCAGAATCTGCAGGTAATGTTTTTAGAAGGTCAATCTTTGGAATGATTCATAATCTGTTGTTGAGAAGGCTGTAGCATCTCTGAAAATTCACAGCAAACAGTAAGATCTGGCCACATAAAACAAGCTGTGATTCGCTATTTAAAAAGATTGCATTGTACTCAGAGTTTTTTGGAAAGGAACAAATCAAAGCAAAAACAAATATTTGTCACCAAGACTTGAGAAAAGAAGCTGTCAGAGAAGCCTCCATTTGCTTATGGGGCCCACTAGAACAGGCTGACTTGAAGAAGTCCAGGAAGGGTTGAGATGCCTTCTCCCAAACTCTCCAAGAGGAAGAAAGAGAAATTGAGAAGTAGGAAAGAAGTCAGTTTTACTCTTAGCAGAAGTTCTCCACATAGAAACACAAGACCAAGGAAATGGAAGTTCACTGTAACTATTACCAACCCTCTCACCCATCTCCCAAGACCCAGCCCACAGCTCACCTGGCACAGAAAGTTCCACTTCTCTGGCTTTTGCTTTCAGAGCATATTATTTTATGTAGATTGTCAAGGCTTGCAATATGATTTCCTGTTCTAGCTCTGGAGACAAAATCCCAACACTTGGAGGAACAGCTCAGAAGCAACTCTACTTTTATGGAGACTTTCTACTCCCATTCCGCAGCTTAATTCCCCACTTTTCTTTTTTGTTGTTGTTTTTTTTTTTTTTTTTGAGACGGAGCCTCGCTCTGTCACCCAGACTGGAGTGCAGTGGTGTGATCTTGGCTCACTGCAACCTCTGCTTCCAGGGTTCAAGCAATTCTCCTGCCTCAGCCTCCCGAGTAGTTGGGATTACAGGCGCCCACTATTATGCCCGGCTAATTTTTGTATTTTTAGTAGAGACGGGGTTTCACCATGCTGGTCAGGCTAGTCTTGAACTCCTGACCTCAGGTGATCTGCCCACCTCGGCCTCCCAAAGTGCTGGGATTACAGGTGTGAACCACCGCCCCCGGCCAATTCCCCACTTTTCTTTATAAACATCAAGCACCAATGGAAAGGCAGACCCTTCTTTTTTTTCACTAGAGCCTTCTATCTTCTGTTCTTTTTCCCTAGGCCCAGATACAAACTTCCCTCAAATGATAAGACAGGCTGGGTCACTGGTGCAGATGTCAACACTAAATCACTAATTCATCCCCTTACCAATCCTGCCTCATTTCCACTCTCCTGCTCCATCAGCTCCAGAAATACCTTTATAGGAGGCTTGTGGCCAAGTGGCCCTCAACAGATTGCATGGTCTGTACACTGAGTTGGCAGTAGTGGTACTGGCTACTGAAGCTATTGAATATTCCAGGTGATGAGTCTCACTATCTTTCCCAAAAGCCTATGTCTTCCTAGTTCTCCATATATGGATACATCATGGAAACAATTTATGTGTAAAAGTGGAAATGGTTTGCAATCAGATGCTTGTTTGTCTAGTGAGTGGCTATTTGTCAATGGCCAATTACTATGTGGCAGTTACCATGCTAATCACACATGGGTGAAGAGGCTGATGGGAAGGGAGAACAATTTAATGGCAGTTATAGTATAGTGGGATGTAATACTATTGGGAGTACAGGGTGCTTTGAGCCACACTTGCCTATTTATTTATTTATTTATTTAGAGATGGAGTCTCGCTCTGTTGCCCAGGCCGGAGTGCAATGGCGCAATCTTGGCTCACTGCTACCTCTGCCTCCTGGGTTCAACGATTCTCCTGCCTCAGCCTCCCGAGTAGCTGGGACTACGGGCACCCACCACCACGCCCGGCTACTTTTTGTATTTTTAGTAGAGACGGGCTTCACCATGTTGGCCAGGCTTGTCTCGAATTCCTGACCTCAAGTGATCCACCTGCCTCGGCCTCCCGAAGTGCTGGGATTACAGGTGTGAGCCACCACGCTCGGCCCCACATTTGCTTATTTATTTATTTTTTTTAGGGACAGAGTCTGGCTCAGTTGCCCAGGCTGGGGTGCAATAGCACAATCCTAACTCACTGCAGTCTTGAACTCCTGGGCTCAAGCAATCCTGCTGCTTCAGCCTCCTTGAGTAGCTAGGCCTACCAGTGTGTGCCACTATGGGTCTGCCACCACGTCCAGGTGATTTTTGTTTTGTTTGTAGAGATAGGGTTTCATAATATTGTCCAGGCTGTTCTCCAACTCCTGGGCTCCAGACATACTCTGGCCTAGGTCTTCCAAAGTGTTGGGATTACAGGCATGGGTCACTGCGCTGGCCTGCAGCCTCATTTGAAAACAAACCTGTCTGTGTGGGGCTGGGTGCAGTGGGGATCACCTCTGTAATCTCAGCACTTTGGGATGCTAAGGTAGGAGGATCACTTGAAGCCAGGAGCTGAAGACCAGCTTGGGCAACATAGTCCATAGTGAGACCACATCTCTACATAAAATAAATTAGCCTGGCATAATGGTGTGTACCTGTAGCCGTAGCTACTCGGGAGGCTGAGGCGGAAGGATCTCTTGAGCTCAGGAGGTTGAGGCTGAAAAAAACAAAACAAAACAGAAAAACAGACAAACAAAAACCCTGATTGGGCGAAGGTGGAAGGAAGACTTTATGGAAGAAGTGATACCCACACTGAGCCATGAGGGAGACACAGAACTTGTCAAGGAAAGAGGATAGACGTGGGAGGAGTAGAATAGATGCCCTGGGCAAAGGGAACAGTGTGTAACTAAAGGTGAGGAAGAGAATGCTCAGTTCAGATAAGTGGAAAGCAGTTAGGTGAGGGTATGTGCAAGTCTTAAAACTGTTTTTTGTCTGGAGATAGGCGGAGAACATTTGACTTGGCAGTTGATAAGTGTCAGGTGTTTCATGCTTTCTTTTAAAAAGACAATGCCTTACCAAAGCAGTTTGGATAGCATTTGAATTTACAAGTTGTGGATTAAGTAGGGCCTCTAGCTCAGCTGCTGAGGTTCTCCTATGGGCAGGTGGAGCTAGAAGGGACTGTGTTTCCCATTGCATTCTAAGTAGCGATGCTCATCTACTTGCTTCATATCTGTCTGAGCTAGCCTGTTTACTTCTCAAGGCAAGGGCTGTGCCTGTCCTCTTCACTGCTGTATCTCCAGAGACCAGCACAGGGCCTGGCCAACAGCAGTGTGATGATTAATATTATGTGTCAATTAGAGTGGTTCATTAGATACTCAGATTACACATTGTTTCTGGCTGGGCTTGGTGGCTCATGCCCGTACTCCCAGCACTTTGGGAGGCCGAGGTAGGAGGATCGCTTGAGCCCAGGAGTTTGAGACCAGCCTGGCCAACATAGTGAGGCCCTCATGTCGCTACAAAAAAAAAAAAATTAAAAATTAGCCAGGTGTGGTGGTACGCACCTGTAGTCCCAGCTACTCATGAGACTGAGGTGGGAGGAATGCTTGAGCCCAGAAGATCGAGGCTGCAGCGAGCCCTGGTTGTGCCACTGCACTCTAGCCTAGGTGACAGAGCGAGACCTTATCTCAGGGTGCTTCTGGATGAGATTATCATCTGAATCAGGGACTCAGTAAAGCAAATTGCCCTCCCGGGTATGATCCCTCCCATTTGTTAAGGGCCTTAATAGAACAAAGGTTGAGGAAGGAGGAATTCACCTCTTCTCCCCCTACCCCACTGATTTACATCTCATTTTTTTTCCTCTTGCTCTTGGACTGGGATTTACTTCGTTGACTCCCGGGGCTTTCAGGCCTGATTGAGACCCAAACTGAATTACACTACCTGTTTTTCTGGGGCTCCAGCTAGCAGATGGCAGATTGTGGGACTTCTCAGCCTCCTCCATAATTGTGTGAACCAATTCCTTATCATAAATTACTGTCTCTCTCTCCATAGACAGGCATAGATAGATAGATACATACACACATACATACATAGTTAATAGATAGATAGACTATTAGTTCGGTATTTCTGAAGGACCCTAATACAAGCAGGTACTCAACTATGAAAAAAAAAATACAATGTATCAGGCATTTGTTGTTTGCCAGACACTCTTCTAAGCTTTTTACATATTCCAAGTCATGTAATCCTTACTGCATAGTTATGAGGAAAGGTACAGTTATTTCCTCCATTTTAAAGAGAAGGGCACTGAGGCACAAGGATGCAAAGTCACTTTCCTGGAAGGTAAGTAGCTGGCAAGTGGCAACGTCCAGAGATGGGCCTAGGCAGCCTGAATTGAATTCGACTAATCTGCTGGCCTTCCAAGCACCTTTAAGTGTTTTTTCTGCTACCCTAGGGGGTACACCTATTTGCCATTTCCTCCTTTCTCTTATGTTGCCACCTCTGAAGGAGGGATTCAAAGCCACGTTTGATCAGAATGTCAGGGTAGGCAGAAATGGAGTGAATATGTGGAGTGAATACTTGGGCAATAAGGGGGACCTTTGTTCTTTTCTAGCCTTGCTGATGATGATATTTCTAACACATATCAATTCATTTTTCTTTTAGTGCATGCTTGAATCTTTTTGTGAAGTTTGAGTGTTTTAGGAGAGAAAGAGGGCAGAAAAATTTTGAATATCAATGATCATAAAACAGATTCACTCTATATTCTGCTTTGGTAACTCAGTAATTAGATTGAATTTCTTTTTTAAAAAGGAATAATGAAGAGAAAATTCCAGTCATCTGAGGTTTTTGATTAATTGAGGCTTTGCAGTAAATTATGAGCTCAAAATAGAAACATTGCCTATTCATGTTTCTAACAGTAGCTATTAATGCTCAGGATGATCAGGCTAGACATTAGGAAACTTCAATTTGAGGAATATTTCTGGAGATGTCATTAAACATGAACTTCTGTGTGTATACATCATGCTCCCTGGGTCCTAGGTCCTGTTCTGAACTGCAAAATTAGTAGATTGTCAGATCTCATGACGTGCAATGTGTTCCTGCTGTATCTCAAGGAAAATCTTACACAGCCTCATAATTGAAATATAGGAAGATGTTCATTGATGGAACCCTTATTTGTAGTGGCAAAGTGGAAGAGTAGGTGACTTCACATTGCAGACCTCTATGTGGCAATGAAAATAGTTGGTTTAGATGTGCACACAGCAACATAGCTCAAAACTGCGGTACCAATGGAATAAGAAAGAGATCTATGACGCAGTACCACTTACATAAAATAAAAACACATTCACCCAAACCAATCGTACCTGTTCTATAAAAGCATATAGAAAGAAAAGGATGCCTTTTCCAGTGATTTTTTTTTTTAAACAGGCTTTTAAAATAACCTTTATTTTAAAAAGTTAATATGTTAATATGTGCATTATAGGAAACTGAAAATCACAAGAAGCAAACAACAAAGTCATTCACAATCACAAGCAGTTTACAGTTTGACATGTTCTTCTAGGTCCTGTGTGTGTGTAGGCACAACATCCCATCTTATGGGACTGAGATTGTACAGTATGTATCATGATTTTTGACACATCATGAATATTTACCAATTCAAAATCCCAAAGCTTTATTAGTATTTTGATAAACAAGAATACACTACACCAACTTAATCTGTTAAAAAAAAATGTAGTCCTACCTTTCTTGGGACAAAAATTTCATAGAAGACAAAAATGACAACACGCCTCTAGATAAAAGCATTGGCAGAGTTCTGATTTAAATGCTGCATTCCCTTAATGCTCAATTAAAATGAAACATACAGCAACAGAATACATTAAGTATAATGTTTCTAAGAGAATTCATTAACAGAGCTATACCATTATAATATTAGCAAGGTATATTTCCATTGAATTACTTAATGTATTCCTATAGTACAGCCAAAAGAGATGCATACATCAATGGCTATCATCAAAATGTAAATATGGACACATATGGACACATCTGCATACATCTCTCCCTGTATACTTCCTTCTGCCCCTCTGCTGCCAACCTAATGAACAAGTCCTGACATATACTGCTCAGAGGCGGTTTAACAATTCCATGTCCAAGATGCATCTTTTCTATCACTTATAAAAAGGTATTTACAAATTGGCTAATTCACTAGCTCTAGTTTTTTTTTTTTTGAGATGGAGTCTTGCTGTGTTGCCCAGGCTGGAGTGCAGTGGCGCAATATTGGCTCACTGCAACCTCCGCCTCCCAGGTTCAAGTGATTCTCCTGCCTCAGCCTCCTGAGAAGCTGGGACTACAGGCACGCGCCACCACGCCCAGCTAATTTTTGTATTTTTAGTAGAGATGGGGTTTCACCATGTTGACCAGGATGGTCTCGATCTCTTGACCTTGTGATCTGCCTGCCTCAGCCTCCCAAAATGTTGGGATTACAGGCATGAGCCACCGCGCCTGGCCCACTAGCTCTAGTTTTTATCACACATTGTCACCTCAGATATTCATAAAGGTTAGATGTTGCAAAATAATAAACTCTGTCCACAATAAACACAGGCACTTTACTAAAAATGCTCATATAGACCTGTGGTTATCATCTAAAACCATCTTCTAGAAATGGAGATACTAGCAAAGAGCCCTTCCCTTCGCCCTTCCTCTTCTCCCTCTTTCACCATCCCCAGTGACTAAGTATAGGACGTCTAGCTCCAAGAAGTGGACTAATAAAGGTCACTCCCAGAAGACAGGCCTTCCTAAAAACTAACAATAGGACATTCACAAAGGGACTGATTCACTACATCTATTTTTAACATACTTTGAGCATTAAGACTTGTTTATCCTTTAATACACAATATTAACACAATAAAATGCATACATAGAACAATGGTTAGACCATCTGAACTAATCTAACTCAGGGGCACAGAACCCTTCTCCCTGCATACCTCCTCCTCCTCCCCACCCCACCACGCAGTGAATAGTCAGCATACGCTCCTAAGCATCAAGTTTTAACAATTCCATTCCCAAATGCAACCACTCCTAGGAAGTACTGAAAACAAATGCTTAGAGGGGTGTTACTTTAGCCCTCTACTTTTAACCTATGTTGTGGAATTTTTTTTTTTTTTTTTTTTTGAGATGGAGTCTTGCTCTGTCGCCATGCTGGAGTGCAGTGGTGTGGTCTCGGCTTACTGCAACCTCTGTCTCCCGGGCTCAAGCGATTCTCCTGCCTCAGCCTCCCGAGTAGCTGGGACTACAGGCATGTGCCACCACGACCAGCTAATTTTTGTATTTTTTGTAGAGATGGGGTTTCACCATGTTGGCCAAGATAGTCTCGATCCCTTGACTTCGTGATCTGCCCACCTCAGCCTCCCAAAGTGCCAGGATTACAGGAGTGAGCCACCGCACCTGACCATTGTGCACTTTTAAACACCTAGAAAGACTAGATGTTTCAAACTGCACTTAAGTTTTCCATTATATACACAGTAGTATTGAATAAATGGCATATATACATAACATAGACTATAATTTGAGTGTCTTCTAAATAGGAACATTCTGGCCTAGAACACTTCCCTTTCTGACCTCTACCAACCCCGTTGACAGCTATAAGCCATCTGTAATGCTTGGGGGCGGGGGGCGTTTAACAATTTTACTTCTGTTTTTAAGAAGTGTTCCTTATGAATTTTAACACAAAGTGTACTCAATGTATTAGTTTACTAACTCTACTTTTGCCATACACTGGCAACCTCTTTAACATCGACTAGATATAAATTAGGACTCCTATGTCTGCTTATATACACAGCACAGTAAACGAAAATGCAGACATAAGGGACAATGGTCAATGTGCCTCATCATAAACACACTGGACACTGGTAGAAAGCCCTTTGAACTTTGTGCTCCTTCTTCCCCCTGAACCAGCACAAATATCATAACGTGTACTTCTCAGAGAATTGATCAATTTCCAAGACAATATTTCATATCAAAATAACTACAAAATGTGTTACTTACTACCTCTACTTTTAACATGCTTTGTG
Source organism: Homo sapiens (assembly GCF_000001405.40). Classification (NCBI taxonomy): domain Eukaryota; kingdom Metazoa; phylum Chordata; class Mammalia; order Primates; family Hominidae; genus Homo; species Homo sapiens. The sequence continues at coordinate 26,524,737 of NC_000006.12, read as the reverse complement.
CACTTCTAAACATCTAGAAAGACTAGATATTTCAAATAAGGACTTAAGTGTGTCCACTATATACATAGCACTGTTGAATAAACTACACACATGTAACAATGGTTATATCTGAAAGTGTCTTCTAAATAGGAACATTCTGGTCTAGAACCCTTCATTCCTTCCAACTCCTCTCCACCACCAACCTGGTGGATATAAGCACATGTGTCACTTCGAGCTGATGTTATCATTTCACTTCCAAAAAGTCCTTTTCAGAAGACAGCCTCTCTATGAATTTTAACAAAGTGTACAAAATGCGTTAGTTTACTAACTACTTTTGTCATACACTGGCAACCTCTTTAATAGCTACAGACTAGATATTATAAAATCAGGACTCATTTGTCCAGTATATACACAATATATACAGTATAGCAAAGTTAAATGAAATGCTTGTAACATATAGGCAATGGATTAAGCTGAAATTTTCTAATAAACAATGGCAAAACACCTTTTGCAATTTTTTCCCTCCCACCTCCCAGGTGGTTCAACAAATCCACTTCCAAACAGCATTTCCCATCAGTTTTTAAAAGCTATTTACAAAAAGTGTTATTCTACTACTACTACTTTAAAATACATCAAGCACTTCCAAATATCTAAAGACTAGATATTTCATAGCCTGTCCACCATGTACACGGCACTGTTAAATAAAACTGCACACACATAACAATGGTTATCATCTAAGGTATCTTCTAAATGTGACCATTTTGGCCTTGAATCATTCCCTCTTCTCTTCCTTCTCTGCCTTCAATTCAGTGGACAAGTACACGCATGTGTAATGCTTAGAGATGGCTGAACAAATTCCTATGCAAAAGTCAATTACAGAAGACAAGTTTTCCTATGAATTTCAACACAAAGCATACAAAATATGCTAATTTTACTACTTTGTCATACACTGGCAACCTCTAGATGTTAAAAAATTAAGACTATTTGTCCATTATATACACTATATACAGAGCAAAACAAAATGCACAAAACATACAGAAAAATGGTGTCTGAAAATGTCCAAGTATGAACACACTAGCATATTATCTTTTGCAATTTCTTCCCTCCCACCTCCTCTAAACCATTGAGCAAGTATAGACAGTAATATACTGCTCACAAAGGTGGCTTCACAATTCAACTTCCAAAAGTATTTCCTATGAATTTTAGCAAAAAGATATTTACAAATTGGTATTTTACTACCTCTACATTTAATATACATCGGGCACTTCTAAACATCTAGATAGTCTAAATGTTTCAAGTAAGGAGTTAATTTGTCCACTATGTATGTACACAGCAGTCTCGAATAAACTGCAAACATGTAACAACAGTTATAATTTGAAAGAGTCTTCCAAATGTGAACATTCTGGCCTAGAACCCTTCCCATCTCCATCAACCCAGTGGGCAAGAATGCTCAAATTTTCAGAAGACAGTCTTTCCTAGGACTTGTAAAACAAAATGTACAAAATATATTAGTTTACTAACTCTAGTTTTGTTATACACTGGCAACCTCTTTAACATCCAGAAAGACTAGATGTTGTAAATTAGGACTCGTTTGTCCTTTATGTACATTATATACATAGATAAAACAAAATGCACAGACATAGTGATTCATCTTGCCTCGCTGTAAGCAGGATGGCATAGAGCTCTCTGCACCTCCCCCTCCTCTCTCCTCCCCTGAACTACTGCACAAACACAATGAGTATTACTCAACAGGTGATTTGGCCATTCCCCCCAAAAAACAACATTTCTATGAATTGTAACAAAAAGATATTTACAAAATGTGGTTTTACTACCTCTAATTTTAACATATATCAGACACTTCAGAATATCTAAAAAGAATAGACATTTCAAAAAAGCTTAGCATTGTCAACTACATACATAGTAGTGAGGAAGCGAATGCACACAAAACAATGGATAGAATATGAAAATGTCTTCTAAATATGACCAGTCTAGCATAGAACCTTCTTTTTTTCCTTCTCAGGTCTTCGAGCTCCATGTCATCTAACCCACTGAACAAACGTGAACGTATCGCTTCTAGAGGCCGTCTAACAACTCAGTTTCCAAAAGTCAACTCCGGAAGACATGTATTTTCTATGATTTCTTTTAAACAAATGAGAATTTACAAGATGTGTGACTTTCTAACTCTATCATACGTCGGCAACCTCTTTCCATCTAGAAGGGCTAGATGTGACAAATGTTTTCTATTAAAAGGTTGGGGTGGAGTTGAGAGCAGCTTTTTCATATTATATACACAGGCCTTCCGTAAACGGCCTGTGAATCTTCCCAGAGGATGGAGGGCATTTCCAACGGGCCAAACGTGGCCTGTCATTCTACCATTTGTCTCTTCCGACAGCAAGGTCTGGTAGTACGGAGACCAACCGCCCGATCGCCGCTAACCGTTCCACCCGTCGTCGTTCGGGACTTCGCTCACCTCCCAGGCCCGTTAAGGCCTTTGTCCGTTGTCGTTAGGACTAGGTAGGTCTCGCCCAATGGCGACAGAGTGGTCACCCGGGACCCAGATCTGGCGGCTCCGTGGCCTGAAGAGGCGGCCGAGCCTGCCTGCGTCCCTAGGCCGCCTTCCCGGGCCCTCCATGCCCTAACGCCCTCCGCCGCGCGGCGTTCGAGCGGCCGCCATGCTTCCCGGCACGCTACTCCCGCCGCCACCCAAAGGCGCTGCGTCCAGGCTGCTCGGCGGGGGTTTCGTCCAGGCCCGGCAGGCTTGGGCCGGGAGACCCGACGGCCGGCAGGGTCCGGACTGGGAGAGGCCGCCGCCGCCATCAGTCACCGAGGTAGGGTAGGGAAGAGACGTTCGCCACCGCTTCAAGGCCTGGGCCCAGCCAGTGGGCAGCCACAGCAGAGGCCTCCGGTATCTGCAGGGCAGAGGGCGCGGCCTGTCCCGGGGCGCCCCCTAGCTCACCCGCCGACCCGGGGCCGGAGGGCCTGGAGCGCCCTGGAGGAGCGGCCCGCGCTCTGCGTCTCTCCGCGCTCTCTGCCAGACCGGAACTCTTGCAGTGATTTCTTACGGGGAGTAAGGATGAGGTGGGGAATGAGACTGAAGAAATGGAATTAAAAAGATAACTATAACTAAATAAAGAGGAGCCCTGCAGTAATGTAATGAGCCATGAACTGAAGAGTAACATTTATTCAACTCTGCCTGTGAAGGAGGGAGAGGGAAAGACAACTAGAGACAGAGGAGAAACGGAAAAAGGAGGTGAGATTTCAAAACACCGGTAGGTTCTGAAATTATTTTCGGAGTACAGAGTACTTTTTGCTGTCCTTGGAGTGGCTAATAAAAACAAAGAGTGCTTTTATTCCGGAACTCGGAAAATTTATTTTTTAAAAAGAGAGAAGACCATGTCACAAAGAGCAGGTAGGAAAACGTAGCGTAAACTTAAACTCGATTTGTGTCTAAATACTAAAAGTACGAACTGTCAGGAGTGGGATTCGAACCCACGCCTCCAGGGGAGACTGCGACCTGAACGCAGCGCCTTAGACCGCTCGGCCATCCTGACGCGCTTATGCTACATTGTGCTCAGGACTCACTTCTGTCTCTTGTCTAAACGCTATTAGTTCCCCATCCACCAGCCGCCCCCCTACCCCATGTCCCCACCCCCGCCCACCCCCTTGTTGTTCTTTTTCTCAAGATATGGGCATTCCTGGGTTAAAAGGTAAGCCGCCTCTCCGCGAACTGCCTCGGACGGCGCTGCATAGGACCGGTTGTCCGGGCCACAGAGCGGCGTCTCCCGAGTGAACGCCGAGTCACTCCCAGGCTGCGCGGGGAGGGCTGCGGCGGGTGGGGCGGCGGGCGAGGGAGGGCGGGTCGGGGTAGGGGGAGCGGGACGGGGGCGGGGGCGTGGGAGGGGCGGGGCGGGCGTGGGAGGGGCGGGGAGGGGGCGGGGCGGGCGTGAGCCAGCCCAGGGCCGAGTGACTAAGGCGGAAGACGGCGATGGCGCTCTGCTCTCAACTGAATTCTAGTTAAAATAATGGCAATCCTGTTGAACTCAACATTACTAGAATACCTGGCTTAAATTTACACTTAATTCCCAGGAAGTTTTAGGCTTGCTCCAGTTTTTGCTGGAACAAGGTGCTCGCTAATCCTTCTCCTTTGCGTTGTGCTGCAAATCTCCCAGCACGTGGTTACCCTTGGCAGGGCCGGTGGAGGGGACAGGAGCGTGGGAAGCCTGGCTTGTCTTGCCTCTCTGTCGGAGTTTATGGAGGATTTGCGCACTTTTCGGTGTGGATGTTATACTGTAATAAAAACTTTAAAAAGCAAAAGCAAAAACAGCAACAACAAAAATGGGGAGTAGCTTATGTATTTTACTAAACCTGGCGCAGCGGGTACTTGATAGAAGGCCTTGAGCACAACAACTTTTCTAAACATAAACAAAGGTCAGAGGTGACCTACTTCAAATTTTGTTAGCAAGGGTTAGCAGTCAGGATGCCATGGTCGGAATATCACTGACTGGAAGTCAGGGGACCTGAGTACGAATTTCAGACAGAACTAGAACTGGTCACTACCTGGAGAATCTTAGATAAGTCATTTTGCTTCTGTGGACATTAGAAACAGCTTTCTTAGACACCTATAATACTTTCATCGTGAGTTCAATTGATAGAATACAATGTTTAATCCCTTAAATTAAGCATTAAATCCCCATCTCCAGGGAATCAATTAGAGGCAAATTCTGTTCTTCTCAGGCCTACCGATTCAGAAGTTTTGCTATGTCCAACATGGTGACTATAGTTAATAACAACGTTATTGAATACTTGAAAATTGCTAAGAGAGTGGATTTTAAATGTTCTTGCCACAAAAAGAAAAAGATAAGTATGTGATGTAATGGATATGTTAATTAGCTTGATTTAGCCTTCCCACAATGTACACATAGAACAAAACATCATTTTGTACATCATAAATATATATATCTTTATTTGTTGATTTTAAAAATACAAATAAGTAAATTAAAAAGTTATGAGGATAGAGTCCCACAGTAAGTGTTTAATAAGTCCTCTGCAAGGCCTCTAAAATTCAGTCACCTCTGCTCTTTTCACAGGGTAGTGGTGGATACCAACTTTGGAGATGAGGAGAGAGGCAATTCATCCAACATATAGGAAATATTTATTGGGTACCTACTATGTGCCAGGCAGCATTCTAGGTGCTGGTGATCCAACAGTAAACAAACAGACAGAATAAGCTCCACCATCGAAGGGCTTACACTATAATGGGGCAGTGAGCCCAAGAAACATGAAATAAAATGGACAGAGCTGTGCTCCCTTCGGCAAGCACTTACACTAAAATTGGAGCAATGCAGAGAAGATTAGCATGGCCTTTGCACAAGGATGACAGGCAAATTTGTGAAGCATTCCTTTTTGAGACGAAGTCTCGCTCTCGTTGTCCAGGCTGGAGTGCAATGGCGCGATCTCGGCTCACTGCAACCTCCTCCTCCCGGGTTTAAGCGATTCTCCTGCCTCAGCCTCCCTAGGAGCTGGGATTACAGGCGCCCGCCACCATGCCCGGCTAATTTTTGTATTTTTAGTAGAGACGGGGGTCTCACTGTGTTGGCCAGGCTGGTCTCGAACTCCTGACCTCAGGCGATCCACTCATCTCAGTCTCCCAAAGTGCTGGTATGACAGGCGTGAGCCACTGAGCCCGACGGGAGCATTCTATTTTTTTAAAAAAAGAATAAAAAATTAAAAAAAATAATAAAATGGAGAGAAGCTGAGACCTCTAATAAAGTAGTTATTTTAACTCCAGTCTCTAGGCCTCATGAGAAATCCCAGCTTAGTTCCCCAGTGAAAAATAGAATTGCCCTCTAAAGAAAGAGAAGTGGGGGAGGAAAAGCCCAATTTAGAAACAATACATGTATGTATTTTTTGAGACGGGATCTGGCTCTGTTGCCCGCGCTAGAGAGTAGCAGCATGATCCTGGCTCACTGTAGCCTCGAACTCCCAGGAGGAGTACAGGAGCAAGGATTACAGTAGCTAGGACTACAGGCACACACCAGCTGGCCTGGCTGTTTTTTATTGTTTTGTTATTATGTTGCCCTGGCTAGATAGTTTTATAAAAGGTTGAAAATGGCCAGGTGCAGTGGCTCACACCTGTAATCCCACCATTTTGGGAGGCCGAGGCGGGTGGATCACGTGAAGTCAAGAGTTCGAGACCAGCCTAGCCAGCATGGTGTAAACCCATCTCAACTAAAAATTAAAAAAAAAAAAAAAATTAGCCAGGCGTGGTGGCACACGCTTGTAATCCCAGCTACTTGGAAGGCTGAGGTAGGAGAATCGCTTGAATCCAGGAGGCGGAGGTTGCAGTGAGCCGAGATCGTGCCATTGCACTCCAGCCTGGGCAACAAGAGCAAAATTCCATCTCAAATAAATAAATGGTTAAAAATATAGAAAGCAAAACGAAGGCCAGACGTGGTGGCTTCACGCCTGTAATCCCAGCACTTTGGGAGGCCAAGGCGGGTGGATCACCTGAGGTCAGGAGTTCAAGACTAGCCTGGCCAACATGGGGGGTTTCAACCCCATCTCTACTAAAAATACAAAAATAGCCAGGCGTGGTGATGCATACCTGTAATCCCAGCTACTCGGGAGGCTGAGGCAGGAGAATCGCTTCATCCTGGAAGGTGGAGGTTGCAGTGAGCCGAGACTGCCATTGCACTCCAGCCTGGGCAACAAGAACGAAACTTCCCCCGACTCCCCGCAACCCCGCACCCCCCACTCCCCTACCCCCCACCTCCCCACCCCCCTACCCCCCACCTCCCCACCCCCCGCTCCGGCTGGCTTTGCCTAGGCTCATTTATGCCCACCATTCAGCCAAGATGCTAAGCCTCTCTCTTCATAAAGTCTTTCATTCCCAAGGAGGCTAGACGTGATGGGAAAGCAGTTCCCCGAGGTCTTGCCCCAGTGCCATGTTCTTATCCAACTTCTGCTTGCCTCACATTGGCCAAAGCAAGTCACAGGGCCCAAACTAAAGGCAGTGTAGGGAGAGGGTACTGCAAGAGTGGGGCCCAGGGAGGAAAGGTTTATTGGGTGTATTTGTACAACCATCTACCACAGTAATCTTAAAGAATAGTGAGAAGAAACAAAATTAAGAATTGAAAAACTAAGTTGTAAGACACAAAATTGAAAATCAGGTGAAAGATAAGAAGAGGATAGAGAGTGGGTGTTCATACAAATTTCTTGAGGTAAGCTGTTTTCTGATGAAGCGTGGGGTTTACTCAGCCAGAGGGTATAAGGGCTCAGGGCTCTCAAATAAGATGAAATACAGGATGCATAGTTAAATTAGAATTTCAGCTAAACAATGAATGACTTTTTAGTTTAAGTATGTCCAACATTAAAATACATTACTTTCTGACTCCCAAAGAGGCTGAGTCAATAAAAGCCTACTTGGGAGGTAGGGTTTGGTCTGTCCACACGTGTGTTTGAAAAACAGCCAGCAGCCATCTCTTTCATGTAGTTTAACCATACTTTCCCTGACCTCCAGGTCAGTTTCAAACTTCCTTGAACTTTGCGCACACTCATAACTTAATCTGTCGGTTGATATTTATTGAGCAACTAATATGTGCCAGGTACTTTATTTACAAACAAAGGAAATCTCTGCTTTTGTGGATTCTTGCCTCTGTGATGAAGAAAGACTATTAAAAAAACAAATATGCTTATAGTTTCAAGTATTAATAAGTACTTTCAAGAAAAATAGTAATTGTGCAGGAGTTTTCCCAAAAGAAAAGTAGTGCAGGGTGATGAGTCAGAAAGTAGAAAAGTGTGTGTGTGTGTGTGGGGGGGGGGGGGGTGCTTTTTTACAGAGGGTGGTTAGAGACATCATTTGACCAGAAACCTGAATGAAATGGGGGGCGAGACAAACATATCCAGGGGACACACAGAGGGCACGGCAAGGGCAAAGAACTTGGGGAGAGAATGAAGGAGGAACAAAAGGCTTCTGTGTCTGAAGAGGAGGAATAAGGGAACGAAAGAGATGAAATTGCAAAGATAGCCAAGGACCAGATGGTGTTAGTAGGGCCTGAGTTTAATCCTGAGGCTGCATTGGGAAGCCATTGGAGAATTTTGATAACATAATCTGATTTGTCTTTGAAAACAATACTCTGGGCGGGGCACAGTGGCTCATGCCTGTAATCCCAGCACTTTGGAAGGCTGAGGAGGGCAGATCGCTTGAGCTCAGGAGTTCGAGACCATCCTGGGCAACATAGGGAGATCCTGTCTCTAAAAAAAAAAAAAAAAAAAAAATTAGCCAGCCTGGGCGACAGAGTGAGACTCTATTTCTTTCTTTCTTTTTCTTTTTCATTCTTTTTTTTTTTTTTTTTTTGAGACGGACTCTTGCTCTGTCGCCAGGCTGGAGTGCAGTGGCATGATCTCGGCTCACTCCAACCTCTGCCTCCCTGGTTCAAGCGATTCTCCTGCCTCAGCCTTCAGAGTAGCTGGGACTACAGGCGCACACCACCATGCCCAGCTAATTTTTGTATTTTTTGTAGAGATGTGGTTTCACCATATTGGGCAGGATGGTCTCAATCTCTTGACCTCATGATCCACCTGCCTTGGCCTCCCAAAGTGCTGGGATTTCAGGTGTAAGCCACCACGCCTGGCTGTGAGACTCTATTTCAAAACCAAACCAAACCAAACCAAACCAGACCAGACCAGACGAAACCAAACCAAACCAAACCAAACCAAGCAAAACAATACTCTGGTCTTTGTGGGTAGCTGACCATAGAGGCAAGGGTAGAAGCAGGTGCTATATAAAAAATCCAGGTAAGAAGTGATGATGGCTTAGGGAGCTAGTGGTAAAGAAGGAAAGAAGTGCTCATGTCCAGGATATGTTTTGAAGGCAGAGCTGACAGGACTTACTAGGCGTTTGGAGGTGGAAAATGAGATAAAAAGAGGAATTAGTGCTTATGCCTATATTTTTGGCTCGAGAAAATGGATCACAGAGTCATTAATGGAGTGGAAAAGATTAAGTAAGGTGTAAATTGGTCAGAGGGAATCTAGAGTTGTACTTTGGTCCCCTTAAATTTGAGGTACCTATTATTTGTCACAGAGAAGATGTTCAGGAGTAGAATAAGTAAGGCCATTCTGGAAACCATGTTGGGGCCAGAGTCATCGATTCAGGAGTAGTGAGCCGATAGGTGAGAGTTAATGCTGCAGACGGAGAGAAAAATTAAGTCTTCAGCAGGCTCTTGAAAGGATTAAAAGGCTTTAAACAACAATAAACTAGTCAGCCAGAACTACAATTCAACAACTGCAACAATGTAACAGTGTCTCACTGTGGTTATTACAATCCAAAGCCACTGTCCTGGCACTTGATTATCTTCCACTGCTATTTTGCTGTTTGAATGGAACTGGTGGCTGCCTTCACCTCTCTCTCTTGGAAGAACATGAGGCCAAATTCTTGTACAGTCCAGTACAAGGTCTTTCTGTGGCAGTAGCTTGATGTTATGTTAACTTTCTTACCTCCTACTTGTTCTAAGTTGTATACTGCTTTGTAAACTAACACAAGATTTGCTCAGCTTATAGGAATGTTTGAAAGTCATTTTCTGGACAATGTACTTTGTACCTAACCAACAGCATGGACCGTGGAGTCAGATGGCCTGGAGTCAAATCTCATCTCTGCTTACTCTCTAGCGGGTGATAGAAGCCATTTTATCTCTCTGCTCTTCAGAGTCTTTATTTGTAAAATGGAGACTGCACTGATGCCTACCTACCTCCTAGGGGTCTGAAAAATGGCAGGAATTACAGCACACAAAATACAGGACCTGACGCATAATAAGTACTTTGTTACTGTTAATACTATGAGTATGCATATTCAGTTGCTACGTAAATGCATTTTGCACGATGATCAAAATTTGGAGATATTTCTTGTTCTTTCTTTTTTTTTTCTTGAGATGGAGTCTCGCTCTGTCACCCAGGCTGGAGTGCAATGGTGCAATCTTGGCTACTGCTACCGCTGCCTCCCGGGTTCAAGCAATTCTCCTACCTCAGCCTCCCGAGTAGCTGGCGCCACAGGCGTGGGCCACCACACTCGGCTAATTTTTGTATTTTTAGTAGAGACGGGGTTTTGCCATGTTGGCCAGGCTGGTCTCAAACTCCTGACCTGAGGTGATCCACCGTCTCAGCCTCCCAAAGTGCTGGGATTACAGGCATGAGCCACCGCACCCAGCGAGATATTCCTCTGGAAAGACTCTTGTTACTTCAACTAAGATCTTTAATCCCAAGTAGATGCGTAATATTTTGAAGCATACATCTAGTCTGTTCTCAAACATTAAAGTGCACATGAATCACCATGTTGTTAAATGCAGTTTCTGATTCAGGAGTTCTCAGTGGGATCTAAAGTTCTGTGGTTCTAACAAGACAGTCCAGAATCAGCATGAGTAGCAATGCTTTAAAGTATGCATGGAATCCCTATGCAGTGCTCTCCTCCATGGTCAGCCAGTCTTCTATGATGGATGATTGTTGCTCATCTGACCTTTTCTTGGAAGCTGTTGGCACCACATATATATATTTTATATATATATATAATATATATATGTGCACATATATTATATATGTGTGTGTATATATATGTGTGTGTGTGTGTGCATACATATATATATATGTATTTTAAATGAAAGGATAAACCCAAATATTGGCATTGGTCATATTTGAGTGATGAGATTTGGGACCATTTTTACTTTGTAAAATATACTTTCATGTATTTTTAGGAAAATAAGTTATTTCCATTTTAAAATAATACAATGAGCGCAAGAGTAAATGTGTATGTATTTGGGAGTGGGCTGTCAGGGACTATTGCAAGAGGGGGATTTGAGGAAATATGAGTGCTGTCTGGAGGCAGAAGAGACATGACTCAAGATGTGTGGAGGAATGGCATGGAAGAGCTGCTATTGATTAGGGAAGAGGGAAGTTGTTCAGTTATTTTTCTCACAATCTGAATGTCTGGGCTTAGTTACCTCATAGTCTCTGTTAAATAGAGGCAGGCTCCCAGAAACATGTGACTACCAGAGCTGGCATTTGGCAGTGTGAAATGAAGTCAGCTATTATTATTTTAGGGGTAAGTGCATTTTTAGTATGATTTTTAGTTGTAGGGTGGAAAGGTATTTGTTTCTAGATTAAAAATAAAAACAGACATTAACAAATACTTCAGTTAGTTTCAGTGCTTTTGAACTCATAGTGTCACCTACTTTGCCTGGGTAACTCAGACAGGCTTTGGTAAAGCATTGGCAATGCAACATTTCTTGTCTTTTAGGAGATTTGGAAATAAGGCCAGACATACTGAGACTGATAATTTCCTTATCTCTGGGGCACAATTCTTATAGCTGGTGCCACCAGGACAGGGAGCCAAAGGCAGGTTCTTAGCTCTATCACATAAATTATTTTATTTATTTATTTATTTATTTATTTATTTATTTTTGAGGCAGTGTCTGGTTCTGTCGCCCAGGCTGGAGTGCAGTGGCATGATGTTGGCTCACTGCGACCTCTACCTCCCAGGCTCAAGCCATCCCCCAACCTCAGCCTCCCGAATAGATGGGACTACAGACGTGTGCCACCACGCCTGGCTAATTTTTATATTTTTAGTATAGACAGGGTTTTGCCATGTTGACCAGGCTGGTCTCAGAACTCCTGGCCTCAAGCAATCTGCCCGCCTTGGCCTCCCCAAAGTGCTGGGATTATAGGCATGAGCCACCGCGCCTGGCCCACATAAATTCTTTCTAAGGGGTGTGTGGGGCTGGAGCTGGAGGGAAAAAGGAAGGACATTGTATCTCCTAAGAATCTACCACAAGCTCACTACTGTGCCCAGTGACCATTTTCCTGGAAGGTCATGGGGAAAAAGGAAAGAGGAGTCATAGAGCTGATTATAATCTGTGACTGTTCTTTTTCCCTACTCTCAGAGGGGGATTTCTGTGGCAGTCCATCTATTCTGGGTGAGGTTTAGAGATACATTTTAAGATATACATTCCACATTAAATCAGTAAAGCAACTGCCTGAGGTTCTTAAATATTTATTATTTTTAATAGAATGATTATGAATTGGTTTTATTTTTACTTTGGCATGAGATCTATTCAGAATGGGGGTAAGGAAGGTGTTGAGGTAAAGGCTTGTATCTAAATACACACTTGAATGTAATGTATAACCCCAAGCGAATTCCCATTTGACCCCCTTTTCTCTCCCCTCAGCTCCAGAAACAAGCCCATTTTCCTCTTTCTGGCTGATACCATCCATTCTTCAACTTGAGAGTCCTCTTCTCTGTGGCCCACACTAGAATGCAATGCAGGCTCACAGCTTCTCCACTGCCTACTTGCCCCTAAAAGAAATAGAATGCTTTGGAGGATTTTAATATTGCAGAAATAGATGCTGGATTTAAGCAAGTAAGTGCAGGGAGGATTATAATGTATTCTGAAAGTATTAGAGTGGTATTTACTTTCATAATACATCATAATGTATTATAAATAGATCGAGCAATTTCTTTTAGCTCCTTTTTTTAGTCTTCTCTTTCCTCTTCTCGGAATCCCAGTTTCGTTCAAACATCCCTTTTAAATCCGGGGACTGATGCTACTAAGCCTCCTCCTTCCTTCAATAGACTTTACTCTTGATTTTATCCAACCTATCCTGCAAATACATGTTTACTGATTTATTATAAAGGATATTACAAAGTATACAGATGAAAAGACAGATGGAAAATATGTACAGGGCAAGATGTGTGGGAAGGGGCATGCAGCTCCGAAGCTTTCTCTGTGCACACACTGCCCTCCAGAAACCTCCGTGTGTTCAGCTATCCAAAAGGCCAGAGTGCCAATGGCTACCTACCCTCTGCCCCTGTTTGGGTGGTGAACTTCATTTCTACTACTGTAAAGGTAACCTGGTCAATGGTATAGGTAAGTGAAGCCAACTCTTTAACAGTACTTTTGCAAGAGGAGGAAATATTTGGGAAATCTTTAATGTTAAGGCCTTGTAATTAAAAGAAAAAAAATGGGGTGGGTGATCTTTGGATATTATTTGATATAGTTTGGATCTGAGTCCCCACCCAAATCCCATGTTCAATTGTAATCCCTAATGTTGGAGGTGCAGCCTGTTGGGAGGTAATTAGATCATGGGGGCGGTTTCTCATGAGTGGTTTAGCACCATCCCCTCAGTGCTATTTTTTTGGGAGACAGAGTCTCTCTCTGTCGCCTAGGCTGGAGTGAAGTGAGTGGCATGATCTCGGCTCACTGCAACCTCTGCCTCCCAGGTTCAACCGATTCTCCTGCCTCAGCCTCCCAAGTAGCTGGGACTACAGGCATGTGCCACCAAGCCCGGCTAATTTTTTTGGTATTTTTAGTAGAGACGGGGTTTCACCATGTTAGGCTGGTCTTGAACTCCTGACCTCAGGTGATCTGCCTGCCTCGGCCTTCTAAAGTGCTGGGATTACAGGCGTGAGCCACCATGCCCGGCCAATGCTATTTTTGTGATAGTGAATGAGTGACTAATTATGACATCTGATTGTTTAAGAGTGTGTAGCACATCCCCCGCTCCCCCCTCTCTCCTCCCCCGTCCCTGCTGCTGTCTTCCTTCTGCCATGGCCATGTAAGATGTGCCTGCTTCCCCTTCGCCTTCTGCCATGATTGTAAATTTTCTGAGGCCTCCCCAGAAGCTGAGCAGAAGCTGTCATGCCTACATAACTATGAGCCAATTAAACTTCTTATCTTTTTTTTTTTTTTTTTTTTAAATGGAGTCTTGCTCTGTCACCCAGGCTGGAGTGCAGTGGCGCGATCTCAGCTCACTGCAACCTCTGCCTCCCGGGTTCAAGTGATTCTCCTGCCTCAGCCTTCTGAGCAGCTGGGATTACGGGTGCCTGCCACCACACCCGGCTAATTTTTGTGTTTTTAGTAGAGACGGGGTTTCACCATGTTTGTCAGGCTGGTTTCAAACTCCTGACCTCGTGATCCACCCGCCTCGGCCTTCCAAAGTGCTGGGATTACAGGCATGAGCCACCGTGCCCGGCCTAAACTTCTTATCTTTATAAATTACCCAGTCTCAGGTATTTCTTTACAGAAATATGAGGATGGACTAATAAAAAATTGTTCCTGAGTTGAGATTCTGTATTCCTGCTTGAAGACCCTGGTAAGCAGTTGTTCCCTCATGAGGCATCAGCCCCCATGTGCACCTGCCCTGGTGAGCCCACTGCCATCAGGCCTAGGGATGGGTCTTAGACCACATACAATGGCAAAGCTTTAGACAGCTGCATTCCCATGCAGGTTTCTTGCCCTATGTTTTATTTTGTTTCAGTTGATATTAAAAAAGAAAGGTTAAGAGGTTGCTTTCAGCAATCAGACAAACTTATTTATTAGGTAAAGACGATGAGCAACGTCTATCCTGGAAACTGGAGAATACGATGGAAATGGAAGGTATAAGCCTGGAGTCTATTGGCAAGACAAGCCACATGTGTAAAGGAAAGTGCTCAGGGGCAAATACACAGGTGCAATCAGTCCAGCTGCACTGAACACAATGATGCAGCATTCAGGGGACCCTGAGGAGAGGCAGCATGTAGGAAAGCTGGGTAGGGAAAGTGAAAGGTGCACAGTGTGGAAACGGAGGCAGTTGAAGCTAACTGAAGGTGTGTGTAAGGGGTTTGGGCATTGAGATGAGGGCTGAGGTGACATAAGGTTGAGATGGTGACTGAGCAAGTGGTGATATCACTGAAGGATGACTTCTAGGAATGTCTTTGAAATAGAGAGATGCTATAACAAAAAGAAGAGGACAACTGGAAACTTGTGGATCAACAAATTGAGGGTGGAATGACTTCCAGGCAAGGGAGAAACAGGAGGGCGCAGAGAAAGGAACAGGGTACAAAGAACAGCTGTGCAAACAACTTTTGAGTTTTGTCAAAAATTCTCTCCTCTATCACGCTTTCTGCCTGACCCTTCATCCCTGCTCATCTCAGTTCCTCTCTGCTCTCCCTTTTCCACAGCTCAGACCCATAGAAGTGGGGCCAGTCTCCTCTGTCCTATAGGACGTGGCTTAGAAAATTTGCGATATAGGCTGTGAAAACTCTATGGATGAGCCAGGTGTTCATCATGTGCCTGGATTCACCTCACTTCCCTCCATCATAATATTCCCTCCAAGTTCCTTTATGGGATTTCAGCCTGAGATTGTCCTTTCACAGCACATTTTGAATTTTCCACTTGCCTAAAGCCTGTTTTTCCACATACCCTTATCCTGGATACCAAGATATTTCAACCACAACCCCATGCTAACCTGACCCAATCTCGATCCCTAATCTGTCCTTTGAGTTTGCTCCAAGTAGTTTCCTATAGGTTCTAGTCTTAAGGGATTAGGAGAACACTAGAAGCAGTTTGAGTCACCCCTCCATCCCCCAAATATTGGTACAGAAACAGATTTGGAAGGTGCAATCCCCACCCTCTCTAGCAGCAGCAATGTAACCTTCACAGGATTAATTAATTGCCACCCAACAGGAAGAAACAGACTGGGTAAAGCTAGCAGGTGAAGCCTCAGAAGGCTATGGAGGAGAGGGGTTAGAGGAAAGGAAAACAGATGAGCTGAGATATTCCTTAAGGTGCCCCTTGGCTGGGTTGGGTAGGGATTAGCTTAGAATGGAGAGTGTCTGCATCCCTAGGGGCAGAGTCCTCCCCCATGGGGGACAATGGGATCTCCTTAGAAAGGTCCTGGGCATTAGCAATGACTGTGACCCTCTCAGGCCCATCAGCAATTGGGCAGATGGTCAGGGGCTTTTTACCGCTAGACCATAGGCAAAAGAAGGGCCGGAGGGGGCCAGAGAAAGTGACATTGGAGAAAGTATAGATATCAGATCCATCATTCATGTTGTAGAAGGAGATGTCTCCTGATTCATAGTCTAGGAAAATCCCAACCCGGCGTGGGGGCCCTGCCAATGGGAGAGGGGTCCGGAGAGGAGTGAGGGCCCAGTACCCATTTCCATACAACTCTACAGCCCAGAACCCATTCTCAGGAGTCATGGGGTCAAATCCTTTCTTCATCACATTCTCCCTACACACGCCGATTGCCCAGTCAGTCCTGTCTCCCACCTCCACCTCCCAGTAATGCCTTCCTGAGGTGAAGGTCTCACGGCCCAACACACAGGGCCAGGAGTCAAATCTCTCTGTTTTCTCAGGCAGTTTCTGACGTGAATCTTCCAGTCGAACAGATTTTGAATCCTCATAAAGAAAGAGGTGGGGATGAGCTGTGTCTGGGTCCAGAGTCACATCAACTGGAGAGAAAGAAACAGCAGGTCTGACATCAGTGAATATTACAGGTTGCAGGACTGTCTTTCCTTCTCCTAAGAAACAGAACACTGTTGTAGGAGTTGACAGGTCTTCTGGAGGTGGGGGGATGTTTGGCCTGCTCAGGGGTCTCCATTCACCACAGGATCCCCCCTTACCAGCAGCCAGAGGGTGATGTAAGAGCTAACTGTGCCTAGGGCCTAATGGGACTCTGTCGGAAGTGCCATCTTCCAAGGGTTCTCTATGTGCCTCACAGAAACTGTTGAGGCCATCTGTCATCACCGTTTCCCTTCCTGTCCTCATCACTAAAGTGTTAGTGTTTTCATTTCCAAGTATCATAGCACTTTGAATTCCTAGGGGATAGAGCCTCAGAGCCCTAGAGAAGTTCAGAGCCACTGACCTGCATGCAAGGTAGCCTTTTTCCATTCTGCAACAAAAGAGAAAGATAGTCATTGACAGGTTATATAATAAGAGAGAGAAAACTCTGTGGGTGAAATAACAAGAAGACAGAACTTACTGAGTTCTTCCAGGAGTCTCTCTGGAAAACAAACAAAAATACCTCAATGGCTTTCTATAGTGGACGTAAAGGAGGGGACAAAACTCGTGTGGGAAACACACAAAGGAGGAACTGTTTAATTCATGACTATTTGAATATTGAAGCATTGCCAATAAATCAAGAACAAGGATTTTGTTTTGCTTTGTTTTCGAAGAAAGATGCAGGAAGTTCCTACATATTGGAACTGGCTTGGGATCAGATTTTTTTTTTATAGAATCTCATTCTGTTGCCCAGTCTGGAGTGCAGTGGTGCAATCTCTGCTCACTGTAACCTCCATCTCCCAGGTTCAAGCCATTCTCCCGCCTCAGCCTCCCGAGTAGATGGGACTACAGGTGTGGGCCACGACCCTGGCTAAATTTTGTATTTTCATTAGAGACGGGGTTTCACCATGTTGTCCAGTCTGGTCTTGAACTCCTGGCCTCATGTGTTCCACCCATCTCGGCCTCCCAAAGTGCTAAGATTACTACGGGCATGAGCCACTGCGCCCGGCCTCAGATCTTTAATAATAAGATTGGTACTGGGCAATTGAGTTAAAAGTGGGAGTAGGGTCTGAGGGTGGGTAGTGAGTAAACATCAGCCCTGATATCTTGATTAGACTCTGCCTATGCCCCAATCCTCTGTGCTTCTTCATATTGGCATCTGTGACTTCAGGACCCTTATGATTTCCTCCAATTTTCAGAATTCTAGAATCAAGTATCTTCTACTTTTTTTGAGACGGAGTCTTATTCTGTCGCTCAGGCTAGAGTGCAATGGCACGATCTCGGCTTACTGCAACCTCCACCTCCTGGGTTCAAGCAATTCTCCTGCCTCAGCCTCCCGAGTAGCTGGGATTACAGGCACTCACCAATAAGCCTGGCTAATTTTTGTATTTTTAGTCGAGATGGAGTTTTGCCATGTTGGCCGGGCTGATCTCGAACTCCTGACCTCAGATGATCCACCTACCTCGGCTTCCCAAACCGCTGGGATTACAGGCGTGAGCCACCATGCCCAGCCTCAAATATCTTCCTGTCATCCTAAAATAAGTCATTCTAAAGGACTTGGATCCAGCCTGCCTCTGAAGCACTCCTGACACGTAGCCCTTGTGGATTCTATGGTTTACCTTTAGAGCTGAATTCATTCCTCCTCTCTCTGGGTCTTTCGTTGTATAGTCTCCAAGTGAAAAATATGGACCCAATGGTGAGAAGTCCTAGAACCATCAGGATGACAGCCACAGCCACTATCCAGGGAGTCAGCCTTGGGAGGGAGGAAGCTAAAACAAAATCCCCAAGAAGGACATTAGTTGAGAAATTCTGAGCAAGTCCAGCTTTTCTCCACATTCCAAAGGAGGGTAGAAGAGGTGATGGCCTGGACCACTCTCATCCCTCATATAGCAAAAAAATAGTCACTCCAATGCCACTCTAAACTTTTCAGAAAAAAATTGACTTCAAGCAGGAGTCAGCAGAGAAAGAGAGAAATGACGAGTAATTTTGGGACAGGACCTGTGAAATAATAAATATAATGGACCAATTCATGTCATTATGGAAATTCTTCCTTAACTATCAGTGCAGAATGGGAGCCAAGAGGATGAAGGAGGTAAATAAGGAAGGGGAAGTGTGCCTCTGTATGTAACAGAATGGGACTCATTGACCAAAGAATAAGGAAAGGTTTCTGCCTGAACCAGAGACAGTATCTGGGGAATAATGAGAGGATTTTCTTCCCTGAGGACCCTGGAAACCTAGACAGAGCCCTAGCATGGGATAGGAAGGAGAAGTGAGTATGGGTGGAAATGGCAAAAGTAGAAAAATAACTTAGTCTTTTTTTTTTTTTTTGAGATGCAGTCTCGCTCTGTCACCCAGGCTGGAGTGGAGTTCAGTGGCGCAATCTCAGCTCACTGCAAGCTCTGCCTCCCGGGTTCACACCATTCTCCTGCTTCAGCCTCCCAAGTAGCTGGGACTACAGGCACCCGCCACCATGCCTGGCTAATTTTTTTGTATTTTTAGTAGAGGCGGGGTTTCACCATGTTGGCCAGTATGGTCTCGATCTCCTGACCTTGTGATCTGCCTGTCTCGGCCTCACAAAGTGCTGGGATTACAGGCGTGAGCCACCACGCCCGGCCAACTTAGTCTTTTTGTTTACTTGAGGAGAGAAGGCTCTGGATCAGGAAGGCCTCCAGGGACAAAGCTTCTCTATCTCACTTAGATCTCCTGAAATGGAAAATCTGGAATTTCACTGGGTGTGATGGCTCACACCTATAATCCCAGCACTTTGGGAGGCCGAGGCAGGTGGATTGCTTGAGGCCAGAAGTTCAAGACCAGCCTGGGGAACATGGTGAAACCCTGCCTTCGCTAAAAATACACAAAATTAGTTGGGCACGGTGGTGTGCACTTGTCGTCCCAGCTATTCTGGAGGCTGAGGCAGGAGAATCGCTTGAACCTGGGAAGCGGAGCTTGCAGTGAGCTGAGATCATTCTGCTGCTGCACTCCAGTCTAGGCAACAGAGTGAGACACTGTCTCAAAAAATAAATAGATAAATAATCTGAAATTTATTTGAGATCAAGGTAGGTTTATGTCTTCAGTATCTTAACTCTTCTAATAAAGTTGGTGGGGTTCCCTTAAGTCACTGGAAAAGAGCTTAGGTGGGGAAAGTAGACAACTCTGCCATGAGGTCACATCTGGGCAGGTGTCCCAGGTGGTGTGGCTCTGAAGCTGTGTCAACATAGGAATCCAGCAGCATTGGTTCCACTAACCTGGTATGGATATTTCTACTTTCTTCTCCTGGCCAAGAAGGAGATTCTGGATGTAGCAGGACACATTTTTCGCAGAAGTGTCTCTGATGATCACTGAAGCAGCCACAGTGAACAAACCTTCTTCATCAGGATTCCTGGACTCTGATGTAGATGGAAACTTCTCTCCCTTGGAAGTTCTCCACTGCACCTGGGGCTCTGGGTACCATCCCACTGAGGTGCACTCCAGACAGATTTCTCCATTCTCTTGAACTTGCATACTGATGTGAGGGTCAGAGCCCAGAGCTATGGAGAGAGAATCTGGACTTAATGTTTTAGCGGACCCCTTTTGGGAGCCTTATAACCAGAGAGCTACATAGTTTGAGAAAGAGAGAGACAGAAAGGCACAAGTGGACTAGTAGGGGGAAGAACTCATCTCCATATTTCAATATACAAGGAAACTGAGGGCCAGGCACAGTGGTTTATGTCTGTAATGTCAGCACTTTGGGAGGCTGAGGCAGGATTACTTGAGTCCAGGAGATCAAGACCAGCCTGGGCAACACAATGAGACCCCATCTCTTTGGGCATGGTGGTTCTTGCCTGTATTCCTAGCTACTTGGGAGGCTGAGGTTGGAGGATTGCTTGAGTTCAGGAGTTCAAGGCTGCAGTGAGCTGTGATGGCACCACTGCACTCCAGCCTGGGTGACAGAGTGAAATGCTGTTTCTAAAAAAGTTTTTTTTTTTTTTTAAAGGAAATTGAAGTACCAATAAAAGGAATTTCATATACCTTATCAGAGAAGGATGCCTTGTTGGGATCAAGCCTTTGAAATGTTTGCAGCAGTTTGGTGGGCAGACTTGGGGGTGCTTGTCCAGCCAGCAGGAACACTAAGACCAATAACTCAGAGGTGGGTTAGTGGTCTAGGCTGAGAGCATTATGAGAAGACTTTGGTGGGGAGGAGGAGAAATAGGACTGGGTATTTAAGGATGAACAGAGGAATATCCTTGAGGAGAGGATTGGCGATTCTTTGGCTTGAGATTATAGTTGACAATTTAAGCTTTCTTTATCTATGATGTTGATTCAGAAATTTTCTTAAATGGTCTCAACTTCATATTCCCTCACATAATTGTGGCCTGTTATATATAAACATAAAGCTGCTTTTCTTGTGTGTTTAGCCTATTTTTTTCTGTAATTCCACATGGTACAGAAAAACACTGAGCTGCATAAAAGAGCTCTTAAACACATTTCCACAACCACTGGTTAAAATCCACATTCCAAGAATGTGTGTATATACAAGAATATATATTCTTTTCATGGAAGGAGCTGCCACTTTCAGCAGATTCTCAAGGGTGTCTGCCACTCATAAAAGGTAACACATTTTATGCCATCAAATTTCTATGTTTTTATAATCAAGCTTTAAGATACTTCTTCCCTAAAAACAAAATGTCAAAATTTGAATTATACATGATGCTGCAACTGGGGGACCCTGTTGTGAAGCAGGGACCCACATTTCACCCAAGTATTTTTCAAACTTTATATTTACTTGAATATATATCTATGTATATATATATATAATATATGCATATAGATTTAGATAATATATACATATATGATATATATGTGAAAGGCAATATGTTTGTATATTATATGTTTTAGATCAGTTTAAGGCACAGTATAGTATCTAATAAGTCTATAATGTTTTTAGAATTGGCGAGGTCATTTCTCATATATTGTCTAATTTTATTTTATTCTTTTTTTTTTTGTTAGAGACGAGTCTCACTCTGTTGCCCAGGCTGGAGTGCAGTAGTGCAGTCTCAGCTCACTGCAACCTCTGCCTCCCAGGTTCAAGCGATTTTCCTTGAGTAGCTGGGATTACAGGTATGACCCAGCTAATTTCTTTTTGTATTTTTAGTAGAGATGGGGTTTTGCCATGTTGGCCAGGCTGGTCTTGAATATCCTGATCAAAAGTGAGTCACCCGCCTTGGCCTCCCAAAATGCTGGGATTACAGGCGTGAGACACCACATCCCACTTTTTTTTTTTCTTTTTTTGACAGCACACTCTATTGTCCAGGCTGGAGTGCAGTGGCAACCATCAGCTTACTGTAACCTTGAATTTCTTGGCTCAAGAGATCCTCCTGCCTCTGCTTCCCAAAGCGCTGAGATTATAGGAGTTGGCCACTGGTCCCAGACTATTTTATTCTTGAAAAATAATCTTAGATAAAAACATCCTCAGTTTTACAGTAAAAATCAGAAAGAGATTTGCTTGATGTCATTCACTAGGAATTGAGAAAGTCAGACCTCAATGCGTACTTTCCTCCTCAAAGCTTATTATTTTCTTTATTGTTTCCCTTTGAATTCTGGCTTGAAGCAAAAAAGGGAACAAGAACAGAATCTTTTCTATATGAATCAGGAATGTGACAAACCGCCATGCTCTCTAATCTTAGGATGTCAGTCTTTAGAAACTAATCCATAAGCCAGCCTTAAAGTGTGTGGTATGCTCACCACAGCCATAAGATGTGTAATGGTGAGAAATACAATTTAAATGTACAATTCAGGGACTCGATGAAGTAAATTATGGTGTACTTGTATAAAAGAATGTTATATAACTCTTATATGTATTTAATTATTTCATGAAGAAATGCTTACCCTATTATTGAAAAAGGGCTGGAGATAATTGAAATAAAGTTCTACAATAAAGACATTGCACTGTTCTCTCCATGTTCAACTCAAAACCCTTTCTCACTGATTTCCTACTGTAGGACCTTCAGTACCTTCTAGCTGTGGAGTCCTAATCAGGGGAAAACAAAGAGATAAGGCAGATAAGCTGCAAGTCTGCCTTTCTTCATGGTCCAGTACACAGCCCTCCTGTGCAAATAACTCACAGTCATCCTTCCTGTGTCCAACTATCACCAAACACCTGCAAGTTAGCTCACTGCAACCTTTGCCTTATAGATACTGCACAAAGCCATCTTCAACAGACAGCATAAAAACTATTCTATAAATTATCCAGCAAGCCTTTGTTTCCTGGCAGTCAGCTTCTCTTTTGCTGATCCTGCCTTTTGCCTCCTCGAAAAGTATTTTCATACTTTTAAAAGTAAATCTGCCTTTCTTTACAACTGTCTTGGTAAATTCTTTTACCCCCCCTCGCCTCCCGCCCAGATAGTCGTCCCTCCCCGGCGACATCAACCTAAAAGAGATTTTGAGAATGAATCTGATGGTTTCCAAAGTAACTGATCCATACGAAAGTGTATACAGCAGGGGAGTCGTCGGAGAAAGTCAAAACCCGTCTACTCACCAGCCACCTTCAGATGCACCAGGGCTTCTTCGTAGCTTCCATCCTCCCTGAAAAAGCACGTGTACTCCCCGTCGTCAGAGACTCTGACGCCACGGATCCTCAAGGCCACGCGCCCCTTGGCGATGCCGTCCTGGACCAGCGTCGCCCGCCCGCGGTACTCGGGCATCTGCTCGGCTTCCTGCTCGCGCCCGTCCCTATGCACCAGCACGGCCGGCGAAACCTTCTTTCGGAACCAGCGTAGCTCCAAGTGCTCGGCGCTCGCGTTCGGAGACAGGCGACAGGGCAGCTCGGCGTCCTCACCCACAACGGCCAGGATGGGCTCCGGGGGTCCAATCACGTCAAAGGGAGCTGCCGAAAAACGAGCGGGATCAGACGGGATGTGGAGATGGGAACTACGGACAGACACCGACCAGATTCCCGCCAAAGCGCAGTGCCCCGCGCTCTCTTACTCCTTTGACAGCTGAGTTTGTCTGGATCCAGTGGAGGTCTCCAGGGAGAGCCAAGTGGGATTGTTTATTTTACATTTATTGATATATTTCAACTATGCAGCCCAGAGAGAGAGAGAGACTTACCTGAATCCAGTTTGGGCAGCTGGAGGAGAATGAGGGTGAGCAGACATCTGGGGAGACCGGAGCTTGGGAAAACTGCCATCTCCCACCCTTCTGGAGCAGCAAGATAACTGATGTGAGTCCCCTCAGGAGCTTCAGCCTAGGAGATGAATGGACAGGAGACAACTACCGGCTCTGTCAACCCTCCGCTTTCCAAAGTCCTCTCTACAGTTCTTTCCAGCTGCAAGTGTTCTGGTCATTTGCCCCTGAAACCTCCTCTCAGCCTCCATCCCCAGTATGGATTTTTAGTTTACACTGTGGTTATCACCTTCCCACCCACTACTCTAACTCTAAAACTTAGGAGAAGGGAACTGTGAGGCATAACACTCATTAGTTGGTTGCATATCGATGAACAAATCTTGGAATCACTGCACTAAAAAAAAAGTCTCCTTTTTATTTATTTATTTATTTATTTTTGAGACAGTCTTGCTCTGTTGCCCAGCTTGGAGTGCAGTGGCATGATCTCGGCTCAATGCAACCTCAGCCTCCTGGGTTCAAGCGATTGTTCTGCCTCAGCCTCCGGAGTAGCTGGGACTACAGGCGCGCACCACCATGCCCCGCTATTTTTTGTATTTTCAGTAGAGACGGAGTTTCACCACGTTGGCCAGGCTGGCCTCGAACTCCTGACCTCGTGATCCACCCGCCTTGGCCTCCCAAAGTGCTGGGATTACAGGCGTGAGCCACCGTGCCTGGCCAAAGTCTTTTTTCAAATACAAGAATTTGGTATTTGCTTTTGGCAATGATAATAAAGATAAGGGTATAAAGGCAGAAATGGAGTCCAAGGAAATGAATTGGAGAAGAGAGAAAAGATGGGAGGAGATGGAGCAAGAAGCAGGAGCTGAAGCAAGCAAAAGGGCTTGAAGAGTAGAGGGCCTAGGACCAAGGAGAAAGGAGCTGGAGGGAGAGAAGTATGCTATGCCCCTCTGGCTGCTCACTCCCTCAGGGAGCTGAGAGTAACCACACATACTGACCTGGGTGATCTTGGAGAAAAAGGCACAAGAGGCCACTGCTACCAAGTGAGAAAGCTGGCTGTGGCCCCCGGGGCAAAAGTTAAAAGCCAGCAGGAAAAGGAAGCGGGAGGTGCTCTCAGGAAAGCCTGCCTCCAGGTGGCCTGGTATATTCACTCTGAGGAAAAAAAAAAGGGAGATGAAAAGTTTTTCAGAGAGATGGAAAACTGGATTTGTGGTCTTCAGCTCAGAAATCAAGATATGCATTGATGAGCTGGACCAAATGAAAGGCAGAAAAGAGAAAAAGAGAAGAGAGGCAAGGAAACACACAAATGAGATGTGATGGCTTCAGCCAGTTATTTCCTCTTTCCAAGCCTCAGTTCTTTGATCTCTAAAATGGTAATAATATTGATCATACCTTTCTTGAAGAGGTGTTGGGAGGATTAAGTGAGATTAAGCAGGTAAAGTGCTTAGCACATAGTAGGAACTCAGCGGAGGATAAATTGTTATTCTATTATTATTTCTGCGGGTTGAAAAATGAAAGCCCAGAGGCCAAGGTAGCAGTAGCCTCTGTCTATAGCCATCTTCGTTATTGGAGCGTCCGTCCACCTTAGGTGCTGTGTCTGTTGGAACAACTCCATTAAAGGCCAGTCTTAAGGGTAGGCTGTGAATTCTGTTTACAGGGCCCAAAAGTTGCCTCCCTGACAATTATTTCTTTTGAAGCAACTCATCATGAGGCCTACAATTCCTTAATTTATACTAAACCTACCTCTCATTGTTATGAAAAAATTTAAAAATACAGAAAAATATTTTTATAAAATGGAGGTCACACTTAATCTACTAACTAATGATAGCCTCAATTCACATTTTGGCATAGTCCTTCCAAGATTTATTTTATGCTTATGTATATCATAAAAGCAATCAATTAGACTTTTTGTGTAACTCAAAATATTGTTAATAGTTGTATAATTGCCATGATTGTGGGACATTTGGGATTTTTTTCCTATTGTAAATAATACACTTTATATATAAGTCTTTATTTGCAAATTGGATAATGTCCTGATAAACTGTTTAATAAATTTCCAGAAATAGAGTCATCAGATCAAATGGTATAAGCATATTTCTTTTCTTTTCTTTTTTTTTTTGAGACGGAATCTCACTCTGTCGCCTAGGCTGGAGTGCAGTGGCGTAATCTTGGCTCACTGCAACCTCCGCCTCCAGGGTTCAAAGGATTTTCCTCTTGCCTCAGCCTCCTGAGTAGCTGAGATTACAGGCACGTGCCACCATGCCCAACTAATTTTTGTATTTTAGTGGAGACAGGGTTTCACCATGTTGGCCAGGCTGGTCTCGAACTCCTGAGCTTCAATGATCTGCTTGCCTTGGTCTCCCAAAGTGCTGGGATTACAGGTGTGAGCCACCATGCCCGACCTAGTATCAGCATATTTCTACAGTCCCTTCCTGAAATGTTGAATCCATCACACCCTCAATGGAGGTGCCCTCACCTAATCCCTGCTAGCACTGAGAAGTTATTATTTCACATCCTTACTATTGGGATGGGTCAAGTTAATTAAATTATTATTTATTGTGCCTTTATATGTTAGCGAGGCTGGAGTTTTTTATGTGTTAATTAGACATTTAATACATTCTAGAAATGAGCTGTTCAGGCCAGTTGCCCATTGTTTTCAAGACTGGTCCTGGTGCTAGTTCTTAGCAATCTGTGTGAATTTTAATAACTTAAAAATATCAATCCTGTATTATATTTGTAACAAACATTCTTCCCAGTTTTGTTATTTATCTTTGAGTTGGAATTGTGATTAAGACAAAAGACAGTTGCTCCATTTCACCCACCAGACTGCCAAGAGAATGATCTTTCCCAAATGCAAATCTGATCATATCACTTTTTGCTTAAAAATCCTTCCACATCTCCCTAGTGACTTCAGCATCAAGTTTATGCACCTTAATCTGGTTAGGAAAATACTGTAGGTCTAGCTTGATCTGGTCAAGAAAATACTCTGGCAGTCTCCTTGCTTCTTTCCTGAGGGCTTTTTCTCCATTCCCCTTCTCCTTCCCTGCTTGTCCACCCACAGGCTGAATTTGGAGTGGGTGTGGTTACCTCAACCCACAATGCCTCTCAGGCCTCCAGATAGCAGTGCTTGCCTTCCCCCTTCCAGAATATTCTGTCTCTTCTTAACTTTTTTTTTTTTTTTTTTTTGAGATGGAGTCTCACTTTGTCACCCAGGCTGGAGGGCAGTGGCACAATTTCAGCTCACTGCAACCTCTGACTCCCAGGTTCAAGCATTTCTCCTGCCTTAGCCTCCCAAGTAGCTGGGACTACAGGCGTGCCCCACCACGCCTGGCTTTGTTGGTATTTTTGGTAGAGGTGGGGTTTCCCAATGTTGGCCAGGCTGGTTTTGAACTCCTGACCTCAAGTGATACACCCGCCTCGGTCTCCCAAAGTGCTGGGATTATAGGTGTGAGCCACCGCGACTAGCCTGTTCCCTCTTATCTTTATGATGAACTCCTATTCTTCCCTCAAAAGCTCATGTAAGGGCTGCACCTTCTGCAATGTCTTTCAGACATTGCATCAAGCAGATGCAACCTCACTTCTAGGGCTTCTCCTGATTAGCCTTTGTCCCCTCCAAGAGAAGTAGGCTTTCCTGGAAGATGGGCCAGGTGTATCCTGTGACACTTGGTCCCTTTCTCATGGCAGACACCTGATCTGAGCCCTAGTTTCAGAAGCAGATGTGTTTATTGTCATCTTTTGTTTCCAAGCTTGTCTTCCCCTCTTAAACTGAGCTTTCCTAGTTCTTACTCCCTGTCTTCTCATCAGCACATAGACTGAAATAGAATTTGTGGCTTCATTCAAACCCATCGTTCCTTAGCCTTCCTAGTTTGAAAGGCTCCTGTCCCATTTTCCTCTTCATGCTTAACTTTCTGATCATATCACCTATAATCTATTTCCCCTTCCTCATTTCACTTCTCTTATCAGCCCCTTTCAATGATACTTTTGTCTCATGCTTCATATTCTCATAAGACATTGTTTTCAGGGGGGAAAAAGAGCTTTTACTTGCAACTAACGGAGCCATACTGAAAAGAAAGGGTCTGGGGGAAAGAAGAAGAAAGTACTTGGAGCTCAAGCTATTGCATAACAGACACTATTTTGATTGGATAGCATCTGGGTCTTTTTGACAGAAACCAAGTCATCAGTCTTACACAATGAAAGACAGGATCTCTAAATTTCCCAAGGTTTAGAGAACAGAACCTCTAGGATGCCCCTAGGATGCCCCTGCCTGTCATGGTTCCTGAATGGGAGAGGCCTTGTGAAGTGGTGCTGCTCTTAGGAAGTTCCTGCTCTTCCCAGGCCCACTGCGAGATAGAAACAAAAACTTCTTCTTCTTAGACATGAAATCATTTGGGCTGAGGAATATGATATGCTTCATATGGAACCTAATGATAAAATGTCAGCATTTGTTTCCCCTCCCTGCTTTTCACTATAATCTGTTCAAATTTCTCAGTGTTATCCTCATGTCAAATTCAATGGTTACTCTCGTTCTCATCTTACTTGACTTTCATCACTGAGGCAACCATTTGAGTCTATTTATTTATTTTGAGACGGAGTCTTACTCTGTCGCCCAGGCTGGAGTGCAGTGGCACAATCTCGGCTTACTACAACCTCCTGGGTTAAAGCGATTCTCGTGCCTCAGCCTCCCAAGTAGCTGGGATTATAGACATGCACCACCATGCCTGGCTAATTTTTGTACTTTTAGTAGAGATGGGGTTTCACCGTGTTGGCCAGGCTGGTCTTGAATTCCTGACCTCAAGTGATCTGGCTGCCTTGACCTCCCAAACTGCTGGGAATACAGGTGTGAGCCACCACGCCCAGTCAACGTCTTTTCTTTTTAAATGTGGTTCAGTTGTTTTATGTGGTACTTATCTACATATTTCTCAAGACAATATCATTCTGTCAAAGTTTTTAAAAAAGCTCTTTATATGTATTACATGTATTTAAAAAAAAAACCAAATGGGACAAAGTGCTTTTAAGAAATGTCAGTTCCACTTCCCACTTCCAACCTATTACTCCTGAATCCCCAGAAACAGCTTCTTTAAGTGCTCAGTTGTTTTATCTGGTACTTATCTGCATATTTCTAGAGACAATACCATATTTATGCTGCTATTTCTCTATATATCCATTTCTAGATATTACTTTTCTATACCCTATTATGATCAATTATGATTTAGCTCTCTTATACCACCAGTAGTAATACATCACAAATTCTGTTCCATATTTCCAATACTGTGGCTATGTAACTATAGTTTTACGGGACCAAGTATCATATATGATTACATTTATTTTCATGTACAACCTCTTGTTTTTTTAGGAGTAGGGAGGGGGTGAAATGATTCATTTTTGTTCCTTTGTTTAGTTTTCTTTATTCCCCTCACAGGTTTTTCCCACTCCTCTAATTGACTCTAAGCACAGTTTCCATAGTCAAGCATATCAGGTAATTTATCAATCCCCTCTCTTCATTCTTCCCAGAGCAGCACTTGGGTCTTACTGAAAAAGAGATTCTGATTTAGTAGGTCTGGAATAGGACCAGGATTCTCACTGCTAGTTGCTCTGGTCCACAGGTCCACAGGGCAAGATCTACTGCCTACAGCTCTTTTTTTTTTTCTCTTTCTTGAGTGGGGGTGGTGTTCGGTGTAGGGTGTGGGGTTGGGGGGTGGTCTTGCTATGTTGCCCAGGCTGGACTCAAAATTCCTGGGCTCAAGGGACTTCCCACTTCAGCCTCTCCAGTAGCTAGGAATACAGGCACGTGCCACTGCACCCACCCAGCTATAGCTCTTTATCTTGCTCCTTATTCAGAAGCTTTCTGTGAAGAGGCAGCTACCAGCTTTGCATGAATTATGGAGATGCCTCTGAGGGATGGTTGTGGCTCAAGGTCTTGGGCTTGTTATACATGTGGCCATACTGAGCCAAGACAAAGGACTGGGGTGAATGGGCATCATGTACAATACTGTATTCTTCTGTGGCTTACTAGTGAGCTTTGTGGTCAGCTGCTCTTTCTTGGGGGCACACACTATTGATATGGTAGTAATAATCAGATATGACCTAATGGTGCTTCAACATTATTACAGTGACATAATTCCGCTATTTACCAAGCCCGTGTTAAAATTATACATACAGAGTTTGTATAATGTTATAATTATAATTTGTGTAATTTATGCACAACAGCTTGCATATGTGAAGGTGGAGGGGAAGTGAAGTGAAGATGGTGTGGAGATGAAGATGGTGGACTTCTGTGTGGAAGAGGGGTTAGCAGGGGTTTGCCCTGGGGAAGCAAAAGGCTGAGATCTGGTAGAGTGTGGACGTCCCTGAATTATATTCTTGGAAGTACTTTTGAAATGGAGAGTTCCTAGAACAAGAGGGGTAGACAGGGAACTTATGGGAGCCAATAAATTGAGGTTGGATTGAGTAAGAGAGAAAGAGTTCAGGGAAGGGATCAAGGTTGCGTGGACCACTGTTTGAGTTCTGCCCAGAATTTATCCCATTGCAGCCTCTGAGCTATCTTCCATATCTGTTCATCTTAGTCTTTCTTACTGTTACCTGGTGGGGTAGATCCTTCCAAAACAGGTGTACATTCTCCCGCGCGAGGACAGGCTATGATAAATGTGAAAATGCAAGACTTAGACATCTTAGGAGCAGCCTATGAATTCATTATTGTCCTGACTTCACCCTACTTTCCTTTTTTTGGTAGAGACAGGGTCTCAAATATTCTTCATTTTCATATATCGTGAGGCCTTGAGCCCTTGGGAGGAAGGAGCTCAGAATCCTGGAGAAGTGAAGACTCTCTGACCTGGACACAATTGTGCTCTTTTCCATTTTGCAGTAACGGAGGGGTTTATAAAAGGTTTGTTGTCTGTGGAACAATAGGGGTAAAAACTCAGAATTTTTCAAGCCCTTTGATGAGTGTATTTAGAAAATGAAAAAAAAAATTATCATTTGAGTTAAAGATGTCGGAAGGAAGATGGAATGTGTGCATGAAACACACAATGAAACAACTGTTCCCTTCTGTGAATACCTGATTACTGAAACATTATCAGTAAATCATGAACTTGCTTTTTGTTTCAGTTTTTGTTCTTAGAAATCTGTGGGAAGTTCCTTTTGGCTTTAGATGCTAGGAAATTTTGCTGTACCTGGGAACGAAAAGTCTTAGGGCCAAGTTTGGGGTGGGTAGAGTGGCACTGGGAGGATTATAGTGGGCTCTGACCTGTGGCCGTGCTGAACCTCATCAGCTGGAGCCCCCTGGAGCCCAACCAAGTGGGTTTATGGATACTTGTTACAGCAGCCTGGATTCCACACACTGTGGGCAGATTCCACACACCATGGGGAATTGGAAGGTGGAGCACATCACCCACGAGAAAGTATGGGAGGAATTTGT
The DNA here is from genome assembly GCF_000001405.40 of Homo sapiens. NCBI lineage: Eukaryota > Metazoa > Chordata > Mammalia > Primates > Hominidae > Homo > Homo sapiens. The sequence goes on along the minus strand of NC_000006.12, from coordinate 26,493,942 downwards.
TGTAGGTGATTTGGGAGATGTTCAAGAAAGCAATGGATTGATCTGGATGAATGTCATGAAGCATTAGACAATGTTTTGTGTGTTTTTGTTTTTGAGACAAGGTGTCACTTTGTCACCCAGGATGGAGTGCAGTGGTGCCATCTCAGGTCACTGAAACCTCCACCTCCCGGGCTCAAGCGATCCTCCCTCCTCAACCTCCTCAGTAACTGGGATTACAGGTGTGTACCATCAAACCCAGCTAATTTTTGTATTTTTGGTAGAAATAGGGTCTCACTATGCTGGTCTTGAACTCCTGGGCTCAAGCTATCCTCCTGCCTCTGCCTCCCAAAGTGCTGGGATTATGGGAGTGAGCCACCGTGCCCGGCCCTATTCCAGTGCTTTTTATTAGGAGGTAGGAGAACAGAGAAGGCTCAAGTTGTAGTTGGTAAAGAAGCAGCAGTTACTCTGGTTAGCCAGGAGAGGGGTATGTATGGTCATTTTGTCTGTGCTCTGGCATGATTATGAAGTGGTCTTGTTTTTATCTCACTCAGTCACAGTCACAGAATAGCCTTGTTTGATATTTAGTGCTCTGTGAAGTTTCTTACTTTCAGTAGGAAACACACAGCCTAGCTGGGAGTGCCTGACCTGTTCTCAGCTGATAGCTGTCAGGCCTGCTTTTTTTCTTTCTCAATCAGAGCCCTCATTCTCTTTCAGGTCTAAAAGGTATTTGGCTTTTTTTTTTTGGAGACAGAGTCTTACTCTGTCCTGCAGGCTGGAGTGCAGTGGCTCGATCTCTGCTCACTGCAACCTCCGCCTCCTGGGATCAAGGGATTCTCTTGCCTCAGCCTCCTGAGTAGGTGGGATTACAGGGGCCCGCCACCACACCTGGCTAATTGTTGTATTTTTAGTAGAGATGGGGTTTCACCATGTTGGCCAGGCTGGTCTCAAATTCCTGATCTCAGGTGATCTGCCCACATTGGCCTCCCAAAGTGTTGGGATTACAGGCTTGAGCCATTGCGCACAGCCATATTTGGCTTTTATAACTTTTATTGTCCCTTCCATTTTGAAAAACCTAGAATCATTTTCTAGATTCCAGATGTATACATTTAGATGACTTTTGATTGGAAATCATCATAAAGTGTGTGAATCCAAGCACATGTTTAAGGTTTAAATCCCCACCAGGATGGAACATTCCTGACAAATAGCCTGGTATGGTGAAATGGACCAGGAAGTAAATTCATCGTTTCTGTTTTCCCCCCATTTCATTTCTGAAAGAAAAATTATTGTCTAAATGGGAAGTCTGAGGCATGTTACAGTCACTGAGCAGAGAATCACTCTTAGAGTAAGGGAGCTAAAACAAAATACCCCAGAAAAGTTGATGAGAAACTCTGAGGAAGTATTTTCCCCCTAATTGCACGATTGGTGTGGGAGTCGGGGGCGACTCAGGGCCTTCTGTGACTGCTGCATCTGTCCTCCAATCCATTCTTCCCTCCTACAGCAAGAAACAGTGGCTCCAAGTCCAACCTGATCATCTCAAAAAAGTTTTGAATCTTTCTGAGAGAGAGAAGGAGGGAGATAAGCAAGAGATATTATGAGAAAGGGCTTGTGAAAAAAAGAAACAAAAAAAATAAACCATTGGAGTTGATGTTTAAATCCCTCCAAGCTAATAAATACAGTATGGGAAATGAGGAGGATCAGGAAAGTGAGAATAAGGGGAGGTGAGTAGGAATGGGGAAAATGTGACATGAAGTGGCAAGGGGTCTCGTCTTTGGAGATTCTTCTGTCTTCCCTTTCTCTACCTTCTCAAGAGTCACACAGAATCAGGAATAAGTCAGCTTCCTGAGGAGCCCCTCTCTGCTTTTTAAACAGGCACTATTGAGATGTTACTTTCCTTCAGGTATTGGTTATTTATTTATTTATTGAGACAGTGTCCTGCTTTGTTGTCCAGGCTTGGTTACTGCAGCTTCAACCTCTGGGCTTAAATGATCCTCCCACCTCAGCCTCCCGAGTAGCTGGGACTAGAGATGTGTGCCACCACACTCGGCTGTTTTTATTTTTTTTATTTTTTGAGATGTAGTCTCACTCTGTCACCCAGGCTGAAGTACAGTTGTGATACCCTACCTTGTTCTAACCTGAATTGACTCTCCCTTAGCTGAGAGAGCCAGACAAACTCCATTTTGGCTTCTTCACCTGCAGCCCCTTACCCACCCCCTTCCTCAAGGAGTTAACTTGTGCAAGCTAACTCCCAGCACATCAAAGAATGCATTTAACTGATAAGATACTGTGGCAAGCTATATCCACAGTTCCCAGGTATTCGCCCGGTTGATAGTACCCTAAGCCCCCACATTTGTATCCGGTTGATGGTATCCAAAAGGCCTGCATCTATCACCTTATGATGGATTTAAAGCCCCTGCACCTGGAACTGTTTGTTTTCCCATAACCATTTGTCTTTTAACTTTTTTTGTCTGTTTTACTTCTGTAAGATTGCTTCAGCTAGGCTCCCCCTCCTCTTTATAAATCAAAGTGTAAAAGAAAATCTAGCCCTTTCTTGGGGGCCAAGAGAATTTTGAGCGCTAGCCATCTCTCAGTTGCCGGCAATAAAGGACTCCTGAATTAGTCTCAAAGTGTGGCATTTCTCTATAACTCGCTTGGTTACAACACAGTGGTGCTATCTCAGCTCACTGCAACCTCTGCCTCCTGGGTTCAAGCAATTCTTCTGCCTCAGCCGCAGGAGTAGCTGGGCCTATAGGCGCGTGCCACCACTCCCAGCTGATATTTGTATTTTTGTAGAGACAGGGTTTCACTATGTTAGCCAGGCTGTTTTTTTTAATTTTTAGTAGAGACAAGGTCTCGCTCTGTTGCCCAGGCTGGTCTTGAACTCCTGAGTTCAAGTGATCCTCCCGCCTTGGCCTCCTAAAGTGCTGTGATTACAGGCCTGAGCCACTGCACCCAATCTGTGTTTTTTGTTTTTGTTTTGTTTTGTTTCTTAATCTTCAGTTTCTTTAAGTGGAGATTTTTGGAGCAAGTTTCATATCTCTAAAAACTCTGGAATAAGTGGCTAACTCTGGCCATGTGGTCACTGCTATGAAGGTGTTGGTTTTGTTTTGTTTTTTTAATTTAGGCAGGTGTTGGAAGGGGGGACCCTGAAGGCATGAGAACTCATCATCAGACTAGATCAGCCACACTCAGCTGAGACCCAAAAGATGAACAATAATAAGAGTTGTTGTAAGTCAGTGAGTTTGGGGTGATTTTTTACTCAGCGATGGCTACACAATACAGAAATTGATACTTGAAAGTGAGGTGTTACAATATTGAAAACCAAAAATACGTGGCATTGATTTTGGATAGGCGGGAGCTAAAAAAAATCTTAATAGGAAGCTGAAAATGGCTGGAAACTGTTATGGAAGGTGTGGTATAATATGAAATATATTTGGTCTTTGTACTGAGAAAAAAACCCTTGAAATGTCCTGAGTGAAAATTCTTAGGAGTGTCTTTTGTTATTCATAGTGAGCCAATTAGATAACACCTGAGCTATTAAATTCGATAAGTTAGGGTAGGGCCCCTAGATAGCCTCAGGACAGGGCCAATCACCAGAAAGACTAAGTGATCAGAGGAGTAGAGGGTTAGAACTTTTAGCACCACTGGCCAACCTCCAGGAAATGGTATGGGGTTTGCAGACAAAGCTCTACACAAACTATACAACTATATAACTGTCACACCTGTCACTGTGAAGAGACCACCAAACAGGCTTTGTGTGAGCAACAAGGCTATTTATTTCACCTGGGTGCAGGCGAGCTGAGTCCGAAAAATGAGTCAGCAAAGGGTGGTGGGGTTATCACTAGTTCTTATAGGTTTGGGATAGGTGTACAAAGTACATTCTTAAGGGTGGGGGAGAATATTACAAAGTACCTTCTTAAGGGCCGGGGAAACTATATCGTATCAGTTAGGGTGGGGCAGCAACAAATCACAATGGTAGAATGTCATCAGTTAAAGCTAGTTTCACTTCTTTTGTGGATCTTCAGTTGCTTCAGGTCATCTGGATGTATACGTGCAGGTCACAGGGGATATGATGGCTTAGCTTGGGCTCAGAGGCCTGACAATAACTATACAACTACAGCTCTCTGTGAGCTTCCAGATTGTTTAGCACATGGAGGTGCTTAGAGAATGGTATGCCCAGAAAGGGCATGGACACTCCGTGTCGCCCTCCCATCCACACACATACCTTGTCCTGTCCATCTCTTCATCTGGCTGTGGAGCTTATCTTTTGTAATATTCTTTACAATAACCCAGTAAATGTCTGCAAGGAGATGTTTAGCAAAAAAAAATAAATAAATAAAAATAAGTGAATAAACAAGTAAATGTAAGTAAGCATTTCTCTGAGTTTTGAGTCATCCTAGCAAATTAATGAACCTCCCTGCTAAAAAGAGGTCGTGGAAACCCTGGTTTGTAGCTGTTGGGTCAGAAGAATGGGTGGCGCAGATTTTAGAATGGCATCTGAAGTGGGTGCAGTCTTATTGGACCCAGCCCCCAACTTGTGAGATCTGTCACTATCTCCAGGTAGATGGTGTCAGAATAGAATTATAAGATACCCAATTGGTGTCCACTGGATAATTGCCTTGTGGTTAGCAGAGGCCAACCCCATATGTCTGATCACAAAAGTGTTCTGTGTTTGAGTGTGTGAGTAGAGGGAGAGAAAACCTGCTTTTTTCCCTCAGAGAAGGCTAGAAGAAATGGCGACCTGTGTTATGTATTTACCAAATATTTATTCAAACTGTTGCCTGTAGAACTTGAGAGATATAAAATGTCATCTAATGAACTTTTGGATTTAGGCAAAGAAATTTCCAGGCAAAATGTTGGATATGTGAGTTAATTGCTTTTAGTTGCATACAAGATACTGCAGGAAAGAGGTGGGCTCAGGAAAGAATGGGCAAGTTTTGTTTTTTTTGAGACAGGGTCTTGCCCTGTCACCCAGGCTGGAGTGCACTGGTGCAATATCGATCTCGCTCACTGCAACCTCTGCCTCCCAGGCTCAAGTGATTCTTGTGCCTCAGCCTCCCTAGTAGCCGGGACTACAGGGATGCACCACCACACCCGGCTAATTTTTGTATTTTTAGTAGAGACAGGGTTTTGCCATGTTGCCCAGGCTGGTCTTGAACTCTTGGCCTCAAGCAATCCACCCTCCTCGCCCTCCCAAGGTACTAGGATTATAGGTGTGAGCCACTGGGCACGGCCCAGGCAAGCTTTTAAGTAGAATTTAGAAGATAAAGAACTTTGAGCTTCTGGGTTGAAAAATAAAACTGTTTTTCATCTATGAGTGTAGATGAGACAGTAGATCTCCAGCCAGCAGTTGACATACTCTGGGAGCAAAGATGAAATTCAGGGACTGCCATGTAAGATATGGCTTCTGGCTTAAGATCAAATGATGGGTGTGGCTGTAACATACTTCTTTATTATTATTATTACTGTTATTATTACAGCCCAGTGTAGACCAAAATACTTTTCAAATCCCTTGAAAGGAATAAGGTAATGTACAAGAGGGTTTCTGGGTAGCTTAAAGGGTGTGGACCCATAACAGCTTGCTGTACCCCAAATAAGATTTAGAGAAAGAGGTATTTCTCTAAAATAATTTGGGTGTTGCTTTTGACATGCGAGTGAACTCAAATCAAATACAAAGAAAACTCACAAAGCCTTGAGAAAACTGTATTGACAAAGTCAGCCTACATTAGAAGAGACTGAGATTGTTTGGACTCCCAATTTTGAATGCCATGAAGCTGGCCGAGAAAGTTACTCAGCAGACCAAAATGGTTTATTCTCTAAAGTTCTCTTCAGAAGGGGCTGAGGAGGATGGAAAATGAAGACTCTCCCAAAGGGTGGAACCAAGAGCTGTGGAGGACAAGGACACCAGAGCCACTCCCAGTGAACAGAACCACAGCCTAATCAAGGAACAGACTCTATCACAAAGTAAGGAAGAATGGCAACATTTGCCCAGTGGGATTTCATTTCATAATTGCTGTGGAACTGTGACAGCTATGGGTCTCCAATAATTCTCTCTCAAACGGAAGTTAATGTGGTAATTCTGCCTCTATTCCACCATTGTACATTGGGTGTGTGTGTGTAATGCAGGGATCTATGCTGATGGTGGATGGACTTACCCTTTTTTTGTTCATTGGTCTCCAGATCAAGAGGAGCTGGATCAAGCCTCAGGTAGAACATGAGGTGCTGGACTTTAAGAATGATGACAGGATGGGTAAGACTTTTGAAGGTCCCGTGATTGGGATTGAATGTATTGATATTTTTGTATGTGTGAGAGACATGAATAATTATGGCCTAGAGATAGGTTGTGGTTGAAGGACTTATTGGCCATCCCTGAAACCTTTGCAATGCTTCTTCATGGGTGAAATATATGTCCTACCTCTTGACTCTAGGCTTGCCCATATGACTTTTTTGGCCAGTAGCATGTGGGTGAGAATGATAGTGTGCCAGTTCTAATCATAGGACTTAAAAGCCTCACGACTGTCACTTCTCATCCTCTTCTGTCTCTGCTGGCAGCATGAGAAGTAGATACCTTGGCTTGCTTACTGGTCCCAGGAGGTTGGTAGATTCATAGAGCAGAGGTATTCCAGTTGACACATAAACTGGCAGGTGAGAAGTAGAGCACCCTATCTGAACTTAACTTAGATTAGCCAAACCCAAGTCATCTTGTAGAAATGTAAGCAATAGATATGCTTGCTTTTTAAAGCCACTGAGTTTTTGAATGGTTTACTAAGCAACAATAGCTAATTGATATAGATGAGTAGGATTTAGAAAAGAAAAAACAAAACAGTTTCTTTTTTATTTTATCTGGAAATATTCAGAAACGAAAAGACTTAAATTTTCCAGACCTCAGTTTTATCAACCACAATATGGACTTAATAATCTCTATCTCAGCCTGGGCAACATAGTGAGACCCTGTTTCCACAAAAAAATAAAAAATTAGCTAGGTGCGGTGGCATGCGCTTCCCACCCCAACTACTCAGGAGGCTGAGGTGGGAGGATTGCTTGAGCCCAGGAAGTTGAGGCTGCAATGAACCATGATTGTACCACAGCACTCAAGCCTGGGCAAGAACGAGACTCTGTCTCAAAGAAAAAAATAAAATAAAATAAAATAAATAAACTGTCTCACAGGGTTGTCATGAGAACTCTAAAAGAGTGAATAGAAACATTCTATAACTTAAACACACATGCACACACAAATTCATTTTAAAAAGTCCTCAGGTTTAACTCTCTTTGTACAGATGAAGAAACAGAGACACCATGAAGATAAGACTGATATGGTTTGGATCTGTGTCCCCACTCAAATCTCATCTTTAATTTTAATCCCCATGTGTTGAAGAAGGGACGTGACGGGAGGTGATTGGATCATGGGGGCAGTTTCCACCATGCTGTTCTCGTGATAGTGAATGAGTTCTTACGAGATCTGATGGTTTAAAAGTGTGACACTTTCCCTCTCACCCCTCCCTCTCTCTCTCCTGCTGCCTTGTGAAGAAGGTGCTTGCTTTTCCTTCACCTTTTGCCACAACTGTAAGTTTCCCGAGGCCTCACAGCCATGCAGAACTGTGAGTCAATTAAATCTCTTTTATTTATAAATTACCCAGTCTCAAATAGTTCTTTATAGCAATGTGAAAATGGTCTAATAAAATGACTTTTTAAAAATACAACCAGCGAGACCACGGCTGAATTTCTCTCTTCCTGAAACTTAGTGTTGTACCCTTTCTTTAAACAAAACTGTTCAAAGAGTATCAGCAATACCAGAAATAAATGAAAAAAGCATACAACTCCTCTAGAGCTGCAGCCATAAAAGACCGGTTTTTATACTTTCCTATTAAATATTTCCAGATCTGACTACTGCATTAATGATGGTTTTGACCAACATTGATAAGTTTATTTTTTTAAAACATTTTTTTTCCAGGTCATTATTACAAAAATGCATTATTGAATTGGTTTGAATCCAAAACACTACCCTTGAAGCCATCACTTTAGATGCCCGGCTCACTTTTAGTCCCCTCCAGCTACTGAGGATGAACCTAATGATAGCCCGGGTTCACTACTTACTTGCTTGCCAGTAAGCTCAAACTCAGGTCATGGGTAACCATGCCTACAGCCTTAGTTATTCTAGGATCACCTGAACCAAGTCAGCTTATCATGAGTTTGTTCTCCTGGAAACTTAGAGTACAATATTCCTTCATCCCAGTTCTAGGCCTGGAGATTTCCAGCGTGGACTGGAAATCTTTGAGGTTGGGTGGAAATGGGCTGTCAACTCCTGGGCCTCATAGCTGTCATGGTGGGATTTAATCAGGCTCACAGCTGTTTCCCTCTCCCAGCTTTCTATCCACTTCTGTCTCTGACCTTCATTTGTGGTTTCCTCTTCTCCTTAGGAGGCCCCGTAGTTCTCTCTCTGTCTCTCTCTCTCTCCCCCCACCCCCCCCCCATATATATAGAGAGAGGACTGTAAGTCCAAGCGTACAGTGTCAATCAAGCATTAGGTTGAATGTGCCACCCTGATGTTAAAGCAAGTGGTTTACAACATGTCATTTTCTCACACTTTTCTCCTTGGTTGACAACCCTGTGGCAGCAATAGTTTCCCTGAGACGGGACTTCGCCCTATGGTTATAAGCTAATGAGCTACTAAGGCAACAGTTTAATCGGGAAGAGAGGTGGGTTTGGGGCCTAAAATGGGTGTCAATGGGGCAACTGGAAGAGGTCCTTTTATGTGACCAGAGGGAAGAGCTCATTTACCACCAGGCATGGGGTAGAGTGTGCTGTGCTGTGGTAGTCAAGATGGCCAGGCCCTCTCTACATGACTCTGAGACCAGGAATTTGGTGGTGGTGGCAGTGGGTCCCCATCCTGTGAAGGATGAGGCCACACAGAGCCTCAAGATCAGCTAGAGTGAGAACTTAGGGCCTTCTCAGGTCTTTCCAGAGCACACACACAGCCCTGGGCATGTGCACAACCCTATGTATATGTGTGGACTTCTAGAATCCAAGAAATACGTCAGAGATTTTCAAAGCCCTCTGTATATATTTCACTCCTCAGCCTTTCCTATTAAGCTTTTTAGTTATTGTTTGCTCCAATGATTACCCACCATCTCAGACAGCTGTGATGTTAAACAATTGTCACTGGTTATTGTCAACAAATGCTCCCAGAGAAAACCCTGTTCACACTTGGTGAGCTTTGCGTCAGATCAAATAAGGACAAAGCTTGCAAGTGACGTCTTCTGGGTGCTGAGTTTCAGGACACACCATCCAAAAATATGAGTGCAGGAGACCAGAATATGCCATCTCAAAATATGCCACCCTGGCATACTGATCTTTTTGAGCTAAAAGAAATTAAAGACCAGCCAACATAGAAAAATCTCCTTGCCTTCCCCTCAACTGTCTGAAATGAATTATAAAACACCCCTTTTGTAAAGAAAAATTTACATCTATAAAAGAAATTTTTACTAGTAGAGGTATTTATACCAGGAAGAGAACTGCTTTGAGACAAGTTTTACCACTTGGGGAACTTTTATCTGTAACAAGGTAACCTTTACTCACCATACATTTTCTTCTCTCACCATCCCATAATTTGTCTCCATCGTTTCCCAGAAGCCCTGACTTCCTCCTTTCTGTAGCTCAGGATGCTATATTAACTTCAATCATCCGGCCCTTCTTTGAGTCTCATATTTTGAGATTTGAGGGACTCCTGTACATATGCATGTAATTAAAATGGTTTTTCTCCTATTAATCTGTTTTAGATAAATTTAATTAATAGCCTAGCCAAATAACCTAGAGGGGTAAAGAGAAGCAGATTTTTCCCTCCCCTACACAAGGAACAACCAGGCATGTCTAGTAATGACAATTCTCTAGGAATGGGGTTTTGAAGGAGCCCCAACCCCTTTCTATTCCCTCCAGTGACTGTCAGGCGCTGTTTTTCACTGTGATTGTGGGGTGGTTTCTAGGCTACTGCAGAGCTGTGGTGGGGTGGTGGTAGTGTAATAGGACATGTTAAAATGCCTATAAAACGTACTGTTCTTACTGAGGTTCAGCCATTTTTCTTGAATAAAATTCACTCTGATTGCTGCAAGCCTTAGGTTAATTTACAGAGTTCTGAGAAAGTTGATTCTGGCAATTTTTTTTTTTTTTGAGATGGAGTTTCACTCTTGTTGCCCAGGCTAGAGTGCAAGGGCACGATCTTGGCTCACTGCAACTTCTGCCTCCTGGGTTCAAGAGATTCTCCTGCCTCAGCCTCCTGAGTGGCTGGGATTACAGGCATGCACCACAATGCCTGGCTAATTTTGTATTTTTAGTAGAGATGGGGTTTCTCCATGTTGGTCAGGCTGGTCTCGAAATCCCAACCTCAGTTGATTCGCCCGCCTTGGCCTCCCAGAGTGCAGGGGATTACAGGCGTGACCCACTGCACCTGGCCTTTTCTGCCAATCTTTGCCAGTGTTTACTGCTTTTATGGAGGGAGGGATTTTCAGAAGTCCTCACTTAACCATTCTCACTGACTTCTCTACGTGTGTGTGTGCGTGCATGCACACGTGTTTAATGTCTAAAAATATAATTTGAAAATAACTTGTGCTTTAAAACCTCAGCCTTTTCCTCCCAGGGTAGATTTGGTTATCTTAGAGCAGCAATTCTCAGATGTTTTGGTCTCATGACCTTCTTATACTCTTGAAAATAATTGAGAATCCCAGAGAGTTTTTATTTATGTGAGTTATATCTATCAACACTTAGCATTTAAAAATTAAAACTGGGCTGGGTGTGGTGGTGCACATCTGTAACTCCAGCACGTTGGGAGGCCAAGGTGGGTGGATCGCTTGAGCTCAGGAGTTCGAGACAAGCCTGGGCAACATAGTGAGACCTTGTCTCTACAAAAAAATACAAAAATTAGCTATGTGTGGTGGCATGCACCTGTAATTTCAGCTACGTGGGAGGCTGAGGCAGGAACATCACTTGAGCCTGGGAGGTGAAGGTTGCAGTGAGTCTAGATGGCACCACTACTCTCCAGCCTAGGCGAATGATTGAGACCCTGTCTCAAATAAATAAATAAAACAGGTTTTTTTTTTTTTTTTAAATGAGAGTCTCGCTCTGTTGCCCTGGCTGGAGTGTAGTGGTACAATCTCGGCTCACTGCAACCTCCGCCTCCCAAATTCAAGTGATTCTCCTGCCTCAGTTTCCTAGTAGCTGGGATTACAGGCATGCACCACCATGTCTGGCTAATTTTTTTATTTTTCATAGAGACAAGGTTTCACCATGTTGGCCAGGTCTGACTCCTGGGCTCAAGTGATCGGCTTGCCTCGGCCTCCCTGAGTGCTGGGATTACAGGTGTGAGCCACCATGCCCGGCCCTTAAAACACAGCATTTTAAACACAATAATACACATTGTGACATACATTCCAATAGGTGTCAGAGGGATGATGTCATCATGTCTTCAACATCTGGAAAACTCCAATGCACACATGTGAGAGTATGTGAGTAAAAGAGGCAAATAACTTAAAAAAAATTTATTTATTTATTTTTAAAAATAGAGATGGGGGTCTCACTATGTTGTCCAGGCTGGTCTTGAATTCCTGGGCTCAAGTGATCCTCTCGCTTCTTTTTTTTTTGAAACAGAGTTCTCACTCTGTCACCCAAGCTGGAGTGTAGAGGCGTGATCATGGCTCACTGCATCCTCGACTTCCGAGGCTCAGGTGATCCTCCCACATCAGCCTCCTGAGTAGCTGGGACTACAGGAACTCACCACCATGCCCAGATAATTTTATGTATTTTTTGTAGAGATCAGGGTTTCACCATGTTGCCCAGGCAGGTCTCAAACTTCTGGCATCAAGTGATCTGCCTGCCTTGGTCTCCCAAAGCGTTGGGATTACAGGCATGAGCCACCATGCCCAGCCACAAATAACATTTTAGTATCATTATAAACATTGTCTTGGCCAGGTGCGGTGGCTCACACCTGTAATCTCAGCACTTTGGGAGGCAGAGATGGGTGGATCACCTGAGGTCAGGAGTTTGAGACCAGCTTGACCAATATGGTGAAACTCCATCTCTACTAAAAATATAAAAATTAGGCAGGAGTGGTGGCTACTCGGGAAGCTGAGACAGGAGAATAGCTTGAACCCAGGAGGCAGAGGTTGCAGTGAGCTGAGATCGTACCACTGCACTCCAGCCTGGGTGACAGAGTGAGACTCCATCTCAAAAAAAAAAAAAAAAAAAAGTCTTCACCTCATGGATCCCCTGAAAGAATCTTAGGGTCAGACCACACTTTTAAGAATCCCTGTCTTTGGTGGTTCCAGAGAAATAGACTATAGGACATCCACTGGAGAGCCCCGCAGCATCAATACCTTGAGGAAGTTAAGGAAAGAGGATAGACAGAAGGAAAAGTTGAAATATAATGCAGTCTCACAATGAACTCTGGAACTGGGGTGACCCTTCAGAGTTGTGTACCTTGTGCAAGGGGTCCAGGACCTTTACACCTATGTTTTCCAGTCATTGGATGTGGTCCACTCACTGAGAGGTGGAATAACCTTGGGCAACAGGGCTCTCTTTGGCTCTTTAACAATTCATGGTATGGAGTCAGCTGAGGGCCCTGAGCCACCAACACTCTCTGCAGCTGGTTGATTGTGTGTCTCAGTCCAACACGGAGTGACCAGGGCAGGGCACCACAGCATCCACCTCAGTGGGGAAATGAGAATGGAGTTGGACAGTTTGTGTGGAAGGGGGCAGGCAGAGAGAAGAAAAGGTTTTGGTGCTGGAAATAGTATAAAATGAAGGAGGAAGGAATATTTCTCTTTGTTTCTCAGGTACAGCTTTCAGTTCTATCCAAAGTTGGCCCCTGAGTTCATGTGAGAGAAATCACGTTATTTCTCTCCCTCTGCATAAGAAATCCTTGAACCAATGGGGACATGCTCATGGATTTCCCTAGAGAACTTTCTGACAACTCTGGCTCCAGATTAGTTTAATCTGTTCTCATTCCCATTTGTAGTTCAGTCATTTTACTGCATGAATAGCTGGGAGACTGGTTTACTTGCAGCTCAGTCACTTACTATGTGTTTTTAACTAAATACTTTCACTTTTCTTGGCCTCAACTTCCTCATCTCTAAAAAAAAACAAAAACAAAAACAAAAAAACGATGCTTGAAATTCTGGAACCAAGCATTTATGGGATTTTAGAGAAAATAAAGTATGTGTTCTGCAATAACCCAACATATTATTTTCCTGGAAAAAAAAAACAACAAACACCTTGAATTCTGCAAAATCATGCAACAAAAACACCAGGGCTTACAAAAAAATAGAGTTGGGCTTAGACAACTAAAAACCCATGCAGGTTTGTTTCCAAAACACTAATAAAGCCAACCAATCAGCAGCACCCATTCCCTAATGCCCACCAAATTGTCCATAAAAACCCTTAAAAAGAGAAAAAAAGAACACTAATAAAAACATCAATGATAGTAATACTTTTAGCACAGTTACCCAAACTCCTAATAACTAAACGTGTTTAATAGTAAATGTAGGGCTTTACCTGAAGGTAGGTGAATGTAGCTTAATAGAAAGAAGTATACTGGCTGGGTGTGGTGGCTCACACCTGTAATCCCAGCAGTTTGGGAGGCCGAGGCAGGCGGATCACCTGAGGTCGGGAGTTTGAGACCAGCCTGACTAACATGGAGAAACCCCGTCTCTACTAAAAATACAAAATTAGCCAAGCATGGTGGCACATGCCTGCAATCCCAGCTACTCGGGAGGCTGAGGCAGGAAAATCGCTTGAATCTGGGAGGCAGAGATTGCGATGAGTTGAGAACACACCATTGCACTCTAGCCTGGGCAACAAGAGCAAAACTCCATCTCAAAAAGAAGTATACCAAAAAGATGAGTTTGCTGAATTTGGGAACAAAGCAATGGTGGGCTAATAAATCGTATGCAGGAAGAAATGCCTTGTTTAGTATTGTTTGGCAATTTCTGTGGTGTAAATACTCCTACTATGAGTGATTTTTGCTCACTACTTTCCTGAAAATTTAACAATCACCTCTCCTAAACTGGTGCAAGCTGGCTGGCTCTAGGACACCAACAGGAGTAAGGGCTAACATTGTGACAACAGGCTAAAGGTGGAGAAGTTGTCATCTTTGTACAAAATGTGATCTACAAAGCTATGGTCTTGTGTTTCTTTTAAGCCAAAAGGAAAACCATGGGGCAAAAAGGCATTACATATGCTAGTGCATTTCTCTGTGGTTTTCTGAGCTTAGCTACTGGTGTATTTTGTACTCAAATAACTCTTCCTCAATGGCATAACACATTAATTTGGGAGAAAATTGAGTATGAGTAAAAGGAACACCGACATTATAATGCTGTCATAATTCCAGGATTAACAAAAAGCACATGAGCTAATTCCTATTACAGAAACACAATCTGTAGGTAGAAGAGGTTTTGTATATGTGAAGGGTGGGCTGGGGATGGGCTGTGTGAAAGATGGTGACTAATTTGACAGCATGTCTGTCGGAGTGGTGTAGCCCAGGGATGTTAGGCTAAATCGGCCTGGGGAGCAGGAAGCTGAGCTTTCATAGAGATGATGCATTGCAAAAAGATTCCTGAAAATGCCTCTAAAATGGAGGGTTGCTAAATCCACAGGGGAAGAGATCAGAGAACTTCTTGGACACAATGAAGTGAAGTTACATTGAGATCTAAGCAAGGGTTGGACAGGCAGACGATGGAGGGATCAGGGTTGGATATCAGTTACACAGATCACTGTGGAGTTCTGCTCAGAATCTCTTCAACACTGTCACTCTTGAGCTCCTCCTCATCTCTGCATCTCCCGACCCCTTGTCTTTCTGTTAGCACGATATGGAGACTCAAAAGAAGAAGTGCTGGATTTTGCTGCTCTGTTGGACACAGAACCATAAACTTGAGAATGCAAGTTCTTGAAATTCCAAGGCAACTTCCTAATTTCACTGTCAGCTGGGTTTCATGTCATCTTCTGCTAACACAACTGTTTCTGTGTTTCCTCTGTGTACCTTTCTTGGACTTCAGCTTGGGGTGTTTTCTTTCCCAGTAATGATTTTTTTTTCCTTTTTTTCTTTTTACATGCATAACACAGAGAATACCCCTCCACATCAACCCTGTTCTCAACATCAAGATATTTCCTCTCACACTCCTAAGTCACTCAGTCTCAATCCTTTATATGCCCTCAGACTTATTCCCAAACTCCCAGAACCTGTTTTCAGAGATAAGGCAGCAATAAAAGCACATTAAGAAGTCCCCCATATCTGCCAATCTAAATGCATCTCCATTTTCTCAAGCCTAATCCCTGTTCATCAGAAGTAACTGAGGGTCTGACAGTAATAGCTGAAGCCTCAGGAGACGAAATGGACTTTGGAGGAGAGAGGCTAGAGAGCAAAGACTATTAGTTGACATGAGGTGGCTGCTTAAGGGAGCCTATGGCTACATTGTGTTGTCACTTGTTTAGAAAAGAGCATATTTGTATTTCTGGAGGCAGAATTTTCTGAATTCTGGACAACAGAATCTCCTTAGGCCCCAGGCTTCACAAGACTGTGACCTCCTGAAAGTCCATCAACAATTGGGCAGGTGGTCAGGGGCTTTTTATCGCATGACCACAAGAAGAATAAAGGCTGAAGGGAGCCAGAGAAAGAGCCTTTGGGGAAAGCATAGATAAGGGGTTCTGTCACTCATGTTGTAGAAGGAGATGCCTCCTGCTTCATAGTCCAGGAAAATCTCAACCAGGGGGCTGGGATCTGACAAGAAGAGAAGGGTCTTGAGTGGGGAGAGGGCCCAGTACCCATTTACAGATGACTCCACAGCCCAGATCCCATTCTTAAGAGCAAGGAGAATTTTCTTCATCACATTCTTCCTACAGACTCCAACCAACCATTATTTCCCATCTCCCACCTCCACTTCCTGGTAATGTCTCTCCGAGGTGAAGGCTTCCAGGCCTAGCACACAGGGCCAGGAGTCACATCTCTCTGGTTTTTCAGGCAGTTTCTGACATGAATCTTCCAGTCAAACAGATTTGAATCCTAATAAAGAAAGAGGTGAGGGAGGGCTATGTTTGGGTCCAGAGTCACTTCAACTGGAGAGAAAGACAGAAACAAAAAGTCTGACCATTGGTGAGTGTTATGGTTACAGGACTATTTTTGCTTCTAAGAAACAGAGCACTGCTGTAGGAGTTGATAGGTCTCCTCAGGGGGAGGGCTGTTTGGCCTGCTAAGGGGTCTCCATTCCCCCAGGCTCCCTCTGTCACCAGCAGCCAGAGGGTGATGTTAAGAGTTGACTGTGCCCAGGCTTGTAATGCCTCGTGAGATAATCTCACAGGAAGCTGGACTCTTGGCCATCTTCCAAAGCCCCTCTCTGTGTTCCAAGGAAGTATTAGGCTTTCTTTCTTTTTTTTTTCCCCACAACTTAAAATCTCTGTGTTCATCACTAAAAGGGTATCAGCATTTTTCATTTCCACTTATTTTAGGTCTTTGGATACCTCAGAGGTTAAATCTCAGCACCCAGAGCAGTGCCCAGCCACTAACCTGCACAAGATCGAGCCAGTTTCCATTCTATAATAAAACAGAAACAAGAGTCATTGCCAGGTTAAAGAGAAAATCAGCTGGGTACGGTGGCTCACACCTGTAATCCCAGCACTTTGGGAGGCCAATGCAGGAAGATCACTTGAGCCAACTAAGGAGTTCGAGCGAGACTCCATCTCTACAAACAATTTAAAATAATAAAGAGACAGAGAGAGAAAGAAAAAAAAATCTTGTGTAATTTAAAGTAAAAGACAAAACTAAACTTCCTCCTTTGTATAGTGGTGTGAAGAAGAAGAAGAGGAAGAAGAAAAAGAGGAAGAAGAAGAAGGAGGAAAATAAAAAGACAAAACTAACATAAAAATTTCAGGAGCTTCTTTGTAAAATGAATAGAAATTCTTCAATAGGCCTCTGGGGCTGAGATGTGAGGAGGAGGAGGAAGAAAATGAGAGTGGGAAGGACGCACTGGAGGACTGTTACTATCTGAATCCTATCGCCTACAAAACATCAACTGATCAATCAGGCACAAGAAAGTGTTCTGCTTCTTTCTGTCACCTTAGAAATAACCTGGACGTCAAACATCGGTGAAAAGAAGAGAAAAAAAGGAAAATGAAATAACCTGGAAGCTCCTGATGATTTGAGATCAGATCTTTACATACTAAGAGATGGTTGCTATATCTGGGGGCCTTGAGTGAAAGGCAGCAGTGGGAGCCCAGCACCCATTTCCAGACAACTCCACAGCCCAGAGCCCAAACTCAGCAGTTATGAGTTGAATTTATTTTGTCAAACAAAAAGAGTCAAACTCTGTAAAATATTGCAAGAGATTTATTCTCAGCCAGATATGAGTGCCCAGTGGCTTGTGACACAGCCCCGAGATCCTGTGAACATGTGCCGAAGTGGTTGGGCTCCAGCTTCTTTTTATACTTTATATTTATTGAGATGTTTTAACTCTGCAGGCCAGAGAGAGAGACCTATCTGAAACCAGCTTGGGCAGCTGGAGAAGAATGAGGGTGAGCAGACATCTGGGCAAGCCGGAGTTTGGGAAAACTGCCATCTTCGACCTTTCTGGAGCAGCAAGATACTGGTGTGAGTCTGTCAGGAGCTTCAGCCTAGCTGATGAATAGACAGGAGAGAGCGATGGGCTCTACAGACCCGCTCAGCAGTTCTTTCCAACTTGGAGTGCTCTGGTCATTTGCATCTGAATCCTGCTGTGTCTTCTCTCCAGTGGAGATTTTCAAACCAGGCTGCCATCAGCACCCACTCACCACCCTAAGTTTGGTAAATGATATATAAAGCTTCAAACTGGCCCTACAACTCAAAAGGAGACATAGGAGAAGGGAGGCGTTCATGGGTTGCATATAAATGAGCACAGTTTGAAATCACTACACTAAAAAAAAATCTTTCAACTATAATAATATGTTATTTACTTTCAGCAATGAGTCAGTCAGGAATTTAGCCCAGGAAATCAACAGAAAAATAGACTCCTCCCTCCCCTGAGATGCTGCCTGCACTGGATTCATGTAAATTTAAATATAAATTTAGATTGATGTTCTTTCACCATCCTCCCCCATTATCCTTCTCTCACTTCAATCATAAATGCTCTTCTGTTTGCATCATAAATTTTTCCCCTCAATCCAGTACATTTTTCTTTTTTCCTTGTATTTATTTTATTTTATTTTAATTTTTTAGAGATGAAGTCTCACTATGTTTCCCAGTCTGATCTTGAACTTTTGGGCTCAAGTGATCCTCCCAACTCAGCCTCTCAAAGTGCTGAAATTACAGGCGTGAGCCACTATGCCCTGCTGATCCTGTACATTTTTTGAGTTCATTGTACCAATAGTTCCTCCATTAGCTTGGTTAAACATTCACAAAACAAAACAAAATGCCCCCAAATGTGACAGCTGAGTCCTTGTAGGAAAAAATCCTTAAGTGAAGCTTAGTATCCTGGGGTTCATTGCATATTCATATATACATACTTGGGGACCCATGCACTAAAAAGACAGACTCCTTTTGTTTACAATAATTCAGCCTTTGCTGTTAAGGTGATTAAGGCAAGTAGGTGTGGGTGGAGAGATAGTGACAAAGGAAGTGAACTAGAGGAATAAAGATCAAAAGATGGGAGGAGGTCACTAGGTCACAGTTAAGCAAGGGCAAGCAGGCAGGAACCAGCCCTGTTGCACTGGTGTACTTGGTCACCTGGGCAGGGTGTTGACGGGCTGTTGTGGGGATGTTGGGGACATCTAGAAAATATGGAGTTGAAAATTTACAATATACATATGAATCTTTAAGGCACATCTCTTTTTAGAACCTTTTGGAATATGTTCCTAAACATAACCAGGAGATATTTTAGGAGTCTTTTCGTCTCCTGGCTGGGGGCAGTGGCTCATGCCTGTAATCACAGCACTTTGGGAGGCCAAGGTGGGTGGATCACTTGAGGTCAGGAGTTCAGTACCAGCCTGGCCGGCCAGCCTGGCCAACATGGTGAAACCCCGTCTCTATTAAAAATACAAAAAATTTGCCAGGTGTGGTGGCGTATGCCTGTATTCCCAGCTACTCCGGAGGCTGAGGCCAGAGAATTGCTTGGCTGGGAAGGTGGATGCTGCAGTGAGCCGAGATTGTGTCACTGCACTCCAGCCTGGGCAACAGTGAGACTCTGACAAAAAAAAAAAAAAGGAGTCTTTGCTCCTTTCTGACTGTAATTAGTTCCTAAGAACATGCAGTTGGAAGGTTTCTCTATTCAGGTTGTCCCTCTTCAGCCAAATCTCAGCCTCTTCAGGTCCTTACTCTTTGCATTCTACCCTCTCCATCCTCACCCCTTTCTCTGTGCCAGTTCCCCTCTCAGCTTTTCAGTCCCTTTTCTTCCAGGCCTTGTAGCCCTGGCTCTAAGCAATTTTCCCCACTTACTCCTTAATATTCCTATCTGAAAATCATAGCCCACAAAAAAAGGTAATCAATAGTTTTCTGTTGTTAATAAAAACTTTAGACAAATTAAATTTAGCAGGGTTTAATTTGAACAAAGAACAATTTGCAAACCATCAGAACGATCGGGCAGCCATCAGAGAGGTTCAGTGAGCTCCATTCCACAAGGGAAGTGACACACAGAAACAGCTTAATTGGTTACAGCTCAGAGTTGGCCTTATTTGAACATAGTCTGATCACTTGGCTGCAGGGTTGACTGCCGCCGACTGAAGTTCGGCTACTGGGATTGGCTGAGACTCAGCTATTTGTTACAAAAGTATACTCCCATGCCTTAAGCTTTCAGTTAGTTTACATACTAAGTTAGGTTGCAGTTCATTATTTAAGGGCTCAAGAGCCATCCCTCAGGCTAAATGTATACATATCTCATACCAAATTTAGTTTAATTTAACACAATTATTTCTGCTTTAGTTAAGATTCTCTGATCCAGAATAAAGGAAAAGAAAGCATGTGCTGTACACTCGGTCCGAGAAACACTAAGAGAATCCTCTTTGTAGGAATTCGTGTTTTGATTGGCTCAGAGGTACCATTTCTCATCAGTTGCTGGGCAGAAGCCACTGGGGACGGTTAGAATGAAAACTGAAACGATATTGAATTGTACACATTGACGAAAAGTTTCAGCCCTACCTCTCAAAGTGTTTGCAGCTCTCTGTGTTTACATATTTGAATCATTAATGTGTGTGTTACGTGTACAATCAGTGTTTCTTCACATTCAGCTGTCTTTTATATCATAACAGAAATATCAGGAGAACTGAGTGGAAAAATGAAAAGATTTTAAGAAGAGAAGATAGGTATTAATTAAAATGATACTGTGGCAGTTTGCAGACATCCCCTTGCATGTAATTGTTACATGGAGGATATTATCATCTTTTGTTTTGGATATTATCATCTTTTACCACAGAGCCAAATGAAAGTATGAACATAATGAAAACTAGATCTATTGCATCTATTTTAGTACCTCCAAAATTCAGGTCTCAGATCCATTACCGAATTATAGAATTTTCTGGTATCCAGAGTTAGTGCTGTCTATAACTGCATATTTTATATTTTTCACAAAATTATTTTGGGTGTGACTGAAGCTTTCTTCACCTCTTGCTCCTTATTTGTGCCATACTGTATTTTCATGTGTATTTGTTTCTCACTCTGACAATGAAATATGTTCTAAGGTTAACCTTTGGGTAGACTGTGGGGGATGTCTTTGTAAGGGGTCCTTGCTACAAACCTTGGGACCTAGTGATAGCAGACAGGAGGCAGTCAGATGCCTAGGCAGGTAGCAATGGGTCCCCAGTGATACCCCACCTCCAAGCTGAAGACAGTTTAAAGCCTGAAAGCCAAACTACAAGGTAAATCCTCAGCCCAAATTGAGAACTTGTTGAGAACTTGTCTTCCTGTTTGGTGCACTTTCCTCTGATTGGTCCCCACCCTTCAACTACTTTCCATATACCCACACTTTCCTAATTGTTTTTTTACACTGTTGTGGCCATCTTTGAGTGGTGTCTTCACTTTAACCTTTTTTGCATACTCACAAACCATTCAGCACACACTTCCCATTCTGAGTCCATAAAACAGGCCTGGACCCAGCCACACAGGGGGAGCTTTCCTGCCTTCAGGTAGGGGTGCCAGCATCCCCTCTCTGCTGAGAGCTGTTCAGTCGCTTGATAAAATTCTTCTCAGCCCTCCTCACCCTTCAACGTCTAGTGTATCCTCATTCTTCTTGGGCATGGTACAAGAGCTCAGGAACTGCTGAACGTGGGTATAAGCTATAACACAGGTGAGCTGGGGCATGCCAGTTTAGCCAAGCGAGGCTTGGGTGGGGTGTTGCTGGCCAGAGGTCCCCTGCTTGCAAAGTGACAAATAAAAATCCTGTATCACTAGCACTTGCAACTTTAGTTGGGTCACAAATAAAATATAAAGGCCTATCATTTGTTTATGTTATAAAACAGACCCTTAAAGTAATTAAAACTCCTAGGACTTAGCTGAAACCTTGGCTGGTAGAAAATGATACTACAACAGTTTGAATTTAGGCTCTGTGGTAGAGTTGGCTGGCTGCTTGTTCAATAACAGATCTACTTTTCTCAGTAATAAAATCCCATTTTCTTATTGCAAGGTGTCCATCTCATTTGTAGACAGGGGAAGCCAAGGGACTAAGTTTGAGCCAATTGCTTGAGGGTGGAAGTTTATCAGACAGATTATTTAAGGGGAGGCTAAAACAGCTGGTAGACCCTTACACTCCCCTTACTTTCTACTTCCTCTTATCTAGAATATGGACTTTGGAGCTGGGCAGCCCTTTTGTGACCATGAGGCAACATTGAAGATGCAAGCCACATGCTAAGACAGAAGAAAATAAAGACAGAACTAAGCTGGGGCATGTATGACATTTCAAGCTCTCAGATCAGCCCTTGATGGCCACCATCCATATTTATTGACATGAAAAGAAGTCCTCATTTTGTCAAAGCCAATGATATTCAGGACTGTTATTAATAACAAAATACAATTCTTCCCTCTACCCACTACAGTGTATCATGAAACTCTTCAAACATATAGGAAAGTTGAGTATGGAATCTCTATCTCCAGCCTTGAGGTCTCACCTGGACTCTTGGTTATTCAATGGACTACTCTGCATCTCCATGTGCATCTCTAATATAGACTCCTCAACCTTAATGTATCCACAACTGAACCTTTGGTTCTGTACCACTCCCGTCTTGCTCCTTGTCTCTCCGTTTCCCCATCTCAGAAATTAACAACTTCATCTTTCCAGTTACTTTTCCTTCCTTCCTTCCTTCCTTCCTTTCCTTCCTTCCTTCTCTCTCTTTTCTTTTTTGAGAGTCTCACTCTGCCACTCAGGCTAGAGTGCAGTGGTGCACTGCAACCTCCACCTTCTGGGTTTTAGTACAGACAGGGTTTTACCATGTTGGCCAGGCTGTTCACGAACTCCTCACCTTAAGTGATCCACCTGCCTTGGCCTCCCAAAGTGCTGGGATGACGGGCGTGAGCCACCGTGCCCGGCCCATCTTTCCAGTTTCTTGGGACAAAAACCAAAGATCTACTTTTCTCCTTTGCCATATGAGGACACATTTAAAAGGCTGTGAACAAGGATGCAGGCTCTTACCAGTTACCAAACTGCTGGTGCCTTGGTCTTACATTTCCCAGCCCCCAGAGTGCAAGAAAAAAAATTTTGGTTGTTTATAAACGACTCAGTCTTGGTATATTTGTCATAGCTGTCTGGGCAGACTAAAACATGCACATAAACAACCCTGTTTTCTGCCTTAACAAATCAGGTATTTAAATATATGTTCCTGATTCTTCCCATAATGTGTCATTTGTAATTTCAGTAATATAATTTCAGACTGTTTAAAAAGCTTTTTGTTCAACCCAGTTTTACAACTGGATTACTGAGTTGTCTAAAATCCAAAACACTATCATTTAAGCCAGCATTTTAGATGCCTGATCGTTTCAGTCAGGGTTCTCCAGAGAGACAGAACCAATAGGGGATACAGACATGAGAGGGCATTTATTAAGGGAATTGACTCATGCAATTATGTAGCCTGAGAAATCCCATGACGGGCCATCTGCAAGCTGGAGACCCTGAGATTCTGGCAGCATGGCTCAGTCAAAGTGTGACAGCCTCAGAACCAAGCTGATGGCGTAACTCAGTCCAAAGACCCAAGGCCTGAGAACCTCAGGGCCACTGGTATAAGTCCCAAAGACCAAAGGCCGGAGAGCCTGGAGTTGTGATATTGAAGAGCAAGAGAAGAGTGTTCCAGAGAGACAGAGAGAGAGAGAGAATTCACCTTTCCTCTGCCTTTTGCTCTGTTGGGCTCACAGCTGATTGGAAGGTGCCCAAAGATATTGATGGCAGATCTCTTCCACTCAGTCCACTGACTCACATACCAGTCTCCCCTGGAAACACCCTCAGAGACACATCCAGAAATAATGCTCCATCAGTTGTCTAGGTATTCCTTAACCCAATCAAGTTGACACCTAAAATTAACCATCACATTGATTTACTTCCCGAATCCTCTATCCCAACTCTCAAATATGGTTTCAGGATTCCTGGGGTGGGGTGGGGGGGGTCTCTGACATAAGTTCCCTCCCCCTCTTTGTTTGAGACGGGAGTTTCACTCTTTCACCCAGGCTGGAGTGAAGCAGCACGATCTTGGCTCACTGCAACCTCCACCCCACTGGGGTTCAAGGATTCCCTGTCTCAGCCTCCTGAGTAGCTGGGATTATAGGTGCCCGCCACCATGCCTGGCTAATTTTTGTATTTTTAGTGAGATGGGGTTTTGCCATGTTGACCAGGCTGGTCTTGAACTCCTGACCTCAGGTGATCCACCCACCTCGGCTTCCTAAAGTGCTGGGATTACAGGCGTGAGCCACCGTGCCCGACCTGTGTTTTGGTTTTTTGAGGCAGAGTCTCACTCTGTTGCCTAGGCTGGAGTGCAATGGCAGGATCACAGCTCATTGCAAACTCCAACTCCTGGCTCAAGCAAGGAGTTGGAGTTAGTCTTTTTAGTCTCCTGAAGCAGGGACTACAGGCGTGCGCTACCACACCTAATTTTTTTTGTTTGTTTTTGGTAGAGACAAGGTCTCAGTTAACCAGAACTGTTTTAAGGGGCCTGCAAGGTTAATAATCGTATTTTCATATTAATAATAAAACACAGTTTGTTGTTTTTAATCTCATTCTGTCACTAGGATAAAGTTTTCTTGAGCCTATATAGTCTATGATATCTCAACAGAGTGAGTATAAAGGCAGATATGAGAATCCAGTCATATTCTTTCAAGCCACACATTAGATCTGGAAAAAGTTAATCAATGCCACACTTCACAATAAAATTTATTTTGCTTTGGATACCATACTTATTTTTCACAAACATTCTACTTATATTAACCTATAATTGGCTTATTCATGCTATTTTAATATAAATTAATAAATGTTGTAAATGTATGTATGTAATGTAAATAAATGTTGTAAAGGTAATAAATTAAAACATTTCTTAGTTTCAATCTCAAATGCCATAAATACCAACAAATATTAACCCAAATAAACAAAAACTCTTTGGAATCCTCCATCATTTGTAAGGCGTCTCAAGATATCATGAAACCAGGAAGTTTGAAGCCACTGGTGTCCCCACTGAACTTGAATACTGAGGTAGATCTGGTCCATTACTCCTTGGCTCAGCCAGGACCTCAAATTTCAGCCACACTCAGGGACTGAGTACTGACTCCTTGCCAACTGCAGGGACACCTGAGCCAAACTACATCCACGTGCATCCATGTTCTTCATTCATCTTCATCCCAGGTCCAGGCCTGTGGATGTGCGCTCTGGAAATCCTGGGGCTGGGTGGAAATGAGCCATCATCTCCCAGGTCCCCTTAGCTGTTATGGTGGGACTTAGCCACCCTTACAACCTTGGTCCCTCCCAGCTCTCTGGTTCCACTTCCTCTATCTCTGATCTGCATATCTGGTTCCCTCTCCTCTCTGGTGGTCCTGTGGATTCCTCTCTCCTCTTACATCCTGGTGAACCCTGTAGGCCTCATTCCAAGTCCATATCTTCTGGTGCCAACTGGAATACTGGGCTTAATGTGGTCACCCTGATGTTAAACAGCAGGTTTGCTGCCCATCAACTTCTCACACTTTCTTCTTGGCTGGGAGCTGTGTAACAACTAGTTCCCTATGCCTGGATCCCATCCCATAGTTACAAGCAAAGGAACTACTAAAAACACAGCCTAGTGAGGAGGAGAAAACTGGGGCTGAGGTCTGTAGTGGGTGTGAAAGAGGCAGCTGGAAGATGTTCTCTTGTGTGACCAGAGGGGAGGAGGGCGTGTCTTCCACCAGGGGTGTTGTGCGGTGGCTGCTGAGATGACCAGGGCTTGTCTACATGGCTGTGAGACCAAGGAATTGATTCTATAGGCTCTGGTGGGTCCCCACTCTGTGAAGTGTCAGGCCCTCTTCAGGCACCGTGACCCCATTGGCTCCTGTGAGTGCAGGGCAGATGAAGATGGGGCTGTCCTCACACCCCAACCTGAAGAAGGGCCTCACAGGCACGGAAAAGGCTGAACGGGGACATGTGTAGATGTGCGATCTGTCCCTCATGTTGTAGAAGGAGACATCTCCAGCTTCATAGTCCAGGAAGACGCCCACCCGGCAAAGGGACTCCTTCAAAGGGAGAATCCTATCAGGGGAGGACACGGCCCGGTATTGCCCTTTATGCATCTCCAAGGTCCAGAAGCCATTCTGAGGAATCAGCAGGACCTCCCCTTTCCTCTCAACACTGTCTCTACAGACCCCCACAGTCCACTCAATCACGTTTTCCACCTCCACCTCCCAGTAATGTTTCCCTGAAGCGAAGCTCTCCCGGCCTAGGACACAAGGCTGACTGTCGAATCTCTCTGGGTTGTCAGGCACGCTCTCCCCTAGGTGCCTGAAGGGGCACCTTCTCACACTTCTCCGGTCCTCTGACAGGAAGAGATCGGGATGAGCGGTGTCTGGATCCAGGACCACATCAACTGCAGAGGAAGTCTCAGGTTTAGGCCTGGGGTCTCAGGAACCCTGGGGATTGTGTGGTTCCTGATCCCCAGAGAGGTCTCAGATATCTCTGAAGGGATCCCCACGTAGTGGCCACTTCCATGAAGGCTCTCTGATCCTAGGCAGCTCACACACTGAGAATTACTGAAGCTGCACTTCTGTCTCTCCAGAGACAGAAGCAGTTCTCTCAGTTTGAGAAGAATTGGAGCTCTAAGAAATCCGGAAAGTTTAGCAAATGAAGTAAAATCAATCATTCTTATACTTTCTCTCAGCATTCTAAGATGTGTTCCCTTTTCTATCCAAGACATATGATCTCTGGCCAGGCGTGGTGACTCACGCCTGTAATCCCAGAACTTTGGGAGGCTGAGGCAGGTGGATCACCTGAGGTCAGGAGTTCGAGACCAGCCTGGACAACATGGTGAAACCCCATCTCTACTAAAAATACAAAAATTAGCCGGGCATGGTGGTGCACACCTGTAATCCCAGCTACTCAGGAGGCTGAGGCACGAGAATTGCTTGAACCCGGGAGGCAGAGGTTGCAGTGAGCCCAGATTGTGCCATGGCACTCCAGCCTGGGTGACAGAGCAAGACATCATCTCAAAACAAAACAAAACAAAACCCCAAATGAAGACCTATGATCTCTGGGATTTTCTTTACTTAGAAACTTTCCAACTTGGCTTAAACCAGCACAAAGGCTTTATGTCCTGCTCCTCCTCTCCCCGGTGGATCAACTAAGGTGAGTCTTTCCCTTCACACTGTCCTGGAGGATAAAGGGTCTCTTCATTGGTCCTATGTGTTCCTTTTACCAGATCACAACTGACTTAAATGACTAACAAGGGCACCCTTCAAAAAATGAAGAAGGAGAATAAATGTCCCCAAAAGAAAACCTGTTGCCTGAGGGGTCTGTGGGCAAATGTAGGGAGTAACTATTCCCATCCAGTTTTGCTTCAACAACATGGGTCTGATGTCTTCACATATCACTTCTGTAGGTACAAGAAATGCTCCAGACTCCGGGCATTCTGCAGACCTCTCCCATCTGTATTTATTCTTACTTATTCAGTCTACTTTTCTATTGTGTTAAAATGATTTCCTCCATTCCCCAAGTTAATATGTCTGGCTGTGACAATTTGCTATTTTGTCCCAAGTTGACAGTGGCAATTTTGAAATTCACCTAAAGAGGAAAGGTCCATGTGCCATGGTATCTGGTAAAGCTTGGATTCTGTGGTGCTTATGGGCAGAGGGGCTGAATCATAAGATGAAAAGTGCTCACTGGGAGTGGGCAATTGGGTTCTGTGCTCTCCCACCCACCTGAAATCCCTCCCACGGCAGGCTATACACAAAGTATTAGTGTTCTCTTAAGAGCAGAAAGGCATTTCTGGCCACCTATTGGTACACCCTTATGTCAGGCTTACTAGGGACCCTCCTGGCCTCTTCCCTACATGGGTCTTCAACTTGGCACAGTCTACACCATCCCCAGGATATAAGCTGCTAAGATAGCATTGTCTTTTTTCAAATTCATCCAGGATCAAAGAACAACAACTACTGAAATGTAACTCTTAGGAAGGCTACTATATATGGGACACCTCTGGTAATCATGCATTAAATTACTCCAAAAGATAAAGGATCCTGGGATGTAAACCATAGGGTGGATTGAGAGCTGCTGGGATTCCCTGACAGAAGAGACATGATGCATCATTGCTGGGACACTGTTGATGAACTGACCCCCGTTCCCTGCTGTCCCCACCTTGCCCTGGGCCCCTTGCTCATCTCCTCTAAGGAGTCCTGTTAGCTGGCTAGTGTGGAGAAAGCTGAGATCTGAGGGAACATCAGAGGCACTCACCAGCATGTAAGAATGTTCTTCTCCATCCTGCAAGGGACAGACAGAGACGAATGTCATGAGATGTTGCTGAGCAGAACTCAAATTGTACATGTAGTTAAGGAAAGGCTAAACTTACGCAATTCTTCTTGAAGTTTCTCTGAAAAACAAACAAAGAAAATCATGTCTTTGACAGAAGAACTAAAAGAAGTTGGGTTTTTAGTAAACAATGCAGGAACCGTCCTTTCTATGAACAGCAACATCTCCCTTCCCTCATGCCTAGGGCACTGTCAGAAACCAGAAATTATGTATGATCAGGTGGCTGGGTAGTACCAGCACATTGTTACACTTGCTTTTGCTCAACCATTTAGTACTTTATGTAGCCAGATGAATGAATGCAAGGTGGGCAGAGTGAAAGAATGAAAGCTCTGAGAGATTCATTCCAAGGACATGAGAGTTCCAAGTCCTTGCTGCTGCTGTGCATTTCCTCTCTCTTCTGTATGCTGGTACCTGGGAGAGCTGTGTCCTTTCTATGGTGGTGAACTGTCCTTCTACTCTTTTTCTTTTCTTTTTTTTTTTAATTAAACAGGGTCTCACTTTATCGCCCAGGCTGGTCTCGAACTCCAGGGCTCAAGTGATCTGCCTGCCTCAGCCTCCCACAGTGCTGGGATTCAAGCCATGAGCCACCATACTCAGCCTCTTTTACCTTTTACTTGAAGTTCTTCCTCTTTTTGCACACGTTCTTTCTCCAGTTCCTTTAGAGCAATTTCTCTTGTTTCCCGTTCAAACTCCTTTTCCCCTGACAGAATCTTTTTTTCCTTTTGGAGTTTGTTGATCCAATAGATGCATACGGCAATGGGTATCATCAGAATAACCACAATGATAGGCAGGGCCACTGCACAGGGAGACACACTGGGCATAAAGGATTCTGAAAAGGCAGCCAGAAATATCCACTTAGTTTGAAACAGAACATCTGGGGTAAGAGTGCCCCTAGGAGCACACTTGAAGAGCTCCTCAGCCACCTGCTCTCCTGCTTTCTCCCTCAGAAAACTCAGATGGAGAAAGTGATGCTGGCTCACACCTGGCTGACACCTCAATGGCTTCCAGGGCCAAGGCCCAGAGGTAGCAAACCAGTCACCATGGGAAGGACCAGGATGAATAAAGCTAACCCGTCATGCTGAGTCGGCACAGCCACCACCCTGCCTCAAGCTACCATCACTCACGCCTGGAATACTGCGGTGCCCTCCTTCTTATTCTGCCCTTACCTTCTGTAGTCTATTTTCAACAGACCAGCCCTAGTGTGATCATGATACTTCTTAGCTCAAAACCTTCCAACGCTTTCCACGTCACTCGCCCTAAAAACCAAAGACTGTTTGTGGCTTACAATGCCATGTTTAATGTGTTTTCATTGCCTCTGTGAATTCATCTCCTTTCACTTCCTGCACTCACTCCATTTCAGCCACACCAGCATCACCTTCTGGGGGTCCTGGAAACTGCCAGAGATGTTCCTTCCCCAGGCCCTTTGCATATGCTCTTCCTGTAGCTGGGTTGTTCAGTCCTTAAGCATCTGATGACTCCTTGCCATCAGATGGGATGGCTCAATTCCCATCTTTACAGTGAAGTCTTCCCTGACCATTCTGTTAAGAATTGCAATGTCTCACATTGCCTCTTTATTCCTTCCTTGCTTAATGTTTCCTATAGATGTTCATTACCATCTGATAGAATATATGGTTAGCTAACTAATCACTTTTTGAGGGAAGAGTTCTTAATATAATTTGTTCAATGATTTACCCTTGGTAGAACAGTGTTTTGAACATACGATATGCTTCTTGACCATTTGTTGAATGAATTGTGAGTGTGTGTCTATAGGGAATTTCCACAGCTCTGTCCTGTGGAAAATCCCCTGCACAGGAAGGGATGGCTACAGCATACAGGAACACCAAGTGTAGAGAGTCACTTATCCACACCACCCTCCATATGTTATGGTTGTTTTCAATGTCTAAAAATTGCTGGCCGGGTATGGTGGCTCACGCCTGTAATCCTAGCACTTTGGAAGGCTGAGGCAGGTGGATCACTTGAGGTCAGGAGTTCGAGAACAGCCTGGTCAACAAGGTGAAATCCCCATCTCTACTAAAAATACAAAAATTAGCCGGGTGTGGTGGCGTGTGCCTGTAGTCCTAGCCTTCGGGAGGCTGAGGTATGAGAATTGCTTGAACCTGGGAGGAGGAGGTTGCAGTGAGCCAAGATTGTGCCACTGCATGCTAGCCTGTGTGACAGAGCAAGAACTTGTCTTAAAAAAAAATTGCAGCAGTGTAAGGACCTTATTGGGGGGAAAAACAACAACAACAACAACAACAACAACAAAAACAGGTTTACCCTCAGAGAAGAGGCTCCTACTCCTGAGTTTTGGGACACTTTGATTCTCCTTTTGTGAGAAGCGGAAAGGCTTCACTCAGCTGCAGCCTCCAGGTCCTTAGGGCCCAGGACTATTTCACCCACACTGCTGCCCCCATCCCCGTTCTGGGCTCCATCTGTGTGCTGAGGATCCCCCATGCACTCGACGAGTCTCAGAGGGCAGAGAACTAACCTGGAATAAAAATGACACTTTCTTTCTTCTGGCCGAGCAGGGTGTTGTTGATAGAGCAGGACATGTTCCTCACAGACTTGTCTCTGATGATCACAGCCGTGGTGACCATGAAGAGGCCGTCTGCATCAGGCATGGAGACCTCTTTCAGGGCAGGCGCAACCCCACCGTAGGGGTCCCTCCACACTGTGAGGGGCTTTGGGTACCACCCTCTAGATATGCACTCCAGCCGGATGCCCCCGTCTTCATGGCCCCTCATTGAAATGAGGGGCTTAGAGCCTAGTCCTGTGGAGAGATATCAGGGTTCAGGCAAAAGTCAGTGCCTTTTGCATCTCTTCTGTGCCTATTGCATCTCTTCTGTGAAGCTAGAAAGTAAAGGTAAAAAAGAGGGAGATAGGAAACAAGAAATAGGAAGGAAGAAAAAAAGGATGAGGGTAAGGAAGAAAGAACATTGATGTTGGAGAACACCAGCAGGCCAATGGGCCACATAAACTGTGAGCTCTCTAAGAGGAAAGGATCCCATTGCACCCTTTTCTTTGCGGTCCACCTATAGGCCCCATCACAGCACCAAGCATCTATCTGTCTGCCATAAATGCTTGTTCAATTTATCCTGCCAGACTAATTTTCTCACTTTGAGATGGGTGTGTCGACTCCAACTTCAAACAGGCAGGTTTTGGATTTCACTTTCTGCTTCTGGGACGACTTCTCAGTAGACCTCAGCTTCCAGAAGCTCTAGAATAATAACGAGAAGGACGAAAGTCTGCCAGGCGGGCAGAATCCTAAGAAACCTTTTGATCCAAAGACATTGACCCTTCTGTCTAGTTCAGAACTTCACATAACCACCGCTTTCTACCACCCATAGGAGGTGATGGTTTTTAGGAGACTTGACAGATCTAGCCTGCAAATCCAACTCTAATCCTAATTCACACTGTTTACCTCCCAGAGGCTCCATCCATTAGGCAGTATTGCTTTTGTTGTTTTAGGGACAGGGTTTTAGCTCTGCTGTCCAGGTTGGAGTGCAGTGGCAAAATCATAGCTCACTGTGCCTTGTACTCCTGGGCTCAAGAGATCCTCCTGCTTCAGTCTCCCAACTAGCTAGGATTACAGGCATTTTCCACCATTCTTGGCTAACATGTTGCCCAGGCTGGGTGATTTTCTTATAGTACTTGGAGAACATCAACTTATTAGAAAGATCTGGATGATCCAGGGACTAAGATAACCATACCACTTTTTCAATATCAGAGATCATCACCAAAAATCCTAAGAAACTAGACTCACCCTAACTACAATCCATCTTTAAATGAATCTTCCATAAGAGTGAACACCAGGTATGAAAGAGCTGCAAAAGCGTGGTCCTGGGAGACCTTTCAGCCATGTGTGACCATCTAAACTTCTTCTGAGTAATTCCTTTGTAAAGTCTCCCAAAGAATTTTACCAAAGACAGGAAATTAAATCAATAACTTAAGTCTGGTGCTTTGGCTCAATTTAATAAAAAAAAATTTTTTTTTTTGACACAGTCTCACTCTATCGCCTGGGCTGGAATGCAGAAGCATGATCATGGCTCACTGCATCCTCGATTTCTGAGGGTCAGGTGATCCTCCCACCTCAGCCTCCCAAGTAGCTGAGACTACAGGCATGTGCCACCATGCCCAGCTACTTTTTTTTTGTATCTTTTTGTAGAGACTGGATTTTGCCATGTTGCCCAGGCTTATTTTTATTTATTTATTTATTTATTGATTTATTTTTTAGACAGAGTCTTGCTCTGTAGCCCAGGCTAGAGTGAAATGGTAGGATCTCAGCTCATTGCAACCTAGGCCACCTGAATTCAAGTGATTCTCTGGCCTCAGCCTCCCAAGTAGCTGGGACTACAGGCATGTGCCACCATGCCTGGATACTTTTTGTAATTTTAGTAAAGACAGGGTTTCACCATGTTGGCCAGGCTGGTCTCCAGCGCCTGACCTCGGATGACCCACCCGCCTTGGCCTCCCAAAATGCTAGGATTACAGGCATGAATCACTGCACTCGGCCCAGGGTCACTTTAATTTTTATCAAGAGATAAAACTACTTGTACATTTAAAGGCTCAGTGGAATAAGAATTAAAATAACTCAGCAAATTGGAAAACGAAATTCTTCAAAACATTCTATGAGGTTCAATACAGGCAAGCATGACAAAATAGATTTAAGGGCAAAATCAGCCACCAACCAACCTAACAAAGAGAATACAATGAACAAACAAACAAAAAGTCCTAAGCAATCCAATTCAGAGTGGGAAAGGCCAGGCCACTGTCAGTTTTATAGGCAAAGAATGGCAGATTCCTGCCGCGCAGAAACCATAACTGGTCAACCCTGGAGTGCTGCTATGAACACAGTCATGATGCAGGGTCAAGAAACCCTCCTTCCATGATATTCTGCTTTAATCAGATGCAAGGTTGCCTTTGTGTGTAGCAAAGATGGGGTCTCCTACCTGTTATGATTTGAGGCCCCCAGGGAAAGACCCAATTCCCTAGTCCTCACCTCCTCTGTCTGGTCTGATGGAGTGAAATGCCACCACAGATTATCCTGCACCTTAAAGGCTTTTTCAGTCCTCAAATATATCTTTTTTGTTGTTGTTTAATTTTTGATACAGAGTCTTGCTCTGTCGCCCAGGCTGGAGTGATGTGGTAAGATCTCGGCTCCCTGCAACCTCTGCCTCCTGGGTTCAAGCAATTCTTGTGCCTCAGCCTCCCAAGAAGCTCAGATTACAGGCACACTCCACAAAGCCTGGCTAATGTTTCTGTATTTTTAGTAGAGATGGGGTTGCACCATGCTGGCCAGGCTGGTCTCGAACTCCTGGCCTCAAGTAATCCACCTGCCTCTGCCTCCCAAAGTGCTCGTATTACAGGTATGAGCCACCACGCCCAGCCCAAATATATCTTTTAAAGCATAATACACTAACCCCAAAACTGAAGTAATCACTTAATGTCATTTTAACAAATTCCTAGAAATCCCAGTTTAAATGCATTTTTATGTGGAAGGCTTCCCTATTACCTCCCAGCAAAATTCGTAGTCTTTCTCTATGGAGTTAGCAGGAACTATATATAATTTTGCTTCTGTATTTCGTCTTGGTTTAATAAAACCATCTATTTACAATAAGTCACTCTCTCTGCAATCAGCATTTTGGGAAAGATGAAGTAAAGATTAATATTTATCAAGAAATAAGATTTGATATGTTGTAGTTCTCTGGGTAATCAGTTTATTCCAGTTGTCTTGGAACAATTATTGACAGTGTCTCCTCTCACTCTCAGAAGTGCAACCTGGGAGGCAGAGGTTGCAGTGAGACAAGATCGTGCCAGCGAGGGTACAACAGAGCAAGACTCTGTCTCAAAAAGAAAAAAAAAACCCAAAAGAAGTGCACAGTTCAATCCTAAGGCAGGTATAAGACTTCTCTTCCGAGACTGACCATTTTCCCCTGCTCACGGCCTCAGCTGAATTCTGCATGTGCTTCTCAAGAAGTGAAGCCCTTAGCTTAGCAGGGCAAACCCACTCATGTGTCCCTTGTGCAGGAGGAAGGATTTTTCCCTGGAATTCCGTTTCCACAGGGAGAGTGGAAAAGGGAGTCCAGACAAAAATTTGCTGGTCTGCAATGGGCCTGAGGTTAGGAGAGAAACTTTCCCCAAAGTCACACTGTGCCAAAGTAACAAAGCAAAATGAAGCGACGCACCTGCCACTACGAGGTGCAGGATGGCCTCATCGTAGGACCTGCCTTCTTGGAAGTAACAGCGGTAGGTGCCGTTTTCCTGGGCTGTGATGTTGTGTATGACCAGGGCCACGCTGCCCCTGCTGATGTCTTTGCTCACAAAGGTGGTTCTTCCTCGGTACTCCTCCATCTGCTCCTCTGTTCTCTCTCTGCCACCTTTATACACAAACACTGCGGGGGAGAACTGAGACCGGAACCACCGCACCTCCATGTCCTCAGCATTTTTCTCGGGTGACAGATGGCAGCGTAACGTAGTGTTTTCTCCAACCGTGGCCAAGATGGGATCAGTGGGCCCCACGACAATAAACTGGGCTGTTCAACAAAGGGGTAGAGTCAGACAAAGACACCAGCCATCACATCTCTAAGGCAAGAAAGGAAGCAGATATTCTAGGGACAAACTTATTTTTTCCATGGCCATAGGGTCTCTTTGGGCTGAGAAATCTGGGGACCAGTAGCTGTGGCTAGTCGACAGCACCCCTGGGAGCAGTAACTATAAAGTGTGCTTCTGCTTCATGAAGGAAACCCTGAGGAACCTGCCCTGAGCACCCTCTGTCCACCCTGTGCCCTTGAGGGGATTTTCCTCGATTTCCCAATCTAGTGCTGTGCCTGAGTGTACTGTAAACTTGAGCCGTGCAATAGGACACATATCCACTAGCTAGTTCCAACTGAAATGAGCTGTAAGTGTAAAATACACACAGGATTATGAAGATTTAAAATTTCAAAATGTTGACTATCTCATTGGTAATATGGTATATTAACTAAGTATTTAAATATTCGTATTTGATTATTTGGGGCGAAACAAAATATAGTATACAAATTTATTTCATGTTTCTTTTTACTTTTTAAAATAAAAAGTAAAATTTAATTTTTTTTGAAAATTTGCAATTGTACATGCACTCGGCCTTTGTGCCTCACTGTATTCCTTTTGGACAGTGCTGGTATAAATTCAATGAACATGTTCAGAATGAAAGGGTAAGTCAACAACTCCACAGTCCTTCTTTCTTTCCCTTTGCAGACTACAGGGTTGATGTTCCTTTCTGATAGGTGACAGCAGCAAGTGGCACACATCCCTACCTGAGACCAGTGCACACAGGCTGAGGAGGAGGAGGAGGAGGGAGGCTGGCCGGGAGAAGTGCAGGGCAGCAGCTGATTCCATGAGCACCCAGAGCAGGCAGGGACAGGAGGCCTAGGGTTACAGAGGAGAATCAGCCTAGGAGTCTTGGCACCTCAGTGCTGGTCGGGCCCAACCTCTCCCGTCACTCAAGTAGGTCTCATCAGTGCCCCAACTTCAGGGAGTCCCCTGCATCCGAAGGCTCAGGTATGTCCCGAGAGAGGGATTCCTTAAACATTCCATGAAGTAAGCCATCAATGCCAAGATCAAGGGGGCCTTTTTCCGCCCTCCTCGGCTCACTTCTCTGGCCAGAATGCAGTTTCTTCAGTTGTCGCTGGATTCTACCACACCCTCCTCCCTTCACTTCCTCCTCCCCGCGACCCAGGCCGGGCAGCCTGAGGCAAAGACAGGCGAGGCCGCGCCTCCCCACCGGTGGGCTTTCCCTGTCCCAGGACCCCGTCTCGTGTCCACAGCAGACCCCGCTTCCCCCACCTACTGTGCCCACCCCGGAGCTGTAGCGCCTCCCCTCCGTTTCCTACCTTCTAGAATTAAACGTTGCTTTTTCTTTTCTCCGCTGGTTCTCGACGATTCTCCAGTCGTCCCTCTTCTCTCCAATCTGCCCAGGGGCACAGGCACTACTAGACACAAACCTTCCCAAAAGAGGAGAAAAAATTGTTCTTCCCCTTCTCCTAGGTCGCCATGTTTGGAGATGCAGGAAACGAAATCTGGTCTCCTGGGCTTCCACAGTCCCAAGAGTTCCCTAAGTATTTTAGAGCCCAGGATTGGCCGGGTGTGAGTGAACCAGCCAATGGTGTCGAACCTTATTTCTCAGCAGTTGCTGGGTAGAATACACCGAATCACAAATTTCAAGCAGCAAATAACCTTTTGAGATTATCGGGTCTTTTTATTTCCTTTTTCTTTGTTCGAAAGCAAGACTCTCTCTCTCTCTCTTTCTCTCTCAAGACTCTCTCTCTCTCTCTCGCTTTGAGATTCCTTGGGGAGATTCCCTGGGGTTTGTCACTGAGGTCGGTGGCTTTGCTGGTGTCCACAAGGAGAGGCCTCTCTATGTAGAGGGCAATTTTGCTGGGGAGGAAACATGAGCAGGAAAACGTAAGCCGCCCCCTTTCCAAAGCCAGAGGACTCCTGTTCAAGTTGCTGGCTTTGGAGGTTGGGCCTGGAGCGCAGGAGGGCTTGGGGGAAGCTGGCATGGCTGGAGCGGGAGGGGTAGCAAAGGAAAGGAGACAGCAGTTGCAGTGGCTGTTATGAAGGCCTTGCCATTCATTCCAAAGCTATCGGATAAGAGGTGCTGAGAATCCTGACTGAGGATCAAAAACCTTTTCCCTCAGGGAGGTGGCATTCTGGTGGTGGCAGAAGATGGAATTGAGCAAAACTTTCTAGTTGTCCTTCACCTTCTAGATAGTAGGTGGTCAGGTTGGGTCCAAGAGCCACACACAGACACACACACTAGCACACATACCATCCTCCCGTAAACATCATCCCTCTCCCAAAGGCTCCAATCTTGTAATTGTAAAGATATCTTCCAGAATAATCTTCCCGAGGCCCAGTTGTCAATATTCCCCTCAAGTGTCTAAATGCTTAGTCTGGAGGCCTCCAATTCCCTTCTGATTCAATTCAAAACTTTGCAGTTAATACGCTAGCAATGGCTCCACAGTGGCCTTGCATCACAACGTTGCACTCCCTGTGGCCAGTGCTCCTTTTCCCATGCCATGGCTTTCATTTCAATTGCTTGCTCCATCTCTGCCCCGTGAAATCCTGCCCAGCCTTCGTGCCTACTTCCTCCAAGAACAACTCTGAATGTTCCTGCCTGAAGTGTTCTCGGCCTCTTCTGACACCCAAATCTTTTGCTGTTCCCACGTCCTGTCTTGTATTATTGTTACTCAGGTATCCACTGTGTCTCTGCTGTGACAGGAGTACCTGCTTCTCAGGACAGACTTCTGCAGGATGTGATTCCTCTCACCTTACAGGGCCCAGCTCTAAGCTCTAAGCTCTGCTCTTAGCTGTTGTTCAATGCATGAGTGACATGCTCAGGGTAAGGTCATTCCCACCACATCATGGCCCAGTTCCTGGAGTCATTTGGCACCAGAGTGCGAGAGAGAGGTGCTAGCAGGATTAAGCCACTCTAGGTCAGGATTTCTAGGACTGGAAAGGAGGAACCAGTAGGTTCCTTCTGCAGAGAAAGCTCTTTGATGAGAATAAGCTAAAGAAAGCTCTGAGAACTCTTTTTTCCATTGGACTGACCCTTAAACTGTCTCTTTCTCATACAGTAGTCTCACACGTCACCTGATGTTTCTGGATTATAATTCAAATAAGATTCTGGGTTGAGTGGCTTATGAGGGTAAATACATCAGTATTAGAACTGTATGTATATGAATTCCAAACAGGACTGGGCAGCTGTTGAGAAGAGGCAGAAGAGAAGGATGAAAGGGTCTAACAGCATGGCCAGCCAGGATGAGATCTGACTTTATATTTTTTTACCTGAAGAAATAAGGCCCAGGGCTTTGAAGTAGCCCTTTTGCCAGAAGCATCCAGCTAAGCCAGGCTTCAGCCTCTGCCAAAGTTGATCTGAGCTAGAGGGAAACGTGTGTGTTCTGAGAAGGAAGAGGATCAGTTGACGATGGGGTAGCTTAGAAAGAAATCAGGCTCTACTGGGGTGTGCCCGGTTAGATAGTAACAACCTAACCCAATCATGCTCTGTAGTGGGAGGGATAGAGACAGGAAGGGTCACGTTGGCAAGGTTCTTTATGGACCTGCCAACCCTGGAAGAACCAGGATACAGGGTAAGCATTGATTTCCTTTTGCTTTACAATAAACTACAGTCTGTGAAGGTAATATAGCTGTGTCATCTCCAGCTATGGAGTACTCCCAGGGGAGGCCTAGACATGTTGACATACAGAAAATCCATTCCTACTCTGCCCTGTTCAAATTCTAGATTCCTGACTCACAGAATCACTGAACATATTATAATAGTTGCATAAGCTTCTGAATATTAGGACTACAAGCAATATTAACGAGTACATTTATCTTGCCTCAAAAGAACACATTTTTTCAAAAAGAAGAAATGATACTGGGCTTCTAAAAGAACCAAACGTGAGAAATTTGCCTAAACTCTTTCCATCTTGTAGCCTTCTCTCTGCTCATCTGCTTTGGTCTTCTCTGCAATCCACCATTGTTTAGTCCACACCATGAATGGAGCATTTCTTCCCACAGCTCCCATGCACATCTGCTACAGGAGTAACTAGCCACATGTCACTTGGTCCTCTGGCCTAGCCTGGGTCAGGTGTCCATCCCAGACCCAGTCCATGTGGTGAGGCTGCAGGGCCATGTGATGTGGGCATGTATTGGAAGAGAAGAGGTCACTAATGCTAAATGTGGTACAGCGAGGGCAGAGAGACCTTGAAAGGCATTCACTATATTCTCAGAGGCAGAGCCCTTATAACAGACGCTGTTGATGCCCCATCCCATATTCTCTTGGCCTATCACAGTTTGCCAATAGCTGAGGCACAGTTTTCTGCAAGGATGACAACCTTTCCACCTCCAGTGAGTATCTCCCTTCTCCTTTGCCTGTGAGCTTTATCACACCCGTGATAGTTGCTTTTCTGCAGTTACATAGCCCAATCTTAAAGTGCATTAGAATTAACACTCCCAGGCCAACCTTCAACCAATTCAAGCAAAGGAGGATGGGAAGTGGAGATAAAGTCCCAGGCCCTGTAGTCCTTAGGAAGATTCTGAGCTATATCACACATTTCATATGGTTTCTTAGAGAGTCCTAAAAGGGATTCAGCCAAGTTATCCACATGGTAACTGACTCATGAGTGAACCCTTTATCCCATTTGTCATGTAATTGGCTTTTTTTCATTTCTCAATTTGTTTCTGCACTTGTGTTTCCTGGAATCACTTCCCAAATCAGTGTGGTGAGCTGAATAGTGCTCCCCGCACCCACCCTTTGAGCTATATTCACTATGAAAGTTATGAAAAGAATGTATAACACAGTAAAATGAATTTTACACAGAATTAAGGTTATGGACCTTAAAATAGAGAGATTATTCTAAATTGTCTGGGTGATCTCAGTTTAATCATAGGAGTCTTTAAAAGTAAAAGGCAGACTGAGCGTGGTGGCTCATGCCTATAATCCCAGCACTTTGGGAGACCAAGGTGGGCAGATTGCTTGAGCTCAGGAGTTTGAGACCAGCCTGGGCAACATGGCAAGACCCTGTCTCTACAAGAAAATACCCAGGCATGGTGATGTGGCTCTGTGCTCCCAGCTGCTTGAGAAGCTAAGATGGGTGGATTGCTTGAGCCCAGGGGACAATGTGGTGAGCTGAGATCACGCCACTGCACTTCAGCCTGGGTGACAGAGCGAGTCCTTGTCAAAGAAGAAAAAAAAAAAAAAAAGAAAGGAAGGAAAAAAAGGAGAAGGTAAAAGAATCAGAGAGACACAATGGAGAAAAAGACCTAGGAGATGAGCCTCAATGCGCTGTTGCTGCTTTGAAGATACAGGAAGGGAGCTAGGAGCCAGAGTGTGGCAGCCTCTAGAAGTGGGTACAGCCCTTAGCTAAAAACCAGGGAACAACTGGGACGTCAGTCCTATAAATGAAAGGAACTGATTCTGCCAATAGTCTGAATAAGCAAGGAAACAGATTCTTCCTTAGAGACTCCAGAAAGGAATCCAGCCTGCAGACACCTTGATTCTAGCCTGGTGAGATCCCTGTGGGACTTCTGACTTCTCACCTACAGAACAGTGAGATAATAAATTTGTGTTGCTTTAAGTTCATGAATTTCTGAAGCCAGGCGCGGTGGCTCATACCTGTAATCCCAGCACTTTGGGAGGCCGAGGTGGGTGGATCACAAGGTCAGTAGATCGAGACCATCCTGGACAACATGGTGAAACCTCGTCTGCACTGAAAACACAAAAAATTAGCCAGGCGTGGTGGCACGCACCTGTAGTCCCAGCTACTCGGAAGGCTGAGGCAGGAGAATCACTTCAACCTGGGAGGTGGAGGTTGCAGTGAGCTGAGATCGTGCCACTGTACTCCAGCCTGGGAGTACAGTGGCACAATCCAATCTCAAAAAAAAAAAAATGTCTATACATTTCTGGTAATTCAGATGGCAACAACAGAAAATGCATCCAATAAGGGTCTTGTGAAAATGCTGCAGTGAGGTAAACTGAGACTGTGGTGAGTACAGTGGGTGTGCAGACTACTGTGCTGAGTAGACACCACAGTCTAGAAAAAGCCAAGCTGAGGAGTAAGCATTATTAACACATTTATTGAACAACTAGAACTTGACAACCACTTGCCAAGTAGAGGGGATACAGTGGTGAGCAATAATAGTGATGATAATGAGGAGCAGTTTTCCCTAGCAGGCAGCAGTTGAAAGGAATATGGGTTTAACATCCACCAATGACCAGGAGTGGACAGACCTATTTCCAGGAGACTGAGTCCATAGTGGGATTAAAAACATCCCTGTAATTCTTTTAGCTTCCTTGATCCAAATTTCCTATATCACAGAGAATCTCTAGGGTATTTGCTCTG
The DNA here is from genome assembly GCF_000001405.40 of Homo sapiens. NCBI lineage: Eukaryota > Metazoa > Chordata > Mammalia > Primates > Hominidae > Homo > Homo sapiens. Next base: position 26,453,129 of record NC_000006.12, on the reverse strand, counting down.
CCTGGAAACCTTGATTGAAGGAAGGCTGGCTCTGGCTGCACAATCACTTATCACATTTGTTGGGTGGGAACATATCTGTGCCCCATGATTTATCAAGTGTGGCCTCTAGTCTCTTTCCAAGTCACATGTCATGTTGGTACTATGAGGTTATTCTCTCAACCAAGACACTCTGCAGAGCTAATCCAAGGAGTGCTGGGTCTAAGTCTCTGATATCAGCTGGGAAAGAGTCAATAGGGATGTCAACTCCACAAGCACTTAAAATGATCTCTACCCTGCAGCTGTCCTGGGAAGGAAACCTCAGGGCTACATGTGGGCTCTTCCTGTGGGAAAAAAAATCAGGCTGGAAAAGAACAGGCAATTAGCCAGGGACTAAGGCTGAACATCTCCCAACTGCACAAATTACTGTATGAGTTATGTAAGTTACTTCATGTTGCCCTGCCTCAGCTTCCATACTTGCAAAATATGACTACCCGACAGGGTGTTGTGAGGATTAAAGGAGTGACATCCACCAAAGCTTATAACACAGCACTAAGAACATTTTAAATTCTCTGTTAATGTTAGTTATTGCTGTTTAGATCCCAGCTCTGCTGTTCACTTGTCATGTCTACTTTGTAAAGTTAATTCACCTTTCTGCACCCCAGTTTCCTTATCTGTATAAGGGGACAATAAGGTGGTACGAAACTCAAAACAACTGTCATATGGAATAATGGAATGAATATCAGTAAAGTGCTTCAGTGCGTGCCTGTAGCTTATGGTTCTGATTGGTTGTTGCAGAAGGGGAGACCTCAGCTCCAGGGTGGGCAGGGAGAAGCAGAGATGTTACTTCAGCCTGAGGCTCCCCACTTTCATTAGCTAAGCCCGGGGTCAGTGGTGTCTCCAGGGAATGATCAGGCACTAGGTCAGGATCGGGGGAACTCTCTACTTCTTTTGGTATTGGGCAAATGGTCAGGGCAGTGGGCTCCAAGGTCAAAATTCTGAAAACAGGATATAGAGGCTCAGAGAAAGAGGCGTGCGGAAAGGTGTAGATATGAGATCCATCTGTGGCATTATAGAACGAGATCTCTCCAGTCTCATAGTCCAGGAAGATCCCCACTTTCCTAGGAGGCTCAGGAAGTTTCAGGTTGGTTCTGGGCTCAGTGAGAGCCCGATACTTATTCCCATCAGTCAGGCCCATAGTCCAGTATCCGTTCTCCGGTGTCATTTTGACCCAACCTTTTTTCCTCTCCACGTTCTTACTACATACCCCAATATGCCACTCTTTTCTGTCCCCCACTTCCACCTCCCAGTAATGTCTCCCTGATGTGAAGTTTTCACAGCCAAGGACACAGTAACGCCATTCAAATCTCTCAGGGTTGTCTGGCAGATCCCGCGGCTCTTCAGCACGCTGCACACTCCTCTGGTCCTCAGAAACAAGGAGGATGGCGTTTGCCGTGTCTGGATCCAGAATCACATCCGCTGCAGAGAGTTTGAGGAGGTGTCCATGGGGTCAGCCATTTTTCCTGGATTTCAGAGCCTCAGCATGCAAGGCCTGGACCATGCTAAGGAGGTCCTTCCAGAACCTGGCGTCCCTAGCCTGCTCTAAATATGACTCTCTCATCAATGTCATGGGAGAAAGCTCAAGGGGTCTTGTGTCCAGAGGGGAAATGAAAGTAAGGTCAGTATCTGCCTAACCCAATACCCTGATGCTGCCTCAGGAAGCAATAAGGATCCTCTTGCTACATTTTTCTTGTTTCCCTCCCCACATTGACTCTGCCCCCTAATGCCTTATACTCAGAGGTTAATTTTCAATCTTCACTCGACCGCTTATGAACTAAATGAGCTCCCCTTTTCTGCAGTCTATTTTTCCATACATCCAATTTATTTAACAAGGTGGAGCCTCATCTGAAGCATTTTGTCACCTGAAAAATGGGGATAAAAATATGACTCTCTAGCGTAGTATAGGGGAATCATGTTATTTACTCAGCCCACAGCAGGGCATGAAGGAAGCTCCTGATGTTCTAATAGCTGCAAGGCCGTCTCTATGCTGGGCTCTATGAGGGGCCCCAGATTCACTCTCCAGCCTTCAGCTTTTTCCACCCTCTTCTGGGTCCTAGGAATCTGTACTCTAAGGATAGTGCCACTGGGCTCCCTTGTCTTCTGGTTTGCTGTTGGGTTTGGCCAATGGGAGGCCCTGATAGAAGATTGGAAGGAGAAAGAAAGGAGAGACACACTGTTTATTCTCCTGCTTCCTCCCTGCCAGCAGCAGCTGATGCTACTCTAACAAGGCCTGACGACTCTTCTCAGGGAGCCCTCTCTTTTGAGCTACTTTTCTCTGGGTTCCAGTAACTGCCTCCCCTTCCTAGACCTCCCAGGCTAGGAGTGAAGACAGCTCCCCACTGTTGGGAACCATGGGGGCACTGCACTTTTCCTTATTGCTTACCCTTATCCCTCCTTTCCGCAAACCTTTTTCAACCAACCAGTTTGAACTTGTCATCTCTTTCTTACTTGGTTTTTGACCAGTGGATATTTATTATTACTTCAGTCTTCACCTCACCCCCACAAAACACAGATTGCAATTTTCATTTAAAAATGTGGAGGCGAAAGCTCGGAAGCATTAAATCATTTGAGGTGACACAGGCAGTAGGGGGCATGAGAAGCCTGGGAAGTGCAAAGTTCTTTGGGCAGGCATCACCTCCTCTCCTTGGCATTTGCATCCTCACTCTCCCTGCAGTATCACTCAGTGTGTGTCTCCTTCCCCTCAGCTCCACCCTTTATGTGTCTTCCTTCCCAGGAAGGTCTGAGGAAGCCCAAGAGAGCAATTCTCCCTGGTTCCCTGGGCTCTCAGCGGGAAGGGTCTTGGAGATGGGCCCACTTTTCAGATTGGGATTTAATGTTGTCTACCCCAAACTTTCTTAGTCAAGGGAACTTTTCTTCCCTAAATCACAAGAGTTGGAGGAGGAGAAAGGAATATAGTCCCTCAGGTTGTTGATCCAGGGAACATACAGTGATTTACTCACCAGGTTTGAAGAGGGCCATTTTCCATTCTGAAAGGAAGGAGACACAGATAAGAAAAAGGTCAGTATTTTTGTTCTTTTCTCCACTCCATTCTCCTTTCACTACACGTTTTCTCTCCTTTTCTTCAGAGTCTCTTCCAGGCTTCAGCTTCCTTCCTCTACAGCTCTGATAGATCAGAGGTGGCACCTTCTAAACAATGTCAGGCTCGGCTCCCTGTGCCATGGGGGGTGCAGGCTGCATGGTTATGCTTTGCCTGGGCATGTGCAGGGTCAGGAGTCTCTCAGAGGCTCCAGAAAAGCAGAAGTCAACCCCCTACCATGCAAAATTGAGTCTAAGGGTTAGATCTGATTAATCCAACTGAGAACGTCAATGGGTCACAGCAGAGAAAAAGTTGAAATGTTCATTGTACATGACCCAGCAAACCCAGAGAGCATCAGGCTCACTCACCATGATAGGCCAAAGACTTCTCTCCACCTACAATGAAAGAAAGATAGAGGTGTCACCTGAACACTGCCTTTGCTCTGTTGGCCCCTTCCACTTCCTTTCGCATCCATCTAGACTTTCTTTTTGACCATTCCACTCTTCCCTGTGGTCTCACTCTGCAAGCTCAATTCTCTCTTCACCTCTTCTTCTTAATATCAAGTCTGGGAACATTGGTTGAATGCTAGTGGCAGGGCAGTCACTGTGAGAGTTCCTTCCCAGTGGAGTCCAGCTAATCTATTTTGAATCTGTCTATACTCCTGTACCTGGGCATAGGTGTCACCATGTCTATATGTGTATGTCTAGGAGTACAAGATCCACCCTTCTCAATCTGTATCATTTCCTACCTTGCTCTAAAAAGAATTTGGGAAATTTAATGAGCAATTTCAGGGACTAGTTTTTGAAAGCAGTTATGATAAATCTGTACCAACTGAGCCACTGTAGCTATTCCTCTTTATTAGACACACTTGTCTCCCTCTCTCTTTTCTGATTTTCTTATCTCTTAAATCTTCCATTCTTGTTTTCCTTTCAACATCCTCTAGATTATGGAAAACAACAAGTAAGTTTCCTGCCACAGAAAATGCACCTCATCCTTCTCTCTTCCTTTTGAAGTGTACCCCTGGATATTCCTCAGTGCTTTTTAGGGCATAAAGGTCTGTGGCCCCTAGTACAAAGAGATTGAAGACCTCTTTTTCTTTTCTTAGAGAGAGAGATAGACGAGAGAGAGAGACTCCTTCTGGGTGGTTTCTCCAAAGAGCCAAACTTATTTTCTTTTCCTGAGTAAAGGGATCTAGGACCATTTTTCAACCCTGGGCAAAGACTTATGGGCTGGAAAATTTCCAAGCAGAAGAGAGTCATAGATTCAAGATTCAAATTCAGAGAAAATGTCAGAGTCACTCACGAGCCATGTACTGGATTTTCCTCCACTCTGCAATGGAATGAATAGGGAAGGGTTATCAAGGTGCTCAAAGTGGGGATAAGAAGACATGCCTGGGTCTCCTGGGGAATGGGAACTTACTGAGTTCCTCCTGGAGCTTCTCTGGAAAATAAGCAAAAAAAGAAAAGAAAAAAAGAACAGTTATGGGTAAGGGGGGTTTTGGGAAAATAAACCTTAAACTTGATGCAGTGTCAGGGTGGGAATGGGGGTGAGATCTTCAGGCTGGGGCATGCAAGCCAGGGGCTTAGATTCTCTGCTTGCGTTGGATACCTCTTAGGCTTATTTCTTGCTCTGTTGCAGCGTATCCCATTTCTTTCATCTCTCGCTCTCTTTCTGTCTCCCTGGACAGAGCAATTTTTTCCTTCTGTTGTCTCCACAAGAAGTAACTGGCTCCTGCGAGAAGCAGCAACGAGATAGGCAGGGTCCCTGCCAGGGCCGCGATCCAGGGCTGGGCGCTCCTGAAGAAGGGGTCTGCGAAGGGGAGAGCTGTGGGTCATGGGAGCTAGTGCACTCAGCCTCCCCAGCCTCAGCACCCCAAGCTTTAGCTGCTCAGCCCAGGTTGGGGGCATGGAATCCATCTCATGAGGTTAAATAAGCGTTCTGTCCCTAAAGTCTCAGAGGACTGTAGAGAGGACTTTGGTAAACCCTCACTACAAGCTACTACTATTACTATCTTGAGAGGTCTGCCTCTCGTATGGAAATTAACTTCAGCAGAGTCATACTCATTTTTTTCTAAATATTTTTTCAACCAGTAACACATTTACATGGTTCAAAAACTTCATGTACATAAAGTTATGCAACTCTCCCATCTACCTAGTACTCCCTCCCTCCATCTATTAACTTTTCCTTAGTCCACTTAATATGATGCTTAGGGACATAAACTGTGGAGTCAGAGGGCAAGGGTTTAAATGCTGGCTCCCCTATGTGACTAGCAGTGTGATGTTGGACTACTTACATAACCTCTCTGTTTGTAGTGGCCTAATCTATAAAATGAGGGTAATGATAATGCCTATCTCCTGAGGTTAGAAGAATTAAATTAATACTTTAAAAGGGCCTAATGGGCTGCAGTGGGTCATGCCTGTAATCCCAGCACTTTGTGAGGCCGAGGCAGGCAGATCACTTGAGGTCAGGAGGTCGAGACCAGCTTGGCCGACACGGTGAAAACCCATGTTTACTAAAATTACAAAAATTAGCTGGGCATAGTGTCATGTCCCTGTAATCCCAACTACTTGGGAGGCTGAGGCTATAGAATTGCTTCAACCCAGGAAGCGGGGCTTGCAGTGAGCCAAGATTGTGCCACAGCATTCCAGCCTAGGTGACAGAGTGAGACTCTGTCTCTAAATAAGTAAATAAAGTACTTGATGTACAGTGAGTATTACAAAATTGCTTGTTAAATTTTAAAAATGTAAGTTAAATAACAGAATCAAGAACTAAAAAAAGTAAATTAAAATATGTTCCTATTTTTCCTCTTGTTTAAACTAAAAATAACATTCTATACACATCACTCTGCATCTCACTCTTCTGTGTAAAGTGTGTCTTGGAGATCTTTCCATATTAGTGTAGAGAGAATTATCTCTTTTTTCTTTCACAGTTGGGCAGTATTCCCTTGTATGGAAGTTCACCATCAGTGAGCATCTCCATAGCTTCTAACCTTATACAATCATAATCAATGCTATAAGAAACTTTTTATAGGCCGGGCTGGTGACTCACACTTGTAATCCCAGCACCTTGGGAGGCTGAGACAGGCGGATCAATTGGGGTCTGGAGTTTGAAACCAGCCTGGCCAACATGGTGAAACCACATCTCTAGTAAAAATATAAAAATTATCCAGGTGTGGTGGTGCATGCTTGTAATCCCAGCTACTGGGGAGGCTGAGACAGGAGGCTCTCTCGAACCCAGGAGGAGGAGGTTGCAGTGAGCCGAGATTGCGCCATTGCACTCCATCCTGGGCAACAGAGTGAGACTCCCTCTCAAAAAACATACAAACAAACAAACAAAAAAACCCCCAGAAACCTTTTACATGGATCATCTCATACAAATGCAAGCATATCCCAGAACTGGAATTTTGGATCAATAAATATGTAGTTTGGATAGATCCCCCAATAGAGCTTGTGCTAATGCACACCAAAAATACAAGTGACACGAGCAAATGACTGAGAGTCACTGCCTTCCTACACTCCTGCCATAGCCATGTGGTATCAAGCAAGGCAGTGGGGTTTTGATTTTTGCTAATATCATAAGTGAAAAATGATTTCAGATATGTTTCCCTAATGAGTGAGAATGAGCACTCTTTTGTGGGTTATTTCTTTTCCTGTGAATTAACAATTCATGACCTTTGTTAATATTTTTTACTCAGTTTTCAAACTCTTCTGTTTCAAAAAGATTAGCTCTTTCTCTATGAGTTTGTAAATATATATATGTTTTCCCATTTTGTCATTTGACTTTACATAAGGAGCTTCTCTTAATGTTTTTCCCCAATTCCCACTGCCTGTCACACTTTCTGTTTCTGTCAGACAGGAAGTGATCAGTAAATGTTTGTGGCATGAACAGCTTTGTGGCGTGGGGAAGCTCCCCTAAAGCAGTGAGTAGCCTTCAGGTCCCTGCTTTGAGCCTTACATGCATTGTAGAGACCCAGGTTGACCGCAGAGACTCACACAGTAGAGACTCACACATCCCCCTTCATCACCTGCCACAGCTCAGCTCAGTAAAGCTGAGGCCAAGCAGGGTACTGACCTGCGATGGATATGCTGGCTGTCTTTTCCAGGCCGAGGAGGGAATTTCTGATGATGCAGGATACACCCCCACCAGAGCTGCCTCTCATGATCACAGATGCTGCTACTGCATACAGGCCCACTCCATCTGCAACCACAGGTGCTTCCACAGCCGGGATGTTCTCTCCCTTGGTGTCGCTCCACTTTATTTGGGGTTGGGGGTACCAGCCAGTGGACCTGCACTCCAGATGGATCCCTCCATCCTCATAACCCTTCACTTCAATGTGAAGATCAGAACCCAATGCTGTAGAAGGATAAATTGCCCTAAATTCTTGAGAGCTCCTGTATCAGGGAGGGTCTCAATGGGAATCAATGGCAGACTCACATTTGATAATCCAAGGAAGATTTCATTCAGGAGCTATTTACACAAGTGTGGTCATGATGAAAAGAAAACTAAATGGGCTAGTGCAGTATCCCAGGGTCAGTAATGTGGGGCTATTCCCATCCACCCCAATTACCAGAGGGAGGAGGAGAGGGATCTGTTCCGGAGACATAAAAAGATTGATGCATTGAGGACTTTCTTGAGTTGACTTGTGACCTTCAGCAAGGCAATGCAGCCAGCCTGAGGGAATCTTGCAGGAAGGAAGCCAGGGAATAAGCACCCAGACCTCTCCCTTTTCTCTTCTTCCTACCATTGTCTGCTACAGCTCCCCTTAAACCAAACCCAACCAGAAGCCATGAGGCAAGGGATTGCACTGAGAAAGAAAAAAGCTCTCCTCGGCGTCTGGAACCTGATACCAGGTCTTGGTATCCTCCTGTTGAACATAAGTAATTTCACAGAACACAAAAAATAGTACTTTATCACTGTGACAGATCATGGGAAATACAAGACCACCCCAATCTTTTGTGAGTGCAGAGAAAAACATGAACATTGTACAAACCACAACAATAACCAAACATCCCCCATCAGCAATGAGGAATTGCTGCCTCTTCATCATTTACAGCTTTAGTCTCACCCTAGTCTCCTTCCTCCTAGATAAGCTTGATTAAGGCTCCCACTCTCAGAATTCATCTCCCCACACCTTCCTGACAGTATCTCATCCAGAGAAGAGAGCTAAGTCTATAAACCCTCCCCCAAATCCCCTAACACAAGCCCAAATTGTAAAATAAATCTGCTCTAAAACCTTACTGAGACCTCGCCACAGCTCCCCATGATGTGTGTTCTTCCTCAAAGCAACAAGTAAGAAACATGCCTCATTATACTACAAAAATGTTTCTGGGAGTCACTGATTGGAAAACACTGGCAGCAGATACAGTCACCATTCCACCTCCCAGGACCCACGGTAACGTGCACTTGGAGACACAACAGAAGCCGTCTGTTACATGACTAAACCAAAATGACTGTGTACCAGTCACTAAAGAGATGATTTCTAATGTTTCCTATCCGTCGTCCTTCATTTCCCTTATATCTCTGGTTGTCAGAGGGAGGGAGTTGTTTACTTCGGCATGTAAGGTACAGCAGGAATTCTTTCTAAAGAAAGAATGTGTCTTTCTTAAGGGTTGCAGAGAAGCTAAGTTGGGAGGCAGTGCAGACAATTGCTAGTGAGCAGCCAGGAGTGTCTGCAGTACTTTTGGAAGAGGGACTCTGCATCTGCTCTAGATCCTACAGAGAAGTGTTCTCAGAACAAAACCTGGAGGCTCACCTGCAACCTTCAGCTCCACCAGGGCTTTTTCGTAGAAGTCACCATCTTGGAAATAACACAAGTACTTTCCACTGTCAGAGGCTGTGACGTTGTGTATTCGGAGAGCAGCCTTCCCTGCAGTGATGCCATCCCGCAGAATCGAAGTTCTCCCTCGATACGGTGCACTCTGCCTGTCTTCCACTTCCTTTCCATCTGCATACACGTTCACCACCTGCCTTAGGCTGGAACTCACCCACCTCAGCTCCATGGTCTCTGCACTCATGGTCGGGAACAGGTGACAGGGCAGATCAGCGTCTTCACCCACCATGGCCAGGATGGGCCCAGAGGGTCCAAGCACAGAAAACTGAGCTGTCAGCACAAGGGGGAAGCTCCATCAGAGGGTTTTGGAGTTGGGGTCACGAGAGGAAGGGTCCTTCTCAGACAGGGAAGGCGAGATACAGAGAACCTAGAGGGGAACACAATCCTAACAGAAGGACCATTTGTCTCTTTGTGACAGGTGGTCCTTCAGGTTGGGATGGACTTCCAGGTATGGGAATGAGTTAAAGGTTCTAAGAGGGCATTTAGGTAATTGTCTGCTTAATTAGGTAATTGAGATAATTGTCTGCTTCAGAAACATAAATGTGGAATCATGGAATCATTCCCTACCTGAGCAAGGAGTGAGCAGCTGGACCAAGAAGAGGGAGACATGAAAGTTGAGCAGAAGGAAAGCCAGGGAACTTGCCATTTTCATCTATGCTGCATATCAAGAGATACCAGAAGGTGTGGGACAGACACTATGGCCTGGAAGAAGCTTTAGGCTTCTGCATGGAAATGTCCACTTCCCCAGGGCTAACTCAAGTATGGTGACCAAAGAAGATCTTACCTCTGCCAAAAATGTCTGTCCTTGAGTGTCTTTACCTTTGGGTTCCAGTATGGAAAACCATCTGTAAAAATAATATCTGTTATCTGATCAGGACATCTCTGACTCTACTGCATTAAAATATTAAAATATTCATAATCCTATCACTTCCCCACACTTCCCTTGCCAGGTCCAAGCTTCCATCATCCCCCTCTGATTCATGAAGGACCCTCTTCACTGGATTCCCTGGTCCCACCCTTGTTCAGCTCTGTGGGTGTCCAACACTGTGGACTCCTCAAGCATCAAACTCTTGGCCATTACTACAGTCAACTTATGGCCTGGTGGCTCCTGGTGGGATCCAGGCAGACTGCCTGGCAGAGGCTCTGAAGTCAGTCAGGGGCTGAACCCACCACGTTTAATCACAAAGATATTGATTAGGAGAGCTTTGAATAAGACCAGGCCTTACTCATCTTTTCTTTCTTCCCTTCATAAAGTCATTCAACAAGTATTTACTGAGCACCCACAATGGGTGAGGCCTACTATATTAGTGTTAAGGACATAAAGAAGGTAAGCAATAGGTAAAGGCTCTAAGATTCACAAGCTGTGTGATCTTGTTCATGGGACAAAACCATTGGAACTTTATTGATTCATACAATATCATGAAGTGTGAAATTTCGAATGTGCACAATTGGGTCCAGCAATTCCACTTTCTGATGTCTAGTCTAGCAAAGTACTTGCATGAGTGCAGAGAGAAGCCTCTGTGAGAATGACACTGCAGCACTGTTTTTAAAGTATAAAAGTGGTAACCGACTGAACCAGCCACCCAACAGGAGACTGTTTAGAGGAACTACGGCTCATCCCTCAGAGGGAATTCAATGCAGCAGGTAAAAAGAGTTGATTTATTGTCATGAACCTAGATAATGGTGATACACTAAGCGGTCAAAAAGCATGTTGCAGAACTACACTAATGATTCAACTGAAAAACAAAAACAAAGCTATACATTTCTGCATATTTATAGATGTAAACGCCTGAAAAAGTCTAAAAAGATGCATGCTAAACTGAAGATCGGAAGTTAAGTGAGCAAAAGAACACGTTGGCCTTTTGCTCCCTTTACTTTTAAAATATTGAAATGCTTTAAATTTAAGATTTTTCATGTATTACTTAACAGTAATTATTATGAGTGATAATACTGACTGGAACATATAAGCTGCTCAGTAAATACTAACTCCTCAACAGTTTCTTCCAAAGCAAAGGAGCATGAGGCCTGCAGCCACAACACCCGCTGCTGTAGCTACCTGAGTCTGGGAATGGCCTCTGAGAACAAGGTCTGCAGAGGGAGGTGGGGAGGGATGAAGAGAAAGCACCGGAACAGAGGTCTGTGCAGCCGGCCATCCTCCACCCTCGCCTGGATCTTGCACTGACCCAGACTAAATATTGCATTTCACATCTTCTGTTCCTCAAAACTTCTCTTTATGTTGCTATAGAAGGGGTATCATTTTTATTATCACTGGTTTCAAAGTTAACAATTTCTCTGCTCTGCTTAGAGTGAGACATATGTTTTCATTCTTTTTAAAGGATGTTTATATTTTCTTCCTGATTATAGTCAATATTGCAAATGAAGAAAAGCATAAAGGAATAAAAGTTCAGTGGCTCATGCCTGCAATCTTAGCAATTTGGATGGTCAAGGTGGGAGGATTCCTTGAGCCCAGGGGTTTAAAACAGCCTGGGTAACATAATGAGACCCCCATTTCTACAAATTAGTCAATCAATAAAATTAAAACTCTGTAGTAGTAATCATATACTTTGGTAGTAGAAATATAAATATTTCTCAAAGCATTTTGGTCATATATACAGCAAGCATCTTTAAAAAGTTACATGCTCTACCAAGGAAATGCTATTAAAAAAAAAAGTTGTATGCTTTACCCAAAAGTTCCACTTATAGGAATTATTGTTGAGGCAAAAAAAAAAGACAGAAATTAAGACAAAAATTTATGTCTGAGGTTGTTAAATATAATAAAATCTATACAGTAGCCAAATGTAGATAATTGAAATAGCCAAAATTAGTAAAGTATTACAAAATAATTATATATTCACACAATGAAATAGATTGTGTCCATTGAAACACATATATTGGGTTATGAGGAAATGATTAATGGAAGGAAAAACAGATACTGTACCTAAAACATACAAAACAAGGTTTAATGTATGGATCTAATGCTGTTAAAATGAGAAATAATTGCCCTTCATTAAAAACATGATGCCTAAAAGCTGCATAGAAATCTCTTTTATGATAGAGCCACGCACTGTTTGTCTACCCCCTGCCTGTTGTATGTGTATGCTGGTTCAGATTTTTCTATATTATAAGTATTTCTGTAATGAACAAATTTACATATGAATCTATAAGGCACATCTCTTTCTAGAATCTCTTAGAATAGATGGCTTGTGTTGGCCAAAACAGATTTTAGCGACTTTTTTGCCCTTTTCTGACCACAATAAGTTCTTAAGAACATGCAGTTGGAATATTTCTTCATTTATGTTGTCTCCCTCTCCTTCCACCAAATCCCAATATCTGCAGGTCTTTATTCTTTGCACTACTTGCCTCTTCTCCATGTGCCCACATGTGTGCATGGGTGCCCATGCGCACACACGCACACACACACACACACACACACACACACACACACACACACACAGAGGCACTGCACCCCTTTCCCTGGGCAAGTACTCTCCCTGCATGCCCACTCACCACTCTCAGCGATTCAGCTCTTGTCCTCCCAGGCATTGTAGCCCAGGCTCTAATCAACATTCCCCACTTACTTCTTAGTATTCCCCTCTGAAAATCACAGCCCACTGAAGAATGGTGGTTAATAGTTCTCCATTCTTTCTATTATGGTTGAGTCTCTCATTCCGAAGAAAGGAAAAAGAAAGCAGAGGCTATCTGGTTATTGTGAGGAATAATAACAATCTCTTTTTGGAAGAATTAGTTTTTTGATTGGCTCAGAGGTGATGTTTCTCATCAGTTGCTGGGAGGAAACCACTGAGGAGGGTTGAAATGAAAAGTGAAAGTACATTGAATTGTACACGTTGCAGAAAAATTCCAGCCGTACCTCCCTTAGTGTTTGTGTTTCTGTGTTTATCTATTTGAATCATTATTGCGTGTCCATGTATATAAGTATTTCTACATATTTACTTAAGTCTTTTATCATAATAGAAATAGCAGCAGAACAAAATGAGAAAAGATTATAATGTGGTGAAGAGAGAAAGTTGTGCACTAATTAAAATGCTACTGTGGCAGTTTGCTAACATTTGCTTGCATGAATATGGGTACCTGAAGGAGGAGATTTTACTACAGCGTCAAATAAATGTATACATGGAAAGAAAGCCAGACGCAATGCACATTTTTAAGCACCTCCAGCATCCAGACTTAGGATCTGTTATCAAATAATATAATGTTTCTGGTTTCCAGAGGCAGTGCTGATTGACATTTTTTACCTTTTTCAGGAAACTTTTAGTGCAGGTGTTTCTGAGCATCTTCATTCGCCCTCAGCTCCTGGTTTGTGCTATATTGTATTTTCCTGTGTATTTATTTCTCGTGCTGCCAGTGGAGTACATATTATCTGAAGCTGGAATCTAGATAGACTACAAATGCCATCTCTGTAAGAGGTCTGTGAGACAAACTGGTTCTTCCTGTGGCCTAGGACCTCAAAACACACTTTTTGGATTTGCAAGTCAGTGATCAAAACTCCTAAGATTAAGATGTGACTGGGGTTGATGAAATTTGATTATATTGTAACAGTTTGAATTTAGGCTGTGCAGTATCTGGTTGAGATGGCTGGTCCCTTCTGCATCATGCAGTCCCCCTTTCTTCTTGGTGATAAAGCCTAATTTTCTTGGGTACTTCAATAGGCTCTGCTATCTCATAGATACCAGAGAACAAGGGACTAAGTTGGAATCAATAGTTTGTAGGTAAAGTTGTGGGCTTGTGTTTCTCCCAGAGATCCTTCAGAATGGAGGCCAAGATAGCTGGGAGTGTGAGTGTACACTCTCCGTACTTCCTTCTTCCTCTTGTCTTGGATGTAGACTTTTGAACTAGAGGTGCGGCAGCCCTCTTAGAACCATGAGGCAACCTTGAGGTTGAAAGCCACATGCAGAGACAGCAGAGAATGAAGTCAGAAGCAGGCTGGGGCATGAATGACATCTCTGAGCTGCCAGGTCAGCCCTGGACTACCGCCATCTAAATTCATTTTACATGAAAACAAACAACAACATCAAGAAAAAACAAGAAAACCCTTGTTTTGTTTAAGCCAATGGTATTTCTGGTCTCTGTTACCAACAGAATCCCACAATTCTTCCCTCCCCCTTTTCCTTCCCAACAGTTTACCATAACACTTCTAAAACATAAAGCAAAGGTGAAAGAATTTTTGGTGAATACCAATATGCCTACCATGTAGATTATAGTGATATACTTAATATTTTACGAAACTTTCTTACTTTATTATAATCCATACCACTGTTCATTCCCTATTTATCCATCATACTTATTTATTTAAATGTTCATTTGCTCATTTTTATTTCTTTTCTTTTTCTTTTTTTTTTTTTGGTGAGATGGAGATTTACTCTTGTTGCCCAGGCTGGAGTGCAATGGTGCGATCTCGGCTCACCGCATCCTCCGGCTCCGAAGGTTCAAGCGATTCTCCTGCCTCAGCCTCCTGAGTAGCTGGGATTGCAGGCATGTGCCACCATGCCCGGCTAATTTTGTATTTTTAGTAGAGACTGGGTTTCACCGTGTTGCCCAGGCTGATCTCAAACTCCTGACCTCAGGTGATACGCCCGCTTCGGCCTCCCAAAGTGCTGGGATTACAGGCATGAGCCACTGAGCCCAGCCCATTTGCTCATTTTTAAATTCACAGTCTATCAGAAGCTGTGCTGCTTGAAATTATATCAGTAAGAATGATCACCCCACCCTTGCCTGAAGGATCCAAGTCATTTTTGACACAGCAGCTGAGGTGCTAAGCTTCAGATTAGGAGTTTCTGGGACCAATAGTTTGTATCGTTGAACTTTGTAGTTTCCAAAGTGTGAGGCCCTGGGTCCATTTCTCATCAGTCCTTTATACCGAACTCTGACAAAGAAGTCTTGGGAAAGAAATGGATGTGAAATGGGGCAGAAATGAATTCAGTGATTCAACAAATTTTTATTGAGAACCTACCATGTAGTAGGTCTCAGCCACTGAAGTTCAAAACTAGTGAGGAGAGGTTGCATAATAGAGTGGATAAGAGCACTAATTCTGAAGCCAGGTGGCCTGTGTGACCTTTGGCCAGTTCTCTAACTTCTTTGTGCCCCAGTTTCCCTACCTGTAAAATAATGACAGTAATAGTACTTGACTTTTAAGAGTTGTTGCTGTGAGCATGGAATGAGACAACACATGCAGTTTGCTTACAACAGTGTATGATAAAAAAGTAAGTCATAAGAATGTACGCTAAATGAAAAGTGCACTCAGCCCTCCTTCAAGACCTAGGCACTTGATGCTATCTTCTCTTTATCTTTTATAAGATCTAGTGCAGTGTCCTGCATGCAGTAGGTGTGGCAAAATGCCCAGAGATTTGTCTCCTTTATCGAGTTAGTCTCACCAAGAAATGTCCATTTCTCATGGTTATCTCACCTCTTGCTGCCATTAGGACCTCCCATGAACACAAATTTTCTTTATGCTACATCTAGATATCTGTCAGCATGTCCCAGGCACACTGGCTTACTATCTACTCTCTCTAGGCTTTTTTTTTTCTATCTTCATCTGTTGTCATGCACAACTCATTAGCCCTGGAACCCAAAGCTGGTTAACTAATCACTCAATGTTTCTGTTTCTTTGTCTATAGTGGAAATGAGACATGGTCCATAAGTTATTTAAGGAAGAGTTAGCACAGCACCTGCATGTATTAACCCTAAATGAATTTCATTGTCTTCCATTCTGAAAGGCTTAATTCTGATCCCTGCATTGATGACTCCTAAATCCACCTCCCCTGGAGAAAACATCGACAGTTGCCTGCTGTGAGTTGGAGTTTTAGTGTGAAGGTGAAGGGAAAATATCTGAAAAGTATGACGTGAGAAAATGTGTACACTGAAAATAGCAGTGGGGCAGGTGCCAGGGAAGATGGGAGGTAGGGGGCACCTTTTACATTGTATTCCATGGGATGATGCCTGCTGGGGTTGCACAATATATCCCATCCTCATCCGGTGGGCCACACGTTAGGAGATAGGGAGACCAGAAAGGAAGCTACTGTGACACTCTAGGCAAGAAATGATGGCAGCTTGGCAATGGAGGAGAGGGGACTTGATTGATTACTCACATTAATACTAGGAAATACTTACATAGAACCTGCTACAATGCTAGTATTGTGCTTAGAGATTTACATATATTAACAAGATTCACAACAACACTAAGAGGTACCTTATTTCCCACATTTTATAGACGTAAAAGCTGAGGTCCAGGGAGGTTAAATGACTTCCCAAGGTCACACAAGTAGTTTCTTTCTGAGCTGGGCCTTGAGCCCAGGCTGTCTCACTCCAGAGTCTTTGATCAAACCACTAAGCTGGACTATTGAAAGGAAGTACAAATAGCAGGGCTTGGCTATCAGTCGGATGTGGTGGGTTAAGAGAGAACAAGAGAAGGCTAAAATGACTCTTAGGTGGTGTCAGTCATTCAGATGATGATGGGTAGGCAGGGTTGATGGGAATTTTATTTTGGATACACTCATTGTGAGATGCCTAGTGGGCACTGAGTTCAGGGAATGTGTGGGGCTGGAGACAGAAGTACAGGTGCCAGTGGGGGTCTGCTTATGGGATAGGTGCCAGTGGGGGTCTGCTCTGAAAATGGATTGGACCATATGAGTATATGTGGTGTGAAATGAGAGCCCAGGACCAAAGCCTAAGGAATTTCAGCAGTTCTGGAGCAAGTGGAGCAAGAATTCTGAGAAAGATCTCCCTAGGAGCAGGGAAAGACCAAGAAGAGGGCCCTGGGGATTGATGAGGCAGATGCCACATAGGCAGGAACACCTACTCAGGCAGGTCTATGAAGAACTCAGGGTTGTCCATAAAGAAAGGACAGAGGTGTATAAAGACAAGCAAGGCCCAGTGTCTCACAGCTACAATCCCAGCACTATGGGATGCTAAGGCAGGAGGATCACTTGAGCCCAGGAGATCAAGGCCGCACTCAGCTATGATCACGTCACTGACCTCTAGCCTGGGGGGTGACAGAGCAAGATCCTATCTCTCTTAAAAAAAAAAAAAAAAAAAGCATGGCGGTGGGAGGGGAAAATAGAAATGTATAATGGATTTAATGATTGGGAATCCACTAGTAACTGTAAAACAATGTTTATGGTGTGGTACAGCAGTGGCCATCATCATGGCAAACAGTGCCTGACGGCCATGCATGTGTTCTCTTTCTGAGACTTTGCTTTCATGGAAGTAGAGACCTAGAGAAAGGCAAGTGTGGTGTATTGCCCTGGGAAAGGGGAAGCAGGGCAGTTACAGTGGGAGAACCTTGAGCTTGTATATGGTGTAGCCTACAGACTCTGGAGTGGACCCCTTATGATTACTCCTCTTGCAGTTTGCAGCCTGTACTTTCCCTGAGTGTGAGCTGAACCTATGGCTTACTGCTAACCAATAAAATATGGTAAAGCTGATGGCATGTCCCTTCCATGACTACATAATGTAGTGTAAGACTCTGTCTTGCTAGCTGACCCACTCTAGAGTCTCTGTCTTCCTGGCTGGCTTTGAAGACAAAAGTAGTCATCGTTGGAGACCCACATAGCAAGGAGCTGAGGTGGCCTGTAGGAGCTTAGAGCAGCCTCCAGCTTCAGCCTGCAGGGAGTCCTTCAACTGTAAAGAAATGAATTCTGTTAATGACCTGAGTGATCTGAAAAGAGGACTCTCCCACAGTCAAGACAAGATGAGGCTACATACAGCCTGGCCAACACCTTGACTTTTGCTTTGTAAAGTTCTGAGCAGAGAAGCCATCTAAGGTCTGCCTGGACTTCTGACCCAGAGAAACTAAAATGACAAATGTCTGCTGTTTTGAACCACTAAGTTTGCAGTAATTTGTTAAGCAGCAATAGATCACTAATGCATTAAATTGAAACAGGCAGTGGCAACAATCATGAAGATACAGAATACAGAAAGAATAACTTGTGTTTCCAGCCCTGACCTGTTGCCTGGACTGCACATTAATTGTTATTGCTATCATTTTATTTATTTACTTATTTACTTATTTTTTGAGATGGAGTCTCACTCTGTCTCCCAGGTTGGAGTGCAGTGGTGCAATCTCGGTTCACTGTAACCTCCGCCTCCCAGGTTCAAGTGATTCTTCTATCTCAGCCTCCTGAGTAGTTGGGATTACAGGCGCATGCCACTGCACCCATCTAATTTTTGTATTTTTAGTAGAGATGGGATTTCGCCATGTTGGCCAGGCTGGTCTCAAACACTTGACCTCAGGTGATCCACCTGCCTCGGCTTCCCAATGTGCTGAGATTACAGATATGAGCCACTGTGCCTGGCATGCACATTTATTATTGACCTGCCTACTCTGCATCTCCACGGGGATCTCTAGTAAGCTCCTCAACCCGAACGTATCCAAAACTGACCTTGGATTCTATGCTGGCTCCTCCTCTGGCCTCCAAAATGGACTTCTCCCTCAGTTTCCTCATCTCCATAAGTAGCAACTCCATCTGTACCATTTCTTAGGATTAAAACCTTATGGTCATCCTTGATGTCCTCCTTTTTCACACAGCACATTTAGGTTTACCAGCAAAGCCTTTTTACTCTGTCTTGAAAATAAATCCAGCATCAGATCATTCCATGGCTCCTCCCTGGTACAAGTCATCGGCATCTCCCCTCTGGATCACTGCAGTAGCTCCCAGCTGGGTCTTCAGGCTTCCATCCACCACCCCTACACATAGCCCATCTTGGTCTAGCATCTGAAGTAAGTCCAGTTTTTTTTTCTGCCAAGCCTTCCAGTGGCTCCCCTCTCACAGGTAAAGCCCAGGTTAGCATGATGACTTTCAGGGGCATATATGATCTGGCCCTCAACCCCAGAGGTTGAAAGAATCACTCTGTATCGGAGGAACCCGCCCCCGATAATTCTTCATAGGTTCTTTTCTATTTTCCTTAAGTGTCACCTGGTCTGAGAAATAAAGGGAAAGAGTACGAAGAGAGAAATTTTAAAGCTAGGTGTCCAGGGAAGACATCACATGTTGGCAGGTTCCGTGATGCCCCCTAAGCCACAAAACCAGCAAGTTTTTATTAGTGATTTTCAAAAGGGGAGGGAGTGTATGAATAGGGTGGGGGTCAGAGAGATCACATGCTTCACAAGGTAATAAAATATCACAAGGCAAATGGAGGCAGGGCAAGATCACAGGACGGGGTGAAATTAAAATTGCTAATGAAGTTTCAGGCACACATTGTCATTGATGACATCTTATCAGGGGACAGGGTTTGAGAGCAGACAACCGGTCTGACCAAAATTTATTAGGAGGGAATTTCCTCTTCCTAATAAGCCTGGGAGCGCAACGGGAGACCGGGACTTTTTTCATCCCTTATCTACAACTGTAAAAGACAGACGTTCCTAAAGCAGCCATTTCAGAGGCCTCCCCTTCGGAACACATTCTCTTTCTCAGGGATGTTCCTTGCTGAGAAAAAGAATTCAGCAATATTTCTCCTATTTGCTTTTGAAAGAAGAAAAATATGGCTCTGTTCTGCCCGGCCCACAGGCAGCCAGACCTTAAGGTTATCTCCTTTGTTCCCTGAACATCGCTGTTATCCTGTTCTTTTTTCAAGGTGCCCAGATTTCATATTGTTTAAACAATTTGTGCAGTTAACGCAATCATCACAGGGCCCTGAGGCGACATTTATCCTCAGCTTATGAAGATAAAGGGATAAAGAGATTAAAGCAAAGACAGGCATAGGAAATCACAAGAGTATTGATTGGGGAAGTGATAAGTGTCTATGAAATCTTCACAATTTATGTTCAGAGACTGCAGTAAAGACAGGCATAAGAAATTATAAAAGTATTAATTTGGGGAACTAATAAATGTCCATGAAATTTTCACAATTTAAGTTTTTCTGCCATGGCTTCAGCTGGTCCCTCCATTCGGGGTCCCTGACTTCCTGCAACAACTCTGGATTCTTTCAATAATGTGCCTTTTTGTAACTGCAGTAATACAATTTTGGACTATTTAAATTTTTTTCATTCCTGTTGGATTATTGAATTGTCTCAAACCTAAAATACTACCATTCAAGTCAGAATTTTAGATGCCTGATTGTATTAGTCAGAATTCTCCAGAGAAACAAAACCAATACCATATAGATATAGATACATATGATGAGCGGGTGTTTATTAGGGAAATTGGCTCATGTGATTATGCAAGCTGAGAAATCCCATGACAGCTCGTCTGTAGGCTGGAGACCCTGGGATGCTGGTAGTATGGCTCAGTTTAAGTCTGAAAGCCTCAGAACTAGGGAAGCCGATTGTGTAAATCTCAGTCCAAAGTGAAAGGCCTGAGAACCCAGGGCTTCCTGGTACAAGTCCCAAAGTTCAAAGGCCCGAGAGCCAGCAGTTCTGATGTCCAAGAGCAGCAGAAGAAGAATGTCTCAGGGGAGAGAAGAATTTGCCTTTCCTCTGCCTTTTTGTTATATTGGGCCCCCAGCCAATAGGAGGGGAGAATTTCCCACTGACTCACATGTCAATCTCTTCTGGAAACACACTCACAAATACATCCAGAAATAATATACCAGTTGTCTAGGTATTCCGTAATCCAGTCAAGTTGACACCTAAAATTAAGCAGCTCATGGATTCACTTCCAGGATCCACTATTCCAAACATGGTCTGGGGATGTCTAGGGAGAACTCTGATATACTCCTAAGGAGTCCCCAATCTTAATACTATTTTCATCATCATCATCATCATAATATAACATTTGTTGTTTTTGATCTCATTCTCTTGGTAGGGTATGATATACCAACAGATTTAATACAAAAGCAGATATGAGAATACAAACATCTTCCATTAAGCCAGACATCAGATTTGAAACAAGTTAACCAGTGTCACACTTCTTGTTTTTTTGTTTGGACACAACAGTTGATTTTTCAGAAAGCATTCTATTTATATTAACCTACATTTGGTTCATTCATTATATTTTAACATGAATTAGTAAATAACATTTTAACATTTTCTGTTTTAATGTCAAATGCCATAAATATTAACAAATATCAACCCAAATAAACAAGAGCTCCTCAAGGCCCTCAGTAGTTATTAAGTGTCTAAAGACATAATTAGACCAGGAAGTTTGAAGCCACTAGTGCCCCCCATTGAACTTGAATGCTGATGTAGACCTTGTCCAGTACTGCCTTGCTCAATCAGGACCTCAAGCCTCAACCACACCCAAGGACTGAGTACTGACTCCTTGTTTATTGCAGGGACACGTGAGCCAAACCACATCCACATGTCCATATTCTTCATTCATCTTCGTCCCAGGTCCAGGCCTGTGGGTGTGTGCTGTGGAAATCCTGGGGTTGGGTGGAAATGAGCCATCATCTCCTGGGACTCCTTAGCTGTTATGGTGGGGCTTAAGCACCCTTACAACCTTGGTCCCTCCCAGCTCTCTGGTTCCACTTCGTCTATCTCTGACCTGCATATCTGGTTCACTCACCCTCTGGTGGTCCTGTGGATTCCTCTCTCCTCTCACATCCTGGCGACTCCTCTTGGCCTCATTCCAAGTCCACAGCATCTGGTGCCAACTGGCATACTGGGTTCAATGTAGTCACTGTGATGTTAAACAGCAGGTTCACTACCAATCAGCTTCTCACACTTTCTTCCTGGCTGGGAGCTGTGGAACAACTAGTTCCCTATGCCTGGATTCCATCCCATAGTTACAACCAAAGGAACTACTAAAGCCACACCTAATGAGGAGGTGAACAGGGGCTGAGGTCTGGAGTGGGTGTGAAAGAGGCAGCTGGAAGATGTTCTCTTGTGTGACCAGAGGGGAGGAGGGCGTGTCTTCCACCAGAGGCATTGTGCAGTGGCTGCTGAGATGGCCAGGGCTTGTTTCCATGGCTGTGAGACTGGGGAACTGATTCTGTGGGCTGTGGTGGGTCCCTGCTCTGTGAAGTGTCCAGCCCTCTTCAGGCACCGTGACCCCACTGGCTCCTGTGAATGCAGAGCAGATTAAGATTTGGCTGTCATAAGACCCTAAGCTGAAGAAGGGCCTCACAGGCACAGAAAAGGCTGAATGGGGAAATGTGTAGATGTGTGATCTGTCCCTCATGTTGTAGAAGGAGACGTCTCCAGCTTCATAGTCCAGGAAGATGCCCACCTGGCAAAGGGGCTCCTCCAGAGAGAGAATCCACTTAAGGGAGGTCAGGGCCCAGTATTTCCTTTTATGCATCTCCAAGGTCCAGAAGCCATTCTGAGGAAGTAGTGGGACCTCCCATTTCCTCTCAACATTGTCTCTACAGATCCCCACAGTCCACTCAATCACATTTTCCACATCTACCTCCAAGTAATGTTTCCCTGAGGCGAAGCTCTCCTGGCCCAGGACACAAAGCTGACTGTCGAATCTCTCTGGGTTGCCCGGAATGCTCTCCCTGGAGGGGTCCAATGTCACACTTCTTTTGTCCTCTGACACGAAGAGATAGGGATGACCAGTGTCTTGGTCCAGGACAACATTGGCTGCAGAGGAAGTCTCAGGAACTCTGTGTGGTTCCTGGTGCCCTGAGAGGTCTCAGAAAGCTGCAGCGGGATCCCCATGTAGGGGCCATTTCCACGAAGGCCCCCTGATCCCAGGCAGCTCATACCCGAGAATTACTGAAGATGCACTTTTTTTTTTTTTTGAGACTGAGCTTTGCTCTTGTTGCCAGGCCTGAGTGCAGTGGTGCAATCTCGGCTCACCGCAACCTCTGTCTCCCGGGTTCAAGTGATTCTCCTGCCTCAGCCCCCCAAGGAGCTGGGGTTACAGGTATGTGCCACCGTGCCTGGCTAATTTTATATTTTTAGTAGAAACAGGGTTTCTCTCCATGTTGGTCAGGCTGGTCTCGAATGCCCAACCTCAGTTGATCCTCCCACCTCTGCCTCCCAAAGTGCTGGGATTACAGGTGTGAGCCACCATCCTGGCCTCTGAAGCTGCATTTCTGTCTCTCCAGAGACAGTAAGCAGCACCCTCAGGTTGAGAAGAACTGAGGCTTTATGAAATCCAGAGAATTTGGGGAATGAGCCCAAATTAATCATTCACAATTTTAGCATTCTAAAATCTATTCCCTTTTCTATTCAAGACCTATGATCTCTGGGACTTTCTTTAGTTAGAAACTTTCCAACTTGGCTCAAACCAGCACAGAGGCTTTATGTCCTGCTCCTCCTCTCCCCATTGGATCAACTAAGGTGAGTCTTTCCCTTCACACTGTCCTGGAGGATAAAGGGTTTCTTCGTTGGTCCTATGTGTTCCTTTTACCAGATGACAACTGATTTAAATGACTGACGAGGGCACCCTTCGAGGATAAAGGAGAAAAATAAATGTCCCCAAAAGAAAACCTACTGCCTGAGGGGTCTGTAGGCAAAGGTATGGAGGAACTATTTCCATCCAGTTTTGCTTCAACAACATGGGTCTGATGTCTGCAGGTATGACTTCTGTATACCTATTAGATCAACAAACTCCAAAAGGAAGAAAAGATTCTGTCTAGGGAAAAGGGATTTGAATAGGAAAGGAAAGAAACTGCTAAAAGAACTGGGGAAAGAACATATAGGTAGGTACAGGAAATGTAGGTGCCTACCTAGGTACATTTCCTGTCAGTGCAAGAAATGCTCCAGACTCCGGGCATTCTGCCGGCCTCCCCCATCTACATTTATTCTTACTTATTTAGTCTACCTTTCTATTGTGTTAAAATGATTTCCTCCATTCCCCAAGTTAATATGTCTGGTTGTGACATTTTGCTATTTGGTCCCAAGTTGACAGTGGCAATTTTGAAATTCACCTAAAGAGGAAGGGTCCGTGTGCCATGGTATCTGGTGAAGCTTGGATTCTGTGGTGCTTATGGGCAGAGGGGCTCAATCATAAGATGGGAAGTGCCCATTGGGAGTGGGCAATTGGGTTCTGTGCTCTCCCACCCACCCGAACCCCCTCCCCTGGCAGGCTATATATACACAAAGTATAGGTGTTCTCTTAAGAGCAGAAAGGCATTTCTGGCCAGTTATTTGTATACCATTCTGTCAAGCTGATTGGGAACCTTTATAGCCTCTTGCCAACATGTGCCTTCAACTATGCACAGTCTACATCATTCCTAGTATATAAATTGCTAAGACAGCATTGTCTTCTTTCAAACTGATCCAGAATCAAAGAGCAAAAACCACTGAAGCATAAGTCTTGGGGAGGCTACTATATATGGAAACCTCTGGTAATCATGTATTAAATTATTCCAAAAGAGAAAGGATCCTGGGATGTAAACCACGGTGGATTGAGAGCTGCTGGGATTCTCTGACAGAAGAGCCATGATGCATCATTGCTGGGACACTGTTGATGAACTGACCCCAATTCCCTGCTATCCCTGTGTAGCCCTGGGCCCCTTGCTCATCTCCTCTAAGGAGTCCTGTTAGCTGGCTAGCGGGAGAAAGCTGAGATCTGAGGGAGCATCAGAGGCACTCACCAGCATGTAAGAATGTTCTTCTCCATCCTGCAAGGGACAGACAGAGGTTGAATGTCATGAGATGCTGCTAAATGAGCAGAACACAAATTGTACATGGAGTAGTTCAGGAAAGGCTAAACGTATGCAATTCTTCAGAAGTTGCTCTGAAAAACAGAAACAAAATCATGTCTTTAACAGAAGAACTAAAAGAAGTCGGGTTTATAGTAAGCAAAGCAGGAACAGCCCTTTCTATGAACAGCAACATCTCCCTTCCCTCATGCCTAGGGCACTGTCAGAAACCAGAAATGATATATGATCAGGGGCTGGGTAGTACCAGTACATTGTTACACTTGCTTTTGCTCAACCATTTAGTACTTCATGTAGCCAGGTGAATGAGTGCAATGCGGGCAGAATGAAAGAACAAAAGCTCTGAGAGATTCATTCCAAGGACATGAGAGTTCCAAGTCCTTGCTGCTGCTGCTGTGCATTTCCTCTCTCTTCTGTATGCTGGTACCTGGGAGAGCTGTGTTCTTTCTATAATGGTGAACTGTCCTCCTACTCTTTTACTTTTTTTTTTTTTTTTTAATTAGACACAGGGTCTCACTTTATTGCCCAGGTTGGTCTCGAACTCCTGGGCTCAAGTAATCCGCCTGCCTCAGCCTCCCACAGTGTTGGGATTCAAGCCATGAGCCACCATACCTGGCCTCTTTTACTGTTTATCTGAAGTTCTTTCTCTTTTTCCACATGTTCTTTCTCCAGTTCCTTTAGTGCAGTTTCTTTCCTTTCCTGTTCAAGCTCCTTTTGCCCTGACAGAATCTTTTTTTTCCTTTTGGAGATTGTTGATCCAGTAGATGCATATGGCAATGGGTATCATCAGAATAATCATGATAACAGGCAGGATCACCACACATGGAGACCTGCTGGGCATAAAGGATTCTGAAAAGGAAGCCAGAAACGTCCACTTAGTTTGAAACAGAACATCCAGGTGAGAGTGCCCCTAGCAGCACATCTCAAGAGCTCCTCAGCCTCCTGCTCTATTAGTTTCTCCCTCAGAAAACTTGGATGGAGAAAGTGATGCTGGCTCAGCCCTGGCTGACACCTCAGTGGCTTCCAGGGCCAAGGCCCAGAGGTAGCAAAGCAGAAACATCTGGAGTCACGGTAGGAAGGACCAGTGTACATAAAGCTAACCCGTTATGCTGAGTCAGCACAGCCGCCACCCTGCCTCAAGCCACCACCACTCATACCTGGAATACTGCAGTGCCTTCCTTCTTATTCTGCCCTTACCATTGGTAGTCCATTCTCAGCAGACCAGCCCAAGTGAGATCATGTTAATTCTTAGCTCAAATCCTTCCAATGCTTTCCAAGTCACTCGCTCTAAAAACCAGTCTTTTTGTGGCTTGCGATGCCATGTATGTGTTTTCATTGCCTCTGTGAATTCATCTCCTCTCACTTCCTGCACTCACTCCATTTCAGCCACAACAGCATCACCTCCTGAGGGTCCTGGAAACTGCCAGAGATGTTCCTTCCCCAGGCCCTTTGCATATGCTCTTCCTGTAGCTGGGTTGCTCAGTCTTTAAGCATCTGATGGTTCCTTGCCATCAGACAGAATGACTCAATTCCATCTTTACAGTGAATTCTTCCCTGACCATTCTGTTAATAATTGCAATATCTCATGCCCCTGCCTCTCTTTATTCCCTCCATGCTTAATGTTTCCTACAGATGTTCAAACCATCTGATAGAGTATATGGTCAATTATTTAATCACTTTTTGAGGGAGGAGATCTTGATATATTTTGTTCAATGATTTACCCTTGGTTTCTAGAACAGTGTCTTGAGCATTTGTTGAATGAATTATGAGCGTGTATCAATAAGGATTTTCCCCAGCTCTGTCCCTTGGGAAATCCCCTGGGCAGGAAGGGATGGCTGCAGCATACAGGAACACCAAGTGTAGAGAGTCACCTATCCACACCACCCTCCCTCCATGTGTCATGGTTGTTTTCAATGTTTAAAAATTGCTGCATCATAAGGATCTTGCAGGAAAAAAAAAAAAAAGACTAGGTTCGCCCTCAGAGAAGAGGCTCCTACTCCCGAGTTTTGGGACTCTTTGATTCTCCTTTTGTGAAAAGGGGTTAGAGAAGCTTCATATCAGCTGCAGCCTCCAGGTCCTCAGGGCCCAGAACCATTCATTCCACCCACACTGCTGCCCCCATCCCCGCTCTGGGCTCCATCTGTGTGCTGAGGATCCCCCATGCACTCAATGAGTCTCAGAGAGCAGAGAACTAACCTGGAATAAAAATGACACTTTCTTTCTTCTGGCCGAGCAGGGTGTCATTGATAGAGCAGGACACGTTCCTCACAGACTTGTCTCTGATGATCACAGCTGTGGTGACCATGAAGAGGCTGTCTGCGTCAGGGGTGGAGACCTCCTTCAGGGCAGGCACGACCTCACCGTAGGGGTCCCTCCACACTGTGAGGGGCTTTGGGTACCACCCTCCAGATATGCACTCCAGCTGGATGCCCCCGTCCTCGTGGTCTCTCATTTCAATGACGGGCTCAGAGTCCAGTCCTGGGGAGAGATACCAGGGCACAGCCAAAAGGCAGTGTCTCAGTGCCTATTGCATCTCTTCTGTGAAGAGAGAAAGTAAAGGAAAAAAAGAGGGAAGTAGGAAGCAAGAAATAGGAAGGAAGAAGAAAAGGATGAGGGTAAGGAAGAAAGAACATTGATGTTGGAGAACACCAGCAGACCAATTGGCCACACAAACTGTGAGCTCTCTAAGAGGAAAGGATCCAATTGCACCCTTTTCTTTGTGGTCCACCTACAGGCCCCATCACAGCACCAAGCATCTATGTGTCTGCTATAAATGCTTGTTCATTTTATCCTGCCAGATTAATTTTCTCACTTAAGGTGGGTTTGTCAACTCCCACTTCAAACAGGCAGGTTTTGGATTTCACTTTCTGGTCCCAGGATGACTTCTCAGTAGACCTCAGCTTCCAGAAGCTCTTGAATAACAAGGAGGACAAAAATCTGCCAGGCAGGCAGAATACTAAGCAACCATTTGACCTAAAGACATTTACTTTTCTGTTTAGTTTAGGGCTTCACATAACCACAGCTCTCTCCCACCCACAGGAGGTGATGGTTTTTAGGAGCCTCAACATGGTAGCCTGCAAAACCAACTCTAACCCTAATTCATACTGTTTACCTCCCAGAGGATCCGTCTTTTAGGCAATGTCTCTTTTGTTTTTTAGACAGGGTTTTAGCTCTGTTGTCCAGGCTGGAGTGCAGTGGCAAAATCATAGCTCACTGTACCCTGTAGTCCTGGGCTCAAGAGATCTTCCCGCTTTAGCCTCCCAACTAGCTAGGATTACAGGCATGTTCCACCATGCTTGGCTAACATTTTATTTTATTGTAGAGATAAAGTGTTGCCCAGGTGGGCAATTTTCTTATAGTGCTTTGAGAACATCGATTTATTAGAAAGATCTGGATGCTCTTGGGATTAAGATAACCATATCACTTTTTCAATATCAGAGATCATCACCAAAAATCCTAAGAATCTAGACTTACCCTAACTACAATCCATGTTTAATGAATCTTCAATAAAAGTGAATACCAGGTATGAAAGAGCTGCATGGTCCTAGGAGACCCTTAAGCCATGTGTGAACATCCAAACTTCTTCTGAGTAATTCCTTTGTAAAGTCTTCAAATTATGGCAAAGACAGGAAATTAAGCCAATAACTTTAGTCTATTGCTATGGCTCAATTTAATTATTATTATTATTTTTTGACACAGTCTCACTCTATTACCTGGGCTGGAGTGCAGTGGCATGACCGTGGTTCACCACAGCCTGAACTTCCTGGGTTCAGGTGATCCTCCCACCTCAGCCTCCCAAGTAGCTAAGACTACAGGCATGTGCCACCATGCCTGGCTAATTTTTTTTATATATTTTTAAAAGAGATGGGGTTTTGCCATGTTGCCCAGGCTCATTTTAATTTTTATCAAGAGATAAAACTACTTGTACATTTAAAGGCTCAGTGGAATAAGAATTAAAATAACTCAGCAAATTGGAGAACAAAGTTCTTCAAAACATTCCATGAGGTTCAATACAGGCAAGCATGACAAAATAGATTTAAAGGCAAAATCAGCCGGCCAACCAACCTAACATAGAGAATACAATAAACAAACAAACAAAAAGTCCTAAGCAGCCCAATTCAGAGTGGGAAAGGCCAGGCCAGT
The DNA here is from genome assembly GCF_000001405.40 of Homo sapiens. NCBI lineage: Eukaryota > Metazoa > Chordata > Mammalia > Primates > Hominidae > Homo > Homo sapiens. The sequence goes on along the minus strand of NC_000006.12, from coordinate 26,424,576 downwards.
GTCAGTTTTACAGAGAGGGAGGAGTAGATTCCTGCCACGCAGAAACCATAACTGGCCAACCCTGCAGTGCTGCTACAAACACAGCCATGACACAAGATCAAGAAACCCTCCTTCCATGATATTCTGTTTTAATCACATGCAAGTTTGCCTTTGTGAGTAGCAAAGATGGGGTCTCCTACCTGTTATGATTTGAGGCCCCCTGGGAAGGACCCAATTCCCTAGTCCTCACCTCCTCTGGTCTGATGGAGTGAAATGCCACCACAGATTATCCTGCACCTGAAGGGCTTTTTCAGTCCTCAAATATATCTTTTAAAGCACAATAAACTAACCCCAAGACTGAGGTAATCACTTAATGTCATTTTAGCAAACTCCTAGAAATTCCAGTTCAAATGTATTTCTATGTTGAAACCTTGTCTATTCCCTGCCAGCTAAATTCTTACACTTTCTCTGTGGAGTCAGCAGGAATATAATTTTGCCTCTGGGCTAGGTGCAGTGGCTCACGCCTGTAATCGTAGCACTTTGGGAGGTCGAGATGGGCGGGTCACATGAGGTCAGGAGTTTGAGACCAGCCTAGTTAACATTGCAAAACCCTGTCTCTACTAAAAATACAAAATATGCCAGGTGTGGTGATGCATGCCTATAATCCCACCTACTCAGGAGGCTGAGGCAGGGAGAATTGCTTGAACCTGGGAGGTGAAGACTGCAGTGAGCTGAGATCGTGCCAATGCACTCCAGCCTGGGCAGCAGAGCGAGACTATGTCTCAAAAAAAATATTGCTTCTGTATTAAGTCTTGCTTTAATAAAACGCTCTACTTACATATAAGTCACTCTCTTTGCAAACAGCATTTCAGGAAAGAAGTCAGGATGAATATTCATCAAGAAATAAGATTTCAAATATCGTAGTTCTCTGGGCAGTCACTGTTTATTCCAGTTGTCCCAA